>NC_000003.12:153705574-154008604 GCF_000001405.40 Homo sapiens | reverse complement strand
TTTATTCTTTCTATTTTTTTTGTATGCATTAGCCATACCCCCAGAAGGCCTATTTTTGTTCATTGACTTTATTATATATTCAGCAATCCTTACCTCTGTCATTAATTTGAATGGTAGGTTTAAGAATTATCTTGGATTTTCTGTGTAGACAATTATATTGTCAGGATATAAGTGCTGTTTTTTTATATTCCTTTCCTGTTACTACTATCGTTTCATTTGTTTTTCTAGGTCTTCCAATAGGCTGTTGAATGGAAGTCATGATGAATATATTCTTTTCTTGTTTCTAATGTTAAAGAAATATCTTCAAAGTTTGTTTGGCTTGTTGATAGATATCCTTTATCAAGTTATGTTGGTCATTACTGTTTGTTCTTAGATCTCTGCCTTTTTCTTGCAAACTGCATCTCCCAGACACTCCCAACTGGGCTTCTGCTATGTTTGGCCAATAGAATGCGCTGTTAGGAGACAGGAATGGAAGAAAAAGTGAAGTTGGGAAGTTTCTCTCCTACTCTTGATGCTTCTTCAGGTAGTATCTGACAGGAGTTTCATCTCCTAGAGACAGTTCCTTTTTCCATGGTCCTCGTTCATGCCAGAGTCTTTATATACATCCAGCCCTTGCCTGGTAGCCTTAGGTCTTGGCATCTACCTACATTACCTCCTCCTTTTGTACCTCACATTAGGAATGTTATAGCTTCCTGCTTCATTAATGTCTGTCACCTTTTAGGACTTTGCACTCTCTCCACACCTCTGTAACTAGTTCCTTATGTTAAATTCTGTAAACAGGACAACTTGGTATGGGATCTATCTTATTGACTGGACCCCAATAATACATCAGATTAGAAAAGTTCCAGTCCCTTCTTTGTTTGCTAGTGGTTTTGTTGGTTTGCTTTGTTTTTTGTTTTAATATAGTCAAATTACATTTTACAAAATCATTTTTGTTATTGAGTTGCTATATGTGAACAACTGAGAATTGTACATATTATTTCCCTTTTATTCTGTTAATGTGGTATATTAAATTTAATAGACTTCCTAAAGACACTTCATTTTTGCACTCCTTGGGTGAACCCTATTTGTTTATGATGTCCTTTTAAGAACATTGTACTGATCGTCAGGTGGGAGAATTCTTACATGTTCCTCCTTTTGCAAGGCAGATTAGAACATGATGATTGGGGTTCGCATAATATGTGATTAACGTTTCTGTGTAATCAGGACTTGCAACATCCCGAATGCCCTTACCTGACACTTCTTAAAAAAATAAATAAATAAAAACACAGTGCTAAATTTTATTGTTTGCTGTATTTTAAAAGAATTTTTGCATCTGTGTTCATGAGTGTAATTATTCTATAATTTTCTTTTCTCGTATTGCCCTTATCTAGTTTAGTAATGCAATTTCAGTGCTCATTGTGAGTTTAATTTGTGTTCATTTCAAAGGTAATTGGTTATTTATTTCAGCTTTTAGGACTCTTCATCCTTGACAATTACAGTTCTATTATGATTTTACTCTTTTGAATAGTTACCTCTTTAAATATTACTTCTGCATTGTTTCCTTCATGCTTTTATTATATTCCTGTGAGATTTACATTGGACACACTTTCACCTCTGTGTCACTTAAAAATGTAATTACTTCTTTTAAGTAATACCATGTTTTTATTTTATTTTTGCAAGTTGAATTTCTTAGATTTTAATTCTTTTTTCATGGATATGATTCATTTGTCAATTTAAATACTGTAAATATTGATTATAAATTCTTTGTCAGTTTTTTAATAAAATTAATTTTATCTTCATTATATTAACATTCTGATTATATATTTTTTCTGGTTGTCTTTCAGAGCTTTAGATGTGGTCCTAGTATTTTGATTTTTAGCCTCATTTTGAATGGTAGTTTCTTTCCCCCTTTTATCTCCTTCTCTGCTTGCTCCTCTCTAATAAGTGTTTTTTTTGTTTCCACATAGGCTCCAGGTCCCCAGTGAGAACCAAGTGTTTTAATGTATTTTGGTGCCTCTACACTGATATAATTTTGGTGATATTGCAGATCCAATCACCAAGCCAGCTATTGGCTTAGTTCTATTTCCAGACTTGAGCCTGTGTTTGTGTCCTACTACCTTGCCAATTGTGGTAGGCAGAATAATGGCTCCCAAAGATGTGCAGATCCTAATCCTAATCCTTAGAACCTAGGAATATGCTACCTTATGAGGAAAATAGACTTTTGTAGATGTGATTAAGGTTAAGGACTTGATATGGGGAGATTATCAAGGTGGTCCAGTCTAATCACATAAACCCTTAAAGACAGAGAAACTTTTCTAGCTGTAGTCAGTCAGAGATAAATGTGATGACCAGAAAAAGGGTCAGACAGTTGCTGTCTTTGAAAATGAAGGAAGGGGCTCAAGAGCCAAGAAATGATGCGTGGTTTCTAGAAGATGGAAAAATAAAACAAATTCTCCCATAAACTTCAGAGAGGAACGCAGTCCTACTGACGTCTTAATTTTAGCCCAGTGAGAACTGTGTCAACGTACAGAAGTGTAAGATAATACACTTATGTTTTTGAGGTAATTCGTTACAGCAGTGATGGAAGACTGATAATAATTAGTTTTATAAACCAATTATAAACGATATCCTCAGTAAGAGGTGTACTTCTTTTAAAAGTACTTTCAATACTATAAAAGTGCTTTTACATACTTTTTAAAGTACTTTTAATCTAATGCTTTTAAAAGTTCCATTTTATTTCCTTTATTAGCTTTTTAGCTATACCTCTTTTAAATGTATTAATGCTTGCTCTAGGAACCCTTAATAAATAGTTACATTATAATAAAGATGTATTACAATATGCATCTTTAACACAGTCTACATTGAATTAATATTATACCACTTCACACACAATCTGAGAACCTACATTTACCCCTCCTCTCCTTTGTTTTATTATGTATAACTCTTCCATCTATATTATAAACCCCACAATGCAGTCTTGTAGTTTTTACTTTAAGCAATTATTTTTGAAAGAATTAAATAAGACAGTATTTTTAATTTGCCTTCATATTTACTGTTTCTACTGTTTTTCACTTCCCTGTAATTCCAAGTTTTCATATAGCTTAATTTCCTTCAAATTAAATAACTTTTTAAAGTACTTGTAAAATGAAAGTATTGGCAAACATTATTTTAGCTTTCCTTTATCTGCAAATACTTTTATTTCACCTTGGTTTTTAACGTATATTTTTGATGGATATGGAATTTTAGGCAAATAGTTTTTCTGCCAGTACTTTATAGAGGTCATTTTATTGTCTTCTGGCTACCATTGTTTCTTATGAAAAGTCATTGATTATTCTTATCATTGTTTTTCTATATGCACTGTGACTTTCTCCTGTAGCTGCTTCTAAAAACTTTATCTTTCATATTTAGCAATTTAACTATGACGTTTGTAGTTGTGGTTTCTGTTAAAATATTTATTTTGCTCAGGATTTGTTGGGCTTCTTGAATCTGTGACTTGAGGTTTTGCCCATCAAATGTGCAAAATACTACAATTTCTTCCAAATATTTTTCTGTTTTATTCCCTTTTTCTTCTGTGACTTTAATTATACATGCGTTAGACTATTTAAATATATCTTACAGAATGCAGATGATTCTCTCCTTACAAACTATTTTATTTTTTTCTACAGTTTATGTAATTTCGATTGGCCTGTCTTCAAGTTCACTTAGTCTTTTATGTACTATTTGTGTGCAATTTGCTGTTAATCTTATCCAGTACATTTTGAAATGTAAAATACAGTACAGTATTTTTTTTTGGTTGTAGAAGTCTATGTGATTCTTCTCTCTTTAAATGCTCTTTACCTACTATATTATTATTTAATATATTAACAATAATTGTTTTAAACTTCTATCTGCACCTTAGGTAATGGGGTCATCTGTAGTTCTGCTTATTGGCTGTTTGTGTTCCAGACACTGTGATAAGAAGAGCAATAGAGGCGTTTCATCTCTCAGACAAGGTGATTGCTCAGATTCCTTTTATAGTTGAGTTGTTCCAGGTTGGGCCACAGCTTTAACTAGATTGAGTTCATCTGCGACTAGCCCAACTTCCAATATCTAGTACAGCTGCCTTTTTTTTTTTTTTTTTTTTTTTTTTTTAAACCTTAGCTATGTTTCAGCTGGGAAGGGGCTGAGCTGCAGTTTTGGATTTTTAAACTTTCTCGTTATACTCACTCCAACTATGTTCCGGGAATCCAGTCACTGCGCGAGTATCTAGAACTATGGTTCCAGACTCCTCTCCACTGCTGCTATGACTGCGGGAAAGAAGGTGAATTTTGGGAACAAATACATTTTTCTGTGTGAGTGTGATTGCATTTCTTCCAGGTTTCCCCCTGTTTGGCTGGCCCACACTGTCTTCTAGAAGCTTGTCTAATTTCTCCTCTTCCCTGTAAAATGTGTCAGGACCAAGGGAAAACTTTTCCTTTACTCTGTAAAGGTTCACTGAAAATCAACTCACGAAAGGCAGTTTAATAGGAGAAAAGGCATACAAATTTATTAACATGTACAGGAGGACTTTATGAAATCTCAGTATAAGATCTCAGAGAAAAGGAAGATTGTTGACACCTTTACATCACCTTGAGATTTTAGAAAAAATAGAGGTTTGGGTCATGGCAGAACAGGTTATTGAAGGAAGAGAAAAGGAGGCCTGGCTAGCCAATGTGGTCTTGTTATGCAGACAAAACCTCACAGGAAGCAGCCCTGAAACAAAATAAATGTTTCTTTCAGACCTCAGTTAATCTTTCCCAGATCAAACCAGGAAAGGTCCTCAGATAGAGCCTGGCTGCAGCAGTGCAGACTTTCTCTAGAGATGCAAATCTCCCACAAAAGACAGCTTCTCAGCTATTCTTGTATTTCCAGCCCTCTCAATAGTCATCTTGAAATACATAAAAAAAATTTTTAGGGTGAAATATTTGGTTTATTTCAAATGTCTTGGTCTGTGGAAAGTCTGATACCCTATGTTCCAGTACCTAAACCAAGCACCCATCTCCAGGTATGGAAATTTCTCCTAAGAAGGGGTCTGGTTGAAATTCCTTTCATTTGACCACAGATAAGCCATGACTATGCTGATGCTCTATTTCATTGTATAATAATGTTTAAAATTGATTTTAAGTTAAAAAATGCAGACAGATAAGAGACTCAAAAACAGTTAGAGTTGCCTGAGACATTCCAGTTCTATTTCATGTACAGTTTGTAAAAAAAAAAAAAATTGTCTTTTCTCTTTAACATCGTAAATTGGTCCCCTGATTTTTTTTTAACGCACTATTTTAGTTGGGACTTAAGTTTTCTCATGTGGATTGTCCTTTAACTTTTTTATGTCTTTTTTAGTAATTATAATAAATTTCCACAAATCATAGGGTGGGCTTTATCTTCCGTTTTTTTTTTGTTTGTTTTTTTTTGAGACAGTTTCACTGCCTGGGCTGGAGTGCAATGGCGCGATCTCGGCTCACTGCAACATCCGCCTCCCGAGTTCAAGAGATTCTCCTGCCTCAGTGCCCCCAGTAGCTGGGATTACAGGTGCATGCCAACACGCCCAACTAATTTTTTTTTTTTTGAGTAGAGATGGGGTTTCACCATGTTCGACATAAAATATTCTTCTGTTAGTCTCCCAGTTGTATCCAGGCATCGTGCTCTCTATTTTATCACTACTTTAAAAATGGGATGGTTTTCCTCAAATGGCCCAAAGGGTTTATTGATGTGAAAAATTTTAGAATGGCATTTCATAAGGCATTTTAGAGACTCACATAGTGCGGATTACAGGGAAACTCTAGGGGAGTAATAGTGCAATTTATTTTCACTTTTCTTTTAATTGTCAAAAAATCCCTAAATATAAATGTATTAAAATATGAAGTGAGAGTTCTTCTTTTCATACAGCTGTCACTAAACTATCAAAGCTGAAAACAATTGGCTAATCTGTACCACTCCTTGTGTCACATACTGAGTGCCCATGTAGGAATGGGGTTGCTTGGAGACCCTTTCCTATCTGTTTCACTGCTCTACTTGTCTGTCTGGGTACCAGGCATGTCCAGGTGTGTATTTACTTTTAACTATACTATTCAGTAACTAGTATGTTCTTTATATGTGAGGATTACCTTTTTCTGCAATTCGGAAAAATCAACAGCAGTGTATTTTCAGCTGTGACTTCTTATTCATTCTCACTGATCTCCATGTCTGGAATGCTGATTAGCATCATGTTGGAGCATTTTAGTCTATCCTCCATGACTCTTAAATCCTTTTCATATTTAAAAACAATCTTCATATTTTTATGCTGGCTTTGGTTTAATTTTTGTATATTCTCCTCCAATTCATTAATACCCTTTGGCTAGGATTTATATAATCTATAATTTTTTAATAATAATGATTACAATTTTAATTCCTAGGATTACTAAGGGCTGCTTCTCCTGCCATTCATATCTTCTCGTTCTCCTTTTCTTCTTTCTCATTGTTTTTTCAAAATCTCTCCTGTCTTTGATGCATAGCTACTTAAGTTGTATGTAGTTTTTGTTTTGGCTTTTTGGGATGTTATTCCATTTTTAAAACTTTTGAGAATTTTAAGGACATGTATTTTTCTAGAAGACTTTTAGATTATTTTTTATTTGCTTAGAATTGGGTCTTCCCGTTTGTTGAATGTTTTACAATTATTTTGGCCATCTTTCATCTTATTCTGCTATGTGTTCTGATTTTTTTTGTTTGTTCGTTTTTGAGAAAAGCCTCACTCTGTTGCCCAGGCTGTAGTGCAATGGTGTGATCTTGGCTTAGTGCAACCTCTGCCTCCTGGGTTCAAGCGATTCTCATGACTTACCCACCTGAGTAGCTGGGATTACAGGTGTACACCACCACACTCAGCTAATTTTTGCATTTTTAGTAGAGATAGGGTTTCACCTTGTGGCCAGGCTGCTCCCAAACTCCTGGCCTCAAGCTATCTGCCAATCTTGGCCTCCCCAAGTGCTGGGATTACAGGTGTCAGCCACCATGCTTCACAGTGTTCTGGAATTTTAGTTTGCAAGTTTATCTTATGCAGAAGTTTCTTCCCCACCTTCCCCACCTTTCTGTCATCTTCCTGACTCTTGGTGTCTGGTGCTTCCGTGGGTTTCAGCAGGGTTCCCCACTCAAGAACAATTTTATATTGGTGGATCAGGACTTTTGTTTGAGGAACTAATGCTGATCAGTAATAAGAAATTTGGTCCAGTTCCTGTTGTTCCTTCTTGGCCACTCTAGGCAATGGCTCTGTGAAGGCCTCCAATAGTGATGATGCACTGACTTTGGTTAATGGGTTGGGGAAGCCCTCATGGCAGGACAATCTCGCTTGACTCAGTGGGCCTGTCTGCTCTCTTTCCCCACAATGATTAGGGACTTTCATCCTTGTTGTCATAGTAGAGGTGAAAACTGTCTGCCTGTTATGGATTTCAGAGCTACTGCTTATATCCTGCTTATATCCCTGTATTTTTTTTTCTCTGTTTTTTTTTTCTCCCTCTGGAGTCATTTGTATGTGAGGAAAAGTGTGTGTTTGCGTATTTTCTTGTATTATGTCTTTGCTATTTTGGAGTGAAGGCAAGAGGCAGAAAGGTGGTCTTCTATATGAAATCGTATACCATCTTGACCAGAAGTTCAGATTTATATTTTAGAAAGGTAAGTCTGAAATAAGTATATAGTAGGCTAGAGCGCACTGAGGCCTGAGACATGAGTTCCTTTCTGAGATATTTTAGGACTTTTTCCTGAAAAAGATAAGAGTGTTCTGTGACAAGAATAATGGAGGAGAAAGAGATAAATTCCAGAGATTTCTTTTTTTTTTTAATGTTTTCCTATTCAGTAGACTTTTTTTTTAATTATTGTTATACTTTAAGTTTTAGGGTACATGTGCACAATGTGCAGGTTAGTTACATATGTATACATGTGCCATGTTGGTTTGCTGCACCCATCAACTTGTCATTTAGCATTAGGTGTATCTCCTAATGCTATCCCTCCCCGCTTCCCCCACCCCACAACAGTCACCGGAGTGTGATGTTCCCCTTCCTGTGTCCATGTGATCTCATTGTTCAATTCCCACCTATGAGTGAGAACATACAGTGTTTGGTTTTTTGTCCTTGCAATAGTTTGCTGAGAATGATGATTTCCAATTTCATCCATGTCCCTACAAAGGACATGAACTCATCATTTTTTATGGCTGCATAGTATTCCATGGTGTATATGTGCCACATTTTCTTAATCCAGTCTATCGTTGTTGGACATTTGGATTGGTTCCAAGTCTTTGCTATTGTGAATAGAGCCTCAATAAACATACGTGTGCATGTGTCTTTATAGCAGCATGATTTATAGTCCTTTGGGTATATACCCAGTAATGGGATGGCTGGGTCAAATGGTATTTGTAGTTCTAGATCCCTGAGGAATCGCCACACTGACTTCCACAATGGTTGAACTAGTTTACAGTCCCACCAATAGTGTAGAAGTGTTCCTATTCCTCCACATCCTCTCGAGCACCTGTTGTTTCCTGACTTTTTAATGATTGCCATTCTAACTGGTGTGAGATGGTATCTCATTGTGGTTTTGATTTGCATTTCTCTGATGTCCAGTGATGGTGAGCACTTTTTCATGTGTTTTTTGGCTGCATAAATGTCTTCTTTTGAGAAGTATCTGTTCATGTCCTTCGCCCACTTTTTGATGGGGTTGTTTGTTTTTTTCTTGTAAATTTGTTTGAGTTCATTGTAGATTCTGGATATTAGCCCTTTGTCAGATGAGTAGGTTGTGAAAATTTTCTCCCATTGTGTAGGTTGCCTGTTCACTCTGATGGTAGTTTCTTTTGCTGTGCAGAAGCTCTTTAGTTTAATTAGATCCCATTTGTCAATTTTGGCTTTTGTTGCCATTGCTTTTGGTGTTTTAGACATGAAGTCCTTGCCCATGCCTGTGTTCTGAATGGTAATGCCTAGGTTTTCTTCTAGGGTTTTTATGGTTTTAGGTCTAACGTTTAAGTCTTTAATCCATCTTGAATTAATTTTTGTATAAGGTGTAAGGAAGGGATCCAGTTTCAGCTTTCTACATATGGCTAGCCAGTTTTCCCAGCACCATTTATTAAATAGGGAATCCTTTCCCCATTGCTTGTTTCTCTCAGGTTTGTCAAAGATCAGATAGTTGTAGATATGTGGCGTTATTTCTGAGGGCTCTGTTCTGTTCCATTGATCTATATCTCTGTTTTGGTACCAGTACCATGCTGTTTTGGTTACTGTAGCCTTGTAGTATAGTTTGAAGTCAGGTAGCGTGATGCCTCCAGCTTTGTTCTTTTGGCTTAGGATTGACTTGGCGATGTGGGCTCTTTTTTGGTTCCATATGAACTTTAAAGTAGTTTTTTCCAATTCTGTGAAGAAAGTCATTGGTAGCTTGATGGGGATGGCATTGAATCTATAAATTACCTTGGGCAGTATGGCCATTTTCATGATATTGATTCTTCCTACCCATGAGCATGGAATGTTCTTCCATTTGTTTGTATCCTCTTTTATTTCATTGAGCAGTGGTTTGTAGTTCTCCTTGAAGAGGTCCTTCATGTCCCTTGTAAGTTGGATTCCTAGGTATTTTATTCTCTTTGAAGCAATTGTGAATGGGAGTTCACTCATGATTTGGCTCTCTGTTTGTCTGTTATTGGTGTATAAGAATGCTTGTGATTTTTGTACATTGATTTTGTATCCTGAGACTTTGCTGAAGTTGCTTATCAGCTGAAGGAGATTTTGGGCTGAGACAATGGGGTTTTCTAGATATACAATCATGTCGTCTGCAAACAGGGACAATTTCACTTCCTCTTTTCCTAATTGAATACCCTTTATTTCCTTCTCCTGCCTAATTGCCCTGGCCAGAACTTCCAACACTATGTTGAATAGGAGTGGTGAGGGAGGGCATCCCTGTCTTGTGCCAGTTTTCAAAGGGAATGCTTCCAGTTTTTGCCCATTCAGTATGATATTGGCTGTGGGTTTGTCATAGATAGCTCTTATTATTTTGAGCTACGTCTCGTCAATACCTAATTTATTGAGAGTTTTTAGCATGAAGGGTTGTTGAATTTTGTCAAAGGCCTTTTCTGTCTACATGCCCACAAGAGAAAGCAGGAAAGATCCAAAATTGACACCCTAACTTCACAATTAAAAGAACTAGAAAAGCAAGAGCAAACACATTCAAAAGCTAGCAGAAGCCAAGAATTAACTAAAATCAGAGCAGAACTGAAGGAAATAGAGACACAAAAAACTCTTCAAAAAATTAATGAATCCAGGAGCTGGTTTTTTGAAAGGATCAACAAACTTAATAGACTGCTAGCAAGACTAATAAAGAAAAAAAGAGAGAAGAATCAAATAGATGCAATAAAAAATGATAAAGGGGATATCACCACTGATCCCACAGAAATACAAACTACCATCAGAGAATACTACAAACACCTCTACGCAAATAAACTAGAAAATCTAGAAGAAATGGATAAATTCCTCGACACGTACACTCTCCCAAGACTAAACCTGGAAGAATTTGAATCTCTGCATAGACCAATAACAGGCTCTGAAATTGTGGCAATAATCAATAGCTTACCAACCAAAAAGTGTCCAGGACCAGATGGATTCACAGCCGAATTCTACCAGAGTTACAAGGAGGAACTGGTACCATTCCTTCTGAAACTATTCCAATCAATAGAAAAAGAGGGAATCCTCCTTAACTCATTTTATGAGGCCAGCATCATTCTGATACCAAAGCCGGGCAGAGACACAACCAAAAAAGAGAATTTTAGACCAATATCCTTGATGAATATTGATGCAAAAATCCTCAATAAAATACTGGCAAACCGAATCCAGCAGCACATCAAAAAGCTTATCCACCATGATCAAATGGGCTTCATCCCTGGGATGCAAGGCTGGTTCAATATACGCAAATCAATAAATGTAATCCAGCATATAAACAGAACCAAAGACAAAAACCACATGATTATCTCAACAGAGATTTCAAAAACAGTATCCAGTTAGAGATGAACAGTGGTTCTCAACAGGGCTACACTGCCCCCCAGGGGGTCTTTTGGAAATTGATGGTAGTATTTTGGGTTGTCAAGGTTATGGTGGGAAGCTTCTGATATTTAGCAAGTAAGGACCAGGCATGGTTAATTTCCAGGAATGTGCAGGACAGTCCTGTTCAACAGTCTTGTATGTCCTGAATGACTTTCAAATGTCCCAGGCAGACACTCATATGGGTGAAGCACCTATTTAAAATCATTTAAGTGCAAACCTATTTTACAAGTTAATACTATGTATTTTTCACAAGATTTTATTATATACTGAATTTTCCAGGAAAACTACAACATTAATTCAGTGAAGATTATACGTATTTTGTTTGGGACTTCACCATGAATTATTCATCATTTCAGAAAATCATTTCACTGACAGCAACAGTGATTATGGTATTAAATTACCATAATAACAAATCTGGACTATTTTGTTATTTGTGATGTTCATTCACAATAGAGAGAATAAAAAATTCTTTTGAATAAACTTAAAATTAAATATTATTTAATGAAATCACATGAAGAATGAGGATTTTGCTAAATTTTATTGTTTCTTAAGAGAGTTTCATATTATGAAACTGGTGGATCAGGACTTCTGTTTGAGGAGATAGTGTTGATCAATAATATGAAATTATTATTGATCATATTATAGTCATCACATATATTTTTTATCTTTTTTAGTGACACAATGTTAAATATATATATTGGAAATTGCATAATGAAATTAGTTATTGCTTTTGGGATCCTGTTGCTTTTCAACATTACTCTAGTACTGTCTCCAAAGGCCTAGCACACTAGTTCTCTTTAGTCTTTTGTACTGAAATTCCTTGCTTAAAAATGACCCTTTATTTTTATCTATTAAAAGCTATGCTTTCTAGAGTCTTTGTAAATTTTGAGACTAAATGCATGCTTCAACATGTAGGGAGATTTCAGGAGAGATGATAATATTTTTGCACTGTCTCATGTCATAACAGAAGGATGCTTTTGACACTACACTTATAGCTTAGCTTATTTGTGAGAGTATCTTTGTGAGGGTATCCTACTTTCACTCATTTCTTCCACTTTGAAAGCATGTGACTAATCTTTGTATTTATCCTTACTTTATTCGATGTTATTTTTCTCTTTCCCTTATCTTACACAAAGGATTTTGGTTTATTAATATGTATCTTACCAGGTTTTATTCTAGTGCTATTCATGTTGCTGTTCTTTTCTTCTTCCAACTACCTTGAATAGTTGGCTTCTGATCATCTTTCTTTTCTTAAATCTAAACATTCTCATTATAAGTAGATGCAATCACCTGACTACTTCAAAATGTCTTCTATTGTAGTCATGTCTGAGAAATTATATATTGGAATACATGTGATTTTATCATAAATTTACTTTTAAAAATTTTCCTTTTATACTATAGTTAGGACATTATACTGATTATTTTGATGTTTTTGTGGACTGAATTTTGTTTTCCCCTCAAATTCCTATGTTAAAGTTCTAACTCTAGTACAACCCCCAGTGTGATAGGGCCTTTAAAGAGGTAATTAAAGGGTTAGGTGACATCATCAGGGCAGGACCCTAATCCAATATCACTGATGGCCTCTTAAGAAGAGGAAGACTCACTAGGGATTAGGGATAGGCACACAGAGAGAAAAGACCATATGAAGACACAGTGAGAGGGAGGCCTTCTGCAAGCCAAGAAGAAAGGCCTCAGGAGAAACCAAGTGAACTGATATCTTGATCTTGGACTTCCAGCCTTCAGAACTGTGGGAAAATAAATTTCTGCTTTTTAAGCCTACCAGTCTGTGATATATTGTTATGGCAGGCCTAGCAAACTAATACAGGTATTATATCTGTAGGCAGGTGAAATTGTCTGTACTTATCGCTTTCAAGCAAGTTAAGAGAGTATCACAAAACACTTGTTACAAATGAGGTTTGGGAAAGTCATGGAGTACTCACAAATAGCCACATGCTCTCCCATATTCTCCAGCCCCCAAGCAGCTTGCTGGAGCCATAAAACCAGTATTACTCCTGGCTGTGAGCAGAAATACTTACGTTATTTCTGGTCTGAGCTATAGATGAGTCAGAATATAACTTCTAGCGGTGTCTTTTTACCTGTAACAGCAATGAGCAAGGTCCTGCGTTCAAATGGTGGAGCACAAGGAGCTAGATCTGAGACAGCTGCTCTTGAGGATTGAAAAAATTCATATTGGACATTGTGTGAGTAAGAAACACACTTTTCTCAGGGTTACAAGGTTCATTTTTTAAGATAGCAAAACTTATTGCTATTCTGATTATACAAAATTTGGCATAGGAAGAGGGATGCTATCATAACAAAAGCTGAAATATCTTTCGTTGGCTTCACTGTCAGGTAGTGGGTAGCAGGGAGACTACTGGAGTCCAGGAAAATGGTGATCTATGTTATACAGCGTAAAAATATATTAACACTACTATCTTTGGTAATATAGAAGGCTAGCAAGCATAAGGAAGTAGTTGGAAAAGAACATTAACTATGTGTACTGGGTGCTATGGGTGACTTTCAGGAAGATATAAGAAAAGAGGTGAAATGAGTAAAGCATTGTAGTGAATAGAGGGAGTTCAGGACCTTGCGGTGATGGAGAAGCCAACTGCTTTGAGATCCTAGATGAAAGAGATATTTAAACAAGCCTTCAGAAATCAATACCCTGAAAACCTCTCAGGTACCTAAAAATCTTCAGGGAAAAGATTAGATAGAGAATTTGGTCTCCCCATAGTAGCCCAGCAACTTCAAGGTAGCAGCCACCAAGTTAAAAACAAATATACAAAGAAAAAACAAACAAACAAAAACACACCAAAAACCTCACGTGGGTAAGGGAGAAAATAAGTACAGATTAATGACATCACAAAAAGACCCAAAGTTGTAGTTTCTGGAATATTGTTCTCAAAAGAAGCAGATAGATAATGAGACATGAGTCTGGTATGAAAAAGCTGTGACTATTGGAGATTTATTTATTTTAATTTTTATTTATTTGTTTTAATTTAATTTAATTTTTATTTTTCCCCGTAAGTTATTGGGATACAGGTGGTATTTGGTTACATAAGTAAGTTTTTTAGTGGTGATTTGTGAGATTTTGGTGCACCCATCAGCTGAGCAGTGTACACTGCACTATGTTTGTAGTCTTTTATTCCTTGCCCCCCTCCCACTCTTCCCCCCAGGTCCCCACAGTCCATTGTATCATTCTTATGCCTTTGCATCCTTGTAGCATAGCTCCCACATATCGGTGAGAACATACGATGTTTGATTTTCCATTCCTGAGTTACTTCACTTAGAATAATAGTCTCCAGTCTCATCCAGGTCACTGCAAATGCTGTTAATTCATTCCTTTTTATGACCGAGTAGTATTCCATCGTATATATATACATATATATCACAAAAATATATATCTATCATGAAAATATATATATCACGAATATATATATATATATATATATAATGGTTTCTTTATCCACTCATTGATGGATGGGCATTTGGGTTGGTTCCATGATTTTGCAGTTGTGAATTGTGCTGCTATAAACATGCGTGTGCAAGTATTCTTTTCATAAAATGACTTCTTTTCCTCTGGGTAGATACCCGGTAGTGGGATTGCTGTATCAAATGGTAGTTCTACTTTTAGTTCTTTAAGGAATCTCCACACTGTTTTCCCTAGTGGCTGTACTAGTTTACATTCCCACGCAGTGTAGAAGTGTTTCCTGATCACCGCATCCATGCCAACATCTACTGTTTTTTTTTATTTTTCGATTATAGCCATTCTTGCAGGCATAAGATGGTATTGCATTGTGGTTTTAATTTGCATTTCCCTGATCATTAGTGATGCTGAGCATTTTTGCATATGTTTGTTGGCTGTATTAGTTCATTTTCATGCTACTGATAAAGACATACCTGAGACTGGGAAGAAAAAGAGGTTTAAATGGACTTACAGCTCCAGATGGCTGGGGAGGCCTCAGAATCATGGCAGGAGGTGAAAGTCACTCCTTACATGGTGGTGGCAAGAGAAAAAATGAGGAAGATGCAAAAACAGAACCCCCTGATAAAGCCATTGAATCTCGTGAGACTTATTCACTACCACGAGAATAGTATGGGGGAGCTGTCCCCAGATTCAAAATATCTCCCACCAGGTCCCTCCCACAACACATGAGAATTATGGGAGTATAATTCAGGATGAGATTTGGGTGGGAACACAGAGCCAAATCATATCATTATGCCCTGGGCCCCTTCAAATCTCATGTCCTTACATTTCAAAACCAGTCATGCCTTCCCAACGTCCCCCCAAAGCCTTAACTCATTTCAGCATAACCCAAAAGTCCACAGTCCGAAGTCTCATCTGAGACAAGGCAAGCCCCTTCCTCCTACGATCCTGTTAAATCTATAACAAGCTAGTTACTTCCTAGGTACAAGGGGGGTACAGGCATTTGGTAAATATACAGCCATTCCAAATGGGAGACATTGGCCAAAACAAAGGGGCTATAGGGCCCATGTAAGTCCGAAATCCAGTAGAGAAGTCAAATTCTAAAGTTCCAGAATAATCTCCTTTGACACCATGTCTCATATCCAGGTCACGCTGTTGCAAGAAGTAGGTTCCAGTAGTCTTGGGCGGCTCCACATTTGTGGCTTTGCAGGATATAGCCTGCCTCCTGGCTGCTTTCACAGGCTGGTGTTGAGTGTCTGTGGCTTTTCCAGGTGCATGGTGCAAGCTGTCAGTGGATCTGAGGTCAGGATGATGGTGGCCCTCTTCTCACAGCTTCACTAGGCAGTGTCCCTGTAAGGATTCTGTGTAGGGGCTCTGACCCCATATTTCCCTTCTGCACTGCCCCAGCAGAAGTTCTCCATGAGGGCCCCACCCCTGTAGCAAACTTTTGCCTGGGCATCCAGGAGTTTCCGTACTTTTTCTGAAATCTAGGTGGAGGTTCCCAAACCTCAATTCTTGATTTCTGTGTACCCACAGACCGAACGCCATGTGGAAGCTGCCAAGGTTTGGGGCTTGCACCCTCTGAAACCATATTGGACATTGAAACCACATTGGACTTTGGCCCCTTAGCAATGGCTGGAGTGGCTGGGATGCAGGGCACCAAGTCACTAGGCTGCACACAGCATGGGGACCCTGAGCCAGGCCTATGAAACCATTTTTTCCTCCTAGGCTTCTGGGTGAGTGATGGGAGGGGCTGCCATGAAGACCTATGACATGCTCTGGAGACATTTTCCCCATTGTCTTGAGGACATTTGGCTCCTTGTTACTTACGCAGATTTCTGCAGCCAGCTTGAATATCTCCTCAAAAAAATGGGTTTTTCCTTTCTGCTGCATCAAGCTGTAAATTTTCTGAACTTTTATGCCGTTACCTTTTTAAAATGGCATGCTTTTAACAGCACTCAGGTCACCTTTTGAATGCTTTGCTGCTTAGAAATTTCTTCCACCAGATACCCTAAATCATCTCTCTCCAGTTCAAAGTTCTACAAATCTCTAGGACAGGGGCAAAATGCCACCAGTCTCTGTTAAACATAACAAGAGTTGCCTTTACTCCAGTTCCCAGCAAGTTCTTCATCTCCATCTGAGACCACCTCAGCCTGGACCTTATTGTTCATATCACTATGAGTATTTTTGTCAAAGCCATTCAACAAGTCTCTAGGAGGTTCCAAACTTTTCCACATTTTCCTGTCTTCTTCTGAGCTCCCCAAACTCTTCCAACCTCTGCCTGATACCCAGTTTCAAATTTGCTTCCACATTTTCGGGTATCTTTTCAGCAACACCCCACTCTATTGGTACCAATTTACTGTATTTGTCAATTTTCATGCTGCTAATAAAGACATACCCGAGACTTGGAAGAAAAATAGGTTTAATTGGGCTTACAGTTCCACATGGCTGTGGAGGCCTTAGAATCATGGTGGGAGGTGAGAAGCACTTCTTACATGGTGGCAGCAAGAGAAAAAATGAGGAAGATGCAAAAGCAGAATCCCCTGAAAAGACCATCAGATCTCGTGAGACTCATTCACTACCATGAGAATGGTATGGGGGAAACCGCCCCCATGATTCAAATTATCTCCCACTGGATCTCTCCCTTAACACCTGGGAATTATGGGAGGGCAATTCAAGATGAGATTTAGGTGGGGACACAGAGCCAAACCATATCATCGGCCATTTGTATATCTTCTTCTGAGAATTGTCTATTCATGTCATTAGCCCACTTTTTGATGGGATTTTTGTTTTTTTCTTATTGATTTGTTTGAGTTCATTGTAGATTCTGGATATTAGTCTTTTGTCAGATGTATAGATTGTGAAGATTTTCTACCACTATGTGGGTTGTCTGTTTACTCTGCTGGCTGTTCCTTTTGCCTTGCAAAAGCCCTTTAGTTTAATTAAATCCCGACTACTTATCTTTGTTTTTATTGCATTTGCTTTTGGGTTCTTGGTCATGGAATCTTTGCCTAAGCCAACATCTAGAAAGGTTTTTCCAATGTTATCTTCTAGAATTTTTATAGTTTCAGGTCTTAGATTTAAGTCTTTAATCCATCTTGAGTTGATTTTTGTATAAGATGAGTGATGGGGATTCAGTTTCATTCTCCTACATGTGGCTAGCCGATTATCCCAGCACCGTTTGTTGAAAAGGGTGTCCTTTCCCTACTTCATGTTTTTGTTTGCTTTGTTCAAAATCAGTTGGCTGTAAGTATTTGGGTTTATTTCTGAGTTCTCTATTCTGTTCCATTGGTCTATATACCTATTTTTATATGTATAAAATGTTGTTTTGGTGACGATGGCCTATCGTATGGTTTGAAATCAGGGTAGTGTGATGCCTCCAGATTTGTTCTTTTTGCTTTGTCATGCTTTGGCTATGTGGGCTGGCTCTTTTCTGGTTCCATATGAATTTTAGAATTGTTTTTTCTAATTCTGTGAAGAATGATGGTGGTATTTTGATGGGGATTGCATTGAATTTTTGGATTGCTTTTGGCAGTATGGTCATTTTCATAATATTGATT
Organism: Homo sapiens; assembly: GCF_000001405.40. Classification (NCBI taxonomy): domain Eukaryota; kingdom Metazoa; phylum Chordata; class Mammalia; order Primates; family Hominidae; genus Homo; species Homo sapiens. The sequence goes on along the minus strand of NC_000003.12, from coordinate 153,990,581 downwards.
CTACCCATCCATGAGCATGGGATGTGTTTCCATTTGTCTGTGTCATCTATTTCTTTCAGCAGTGTTTTTAAGTTTTCCTTGTAGGGGTCTTTTGACTCCTTGGTTAGGTACTCAGGAATACCCAAGTATTTTTATTTTTTACAGTTATTGTGAAAGGTGTTGAGTTCTGGATTTGATTCTTCACTTGGTTGCTGTTGGTGTATAGAAGAGCTACTGATTTGTGTAAATTAATCTTATATCCAGAAACTTTGCTTACTTCTTTTATCATTTCTAGAAGCTTTCTGGAGGAGTCTTTAGGGTTTTCGAGATATATGATCATATTGTCAGCAAACTGTGACAGTTTGACTTCCTCTTTACTGATTTGGATGCCCATTATTTCTTTCTGTTGTCTGATTGCTCTGGCTAGGACTTCCAGTACTGTGCTGAAGAGGAGTGGTGAGAATGGGCATCCTTGTCTTATTCCAGTTCTCAGAGGGAATGCTTTCAACTTTTCCCCCTTCAGTATTATGTTGGTTATGGATTTGTCATAGATGGCTTTTATTACATTGAGGTATGTCCCTTCTATGCCAATTTTGCTGAGAGTTTTAATCATAATGGGATAGTGGATTTTGTCAAATATTTTTCTGCATTTATTGAGATGATCATGTAATTTTTGTTTTTAATTCTGCTTATGTGGTATATCACATTTATTGATTTGTGTATGTTAAACCATCCCTGCATCCCTGGTATGAAACCCACTTGATCATGGTGTATTATCTTTTTGATATGTTGTTGGATTCAGTTAGCTAGTATTTTGTTAAGGATTTTACCATCTATGTTCTTCAAGGATATCAGTCTGTAGTTTTCTTTTTTGGTTATGTCATTTCCTGGTTTTGACACTAGGGTGATGCTGGCTTCATAGAATGAATCAGGGAGAGTTCCTTCTTTCTCTGTCTTGTGGAATAGTGTCAATAGGATTGGTACCAATTCTTCTTTGAATGTCTGGTAGAATTCTGCTGTGAATCCGTCTCATCCTGGGATTTTTTTTTGTTGGTAATTTTTAAATTACCATTTCAGATGGCCAAATAGGAACAGCTCCAGTCTACAGCTCCTAGTGTAAGCGATACAGAGGACGGGTGATTTCTGCATTTCCAACTGAGGAACCAGGTTCATCTCACTAGGGCTTGTTGGACAGTGGGTGCAGGACAGTGGGTGCAGCCCACCGAGCATGAGCCGAAGCAGGGCGAGGCATCACCTCACCTGGGAAGTGCAAGGGGTCAGGGAATTCCCTTGCCTAGCCAAGGGAAGCTGTGACAGATGGCATCTGGAAAATCGGGTCATTCCCACCCTAATACTGCACTTTTCCAACAGTCTTAGCAAACAGCACACTGGGAGATTATATCACGCACCTGGCGCAGAGGGTCCCATGCCCACGGACCCTTGCTTATTGCTAGCACAGCAATCTGAGATTGAACTGCAAGGTGGCAGCGAGGCTAGGGGAGGGGAGCCCGCCCTTGCTAAGGCTTGAGTAGGTAAACAAAGTGGCAAGGAAGCTCGAACTGGGTGGAGCCCACCACTGCTCAAGGAGGCCTGCCTGCCTTTATAGACTCCACCTCTGGGGGCAGGGCATAGCTGAACAAAAGGCAGCAGAAACCTCTGCAGACTTACATGTCCCTGTCTGACAGCTTTGAAGAGAGTAGTGGTTCTCCCAGCATGGAGTTTGAGATCTAAGAACGGACAGACTGCCTCCTCAAGTGGGTCCCTGAACCCGAGTAGCCTAACTGGGAGGCACCCCCCAGTAGGGGCAGACTGACACCCCACACGGCAGGGTACCCCTCTGAGACGAAGCTTCCAGAGGAACGATCAGGCAGCAACATTGGCTGTTCAGCAATATTCACTGTTCTGCAGCCACTGCTGCTGATACCCAGGCAAACAGGGTCTGGGAGTGGACCTCCAGCAAATTCCAACAGACCTGCAGCTGAGGGTCCTGACTGTTAGAAGGAAAACTAACAAACAGAAAGGACACCCACAACAAAACCCCATCTGTACATCACCATCATCAAAGACCAAACGTAGATAAAACCACAAAGATGGGGAAAAAGCAGAGCAGAAAAGCTGAAAATTCTAAAAATCAGAGCACCTCTCCCCCTCCAAAGGAATGCAGCTCCTCGCCAGCAATGGAACAAAGCTGGATGAAGAATGACTTTGACAAGTTGAGAGAAGAAGGCTTCAGACGATCAAACTTCTCTGAGCTAAAAGAGAAAGTTCGAACCCATTACAAAGAAGCTAAAAACCTTGAAAAAAGATTAGATGAATGGCTAACTAGAATAACCAGTGTAGAGAAGTCCTTAAATGATCTGACGTAGCTGAAAAACATGGCACGAGAACTACGTGATGAATGCACAAGCTTCAGTAGCCGATTCGCTCAACTGGAAGGAAGTGTGTCGGTGATTGAAGATCAAATGAATGAAATGAAGCGAGAAGAGAAGTTTAGAGAAAAAAGAGTAAAAAGAAATGAACAAAGCCTCCAAGAAATAAGGGACTATGTGAAAAGACCAAATCTACGTCTGATTAGTGTACCTGAAAGTGACGGGGAGAATGGAACCAAGTTGGAAAACACTCTGCAGGATATTATCCAGGAGAACTTCCCCAATCTAGCAAGGCAGGCCAACATCCAAATTCAGGAGATACAGAGAACACCACAAAGATACTCCTCAAGAAAAGCAACTCCAAGACACATAATTGTCAGAGTCGCCAAAGTTGAAATGAAGGAAAAAACGTTAAGGGCAGCCAGAGAGAAAGATCGGGTTACCCATAAAGGGAAGCCCATCAGACTAACAGCTGATCTCTCAGCAGAAACTCAACAAGCCAGAAGAGAGTGGGGGCCAATATTCAACATTCTTAAAGAAAAGAGTTTTCAACCCAGAATTTCATATCCAGCCAAACTAAGCTTCATAAGTGAAGGAGAAATAAAATCCTTTACAGACAAGCATATGCTGAGAGATTTTGTCACCATCAGGCCTGCCCTAAAAGAGCTCCTGAAGGAAGCACTAAACATGGAAAGGAACAACCAGTACCAGCCACTGCAGAAACATGCCAAATTGTAAAGACCATTGATGCTAGAAAGAAACTGCATCAAATAACGAGCAAAATAACCAGCTAACATCATAATGACAGGATCAAATTCACACATAACAATATTAACCTTAAATGTAAATGGGCTAAATGCTCCAATTAAAAGACACAGACTGGCAAATTGGATAAAGAGTCAAGACCCATCAGTGTGCTGTATTCAGTAGACACATCTCATGTGCAGAGACACACATATGCTCAAAATAAAGGGATGGAGGAAGATCTACCAAGCAAGTGGAAAACAAAAGACGGCAGGGGTTGCAATCCTAGTCTCTGATAAAACAGACTTTAAGCCAACAAAGATCAAAAGAGACAAAGAAGGCCATTACATAATGGTAAAGGGATCAATTCAACAAGAAAAACGAACTATCCTAAATATATATGCATTCAATACAGGAGCACCCAGATTCATAAGGCAAGTTCTTAGAGACCTATGAAGAGACTTAGACTCCCACACAATAATAATGGGAGACTTTAACACCCCACTGTCAACATTAGACAGATCAACGAGACAGAAAGTTAAAAAGGATATCCAGGAATTGAACTCAGCTCTGCACCAAGCAGACCTAATAGACATCTACAGAACTCTACACCCCAAATCAACAGAATATACATTCTTCTCAGCACCACATCGCACTTATTCGAAAATTGACCACATAGTTGGAAGTAAAGCACTCCTCAACAAATGTAAAAGAACAGAAATTTAACAAACTGTCTCTCAGACCACAGTGCAATCAAACTAGAACTCAGGATTAAGAAACTCACTCAAAACGGCTCAACTATGTGGAAAGTGAACAACCTGCTCACGAATGACTACTGGGTATGTAACAAAATGAAGGCAGAAATAAAGATGTTCTTTGAAACCAAAGAGAACAAAGACACAACATACCAGAATCTCTGGGATACATTTAAGGCAGTGTGTAATTTATAGCACTAAATTCCCACAAGAGAAAGCAGGAAAGATCTAAAATTGACATCCTAATATCACATTAATAGAACTAGAGAAGCAAGAGCAAACACATTCAAAAGCTGGCAGAAGGCAAGAAATAACTAAGATCAGAGAAGAACTGAAGGTGATAGAGACACAAAAAATCCTTCAAATGTCAATGAATCCAGGAGCTGGTTTTTTGAAAAGATCAACAAAATTGATAGACTGCTAGCAAGACTAATAAAGAAGAAAAGAGAGAAGATTCAAACAGACGCAATGAAAAATGATAAAGGGGATATCACCACCAATCCCACAGAAATACAAACTACCATCAGAGAATACTATAAACACCTCTATGCAAATAAACTGGAAAATCTAGAAGAAATGGATAAATTCCTGGACACATACACCCTCCCAAGACTAAGCCAGGAAGAAGTTGAATCCCTAAATAGACCAACAACAGGCTCTGAAATTGAGACAATAATAATAGCCTACCAACCAAAAAAAGTCGAGGACCAGATGGAGTCACAGCCGAATTCTACCAGAGGTACAAGGAGGAACTGGTACCATTCCTTCTGAAACTATTCCAATCAATAGAAAAAGAGGGAATCCTCCCTAACTCATTTTATGAGGCCAGCATCATCCTGATACCAAAGCCTGGCAGAGATACAACAAAAAAAGAGAATTTTAGACCAATATCCCTGATGAACATTGATGCAAAAATCCTCAATAAAATACTGGCAAACTGAATCCAGCAATACATCAAAAAGCTTATGCACCATGATCAAGTGGGCTTTATCCCTGGGATGCAAGGGTGGTTCAACATACGCAAATCAATAAACGTAATCCAGCATATAAACAGAACCAACGACAAAAACCACATGATGATCTCAATACATACAGAAAAGGCCTTTGACAAAATTCAACAACCCTTCATGCTAAAAACTCTCAATAAATTAGGTATTGATGGGACATATCTCAAAATAATAAGAGCTATTTATGACAAACCCACAGCCAATATCATACTGAATGGGCAAAAACTGGAAGCATTCCCTTTGAAAACTGGCACAAGGCAGGGATGCCCTCTCTCATCACTCCTATTCAACATAGTGTTGGAATTTCTGGCCAGGGCAATCAGGCAGGAGAAAGAAATAAAGGGTATTCAATTAGGAAAAGAGGAAGTCAAATTGTCCCTGTTTACAGATGACATGATTGTATATTTAGAAAACCCCATCGTCTCAGGCCAAAATCTCCTTAAGCTGATAAGCAACTTCAGCAAAGTCTCAGGATACAAAATCAATGTGCAAAAATCACAAGCATTCTTATACACGAATAACAGACAAACAGAGAGCCAAATCATGAGTGAACTCCCATTCACATTTGCTTCAAAGAGAATAAAATACCTAGGAATCCAACTTACAAGGGATGTGAAGGACCTCTTCAAGAAGAACTACAAACCACTGCTCAATGAAATAAAAGAGGATACAAACAAATGGAAGAACATTCCATGCTCATGGGTAGGAAGAATCAATATCGTGAAAATGACCATACTGCCCAAGGTAATTTATAGATTCAATGCTATCCCCATCAAGCTACCAATGACTTTCTTCACAGAATTGGAAAAAACTACTTGAACGTTCATATGGAACCAAAAAAGAGCCCGCATTGCCAAGTCAATCCTAAGCCAAAAGAACAAAGCTGGAGGCATCACACTACCTGACTTCAAACTATACTACAAGGCTACAGTAACCAAAGCAGCATGGTACTGGTACCACAACAGAGATATAGACCAATGGAGCAGAACAGAGCCCTCAGAAATAATACCGCACATCTACAACAATCTGGTCTTTGACAAACCTGACAGAAACAAGAAATGGGGAAAGAATTCCCAATTTAATAAATGGTGCTGGAAAAACTGGCTAGCCATATTTAGAAAGCTGAAACTGGATCCCTTTCTTACACCTTATACAAAAATTAATTCAAGATGGATTAAAGACTTACCTGTTAGACCTAAAACCATAAAAACCCTAGAAGAAAACCTAGGCAATACCATTCAGGACATAGGCATGGGCAAGGACTTCATGACTAAAACACCAAAACAAATGGCAACAAAAACCAAAATTGACAGATGGGATCTAATTAAATGAAAGAGTTTCTGCACAGCAAAAGAAACTACCATCAGAGCGAACAGGCAACCTACAAAATGGGAGAAAATTTTTGCAATCTACTCATCTGACAAAGGGCTAATATCCAGAATCTGCAAAGAACTCAAACAAACTTAAAAGAAAAAAACAAACAATCCCATCAAAAAGTGGGCAAAGGATATGAACAGACACTTCTCAAAAGAAGACATTTATGCAGCCAACAGACACATGAAAAAATGCTCATCATCACTGGCCATCAGAGAAATGCAAATCAAAACCACAATAAGATACCATCTCACACCAGTTAGAATGGCGATCATTAAAAAGTCAGGAAACAACAGGTACTGGAGAGGATGTGGAGAAATAGGAACACTTTTACACTGTTAGTGGAACTGTAAACTAGTTCAACCACTGTGGAAGACAGTATGGCGATTCCTCAAGGATCTAGAACTAGAAATACCATTTGACCCAGCCATCCCATAACTGGATATATACCCAAAGGATTATAAATCATGCTGCTATGAAGACACATGCACACATATGTTTATTATGGCACTATTCACAATAGCAAAGACTTGGAACCAACCCAAATGTCCAACAATGATAGACTGGATTAAGAAAATGTGCCACATATATACCATGGAATACTATGCAGCCATAAAAAATGATGAGTTCATGTCCTTTGTAGGGACATGGATGAAGCTGGAAACCATCATTCTCAGCAAACTATCGCAAGGACAAAAAACCAAACACCGCATGTTCTCACTCATAGGTGGGAATTGAACAATGGGAACACTTGGACACAGGAAGGGGAACATCACACACTGGGTCCTGTTGTGGGGTCAGGGGAGGGGGGAGGGATAGCATTAAGAGATATACCTAATGTAAATGATGAGTTAATGGGTGCAGCACACCAACATGGCACATGTATACTTATGTAATAAACCTGCAGGTTGTGGACATGTACCCTAGAACTTAAAGCATAATAAAAAAAAATTACCATTTCAGTCTCACTGCTTGTTTTTGGTCTGTTCAGGATATCTAATTCTTCCTGATTTAAGCTAGGAGGGTTGTATTTTTCCGGGAATTTATCCATCTCGTCTAGGTTTTCTAGTTTATGTGCATAAAGGTATTCATAGTCTTTTGTATTTCAGTGGTGTCAGTTGTAATGTCTCCTGTTTCATTTCTTAATGAGGTTGTTTGTATTTTCTCTCTTGTTTTCTTGGTTAATCTTGCTAATGGTCTATCAATTTTATTTATCTTTTCAAAGAACTGGTTTCTTGTTTCATTATCTTTTTTTTGTTTGTTTGTTTCAATTTCATTTAGTTCTGCTGTGATCTTGGCTATTTCCTTTCTTCTGCTCGGTTTGGGTTTGGTTTGTTCTTGTTTCTCTAGTTCCTTGAGTGTGACCTTAGAATGTCAGTTTGTGCTCTTTCAGTCTTTTTGATGTAGGCATTTAGTGCTATGAACTTCCTCACAGCACCAATTTTGCTGCATCCCAGAGTTTTTAACAGATTGTGTTATTATTGTCATTCAGTTCAAAGAATTTTTAAATTTCCATCTTGATTTTGCTGTTGACCCAATGCTCATTCAGGAGCAGGTTATTTAATTTCCACATATTTGCATGGTTTTGAAAGTTCCTTTGGAGTTGATTTCCAGGTTTATTCCACTGTGATCTGAGAGAGTGCTTGGTATAATTTCAATTTTCTTAAGTTTATTGAGGCTTGTTTTATGGCCTATCATATGGTCTATCTTGGAGAGAGTTCCATGTGCTTTTGAATAGAATGTGTATTCTGCAGTTGTTGGATGAAATGTTCTGTATATATCTGTTAAGTCCATTTGTTCCAAGGTATAGTTTAAATCCATTGTTTCTTTGTTGACCTTCTGTCTTCATTACCTGTCTAGTCATGTCAGTGGAGTATTGAAGTCCCCCACTATTGTGTTGCTGTTTATCTCATTTCTTAGATCTTTTAGTAATTGTTTTATAAATTTGGGAGCTCCAGTGTTAGGTGCATATATGTTTAGGATTGTGATATTTTCCTGTTGGACAAAGCCTTTTACCATTTTATAATGTCCTTCTTTGTCTCTTTTAACTGCTGTTACTTTAAAATTTATTTTGTCTAATATAAGAATATCTACTCCTGCCCCCTTTTGGTGTCCATTTGCATGAGATGCCTTTTTCCACCCCTTTAAGTTTATGTGAGTCCTTATGTGTTAGGTGAGTCTCCTGAAGGCAGCAGATAGTTGGTTCATGAGTTCTTATCCATTCTGCAGTTCTGTACCTTTTAAGTGGAGCATTTCGGCTATTTACATTCAGTGTTAGTATTGAGATGTGAGGTACCATTGCATTCATCATGCTATTTGTTGCCTGTGTACTTTGGTTGTTTTTTTGTTTTTGCTTCTTAACTTGTATTTTTGTTTTATAGGTCCTGTGTGATTTATGCTTTAAAGAGGTTCTGATTTGATGTGTTTCCAGGATTTGTTTCAAAAATTAGAACTCCTTTTAGCAGTTCCTGTAGTGGTGGCTTGGTAGTGGTGAATTCTCTCAGCATTTGTCTGAAAAAGAGTGTACCTTTCCTTCATATAAGATGCTTAGTTTTGCTGGATACAAAATCCTTGGCTAAATAATTGTTTTGTTGAGGAGGCTGAAGATAGGGGCCCCCAATCCTTGCTAGCTTGTAGGGTTTCTGCTGAGAAATCTCTGTTAATTGATAGGTTTTCCTTTATAGGTTACCCGGTGCTTCTGTTTCACAGCTCTTAAGATTCTTTTCTTTGCCTTAACTTCTGATAACCTGACGACAATGTGCCTAGGCGATGGTCTTTTTGTGATGAATTTCCCAGGTGTCCTTTGTGCCTCTTGTATTTGGATGTCTAGGTCTCTAGCAAGGCTGGGGAAGTTTTCCTCAATTATTCCCCCAAATATGTTTTCCAAGATTTTAGAATTCTCTTCCTCCTCAGGAACACCTATTATTCTTAGGTTTGATTGCTTAACATAATCACAGACTTCTTGGAGGCTTTGTTCGTATTTTCTTATTCTTTTTTCTTTGTCTTTATTGGATTGGGTTAATTTGAAGCTCTGAATTTCTTTCTTCCACTTGTTTGGTTCTATTGCTGAGACTTTCCAGAGCATTTTGCATTGCTATAAGTGTGTCCAATGTTTCCTGAATTTTTGATTATTTTTTCCTTAAACTATCTATTTCCTTGAATATTTCTCCCTTTACTTCTTGTATTGTTATTTTAGATTTTCTTGCATTGGACTTTGCCTTTCTCTGGTGCCTCCCTTATTAGCTTAATAACTAACCTCCTGAATTCTTTTTTAGGCAAATCAAGGTTTTCTTCTTGGTTTGGATCCATTGCTGGTGAACTAGTTTGATTTTTTTGTGGGGGTGTTAAAGAGCCTTGTTTTGTCATATTACCAGAGTTGGTTTCCTGGTTCCTTCTCATTTGGGTAGGCTCTGTCAGAGGGAAGGTCTAGGGATGAAGTCTGTTGTTCAGATTCTTTTGTCCCATGGGGTGTTCCCTTGATGTAATACTCTCCCCCTTTTCCCATCAGTGTGGCTTCCTGTGAGCCAAACTGCAGCGATTGTTGTCTCTCTTCTGGGTCTAGCTGCCCAGGAATTCTAGCAGGCTCTGGGGCTGGTACTGGAGGTTGTCTGCACAGAGTCCTGTGATGTGAACCATCTGTGGGTCTCTTAGCTGTGGATACCAGTGCCTGTTCTGATGGAAGTGGCAGGGAGGTGCAATGGACTTTGTGAGGGTTTATGCTCTATTTTTGTTCTGGTTGGCTTCCTGCTGGGACATGGTGTTTTCCAAAGAGCATTAGCTGTGGTATATGGAGAGGAACCAGCAGTGACTGGGGCCCTAGAACTCCTGAGATTGTATGCCCTTTGTCTCCAGCTACCAGAGTGGGTAGAGAAGGACTATCAGTTGGAGGCAGGGCTGGGCGTGTCTGAGCTCAGACTCTCCTTGGGCAGGTCTTGCTGCTGCTGCTATGGGGGATGGGGGTGAGGTTCCAGGTCAATGGAGTTGTGTACCTAGGAGGATTATGGCTGCCTCTGCTGAGTCATGCAGGTTCTCGGGGAAGCAGGGGAAAGCCGGCAGTCACAGGCCTCACCCAGCTCCCGTGCAAACCAAAGGGCTGGTCTCACTCCCACCGTGCCCCCCTTAATAGCTCCAAGTCTGTTTCCAGGTGTTGAGTAAGCTGGGCTTGAGAACTTGCCCCAGGTTACCCACCTCCCAGCTGCAAAAGAAAAGGGCTTAGTTCTTCTCCTGCCTGTGGAGTCTGCACACTGGATTTGTGCCCTCCTCTGAGTTCTGGCCAGGAGGCTTCTCACCCAGTTCAAATTGTTACCAAGTTATCTGGAGATTTCCTTCTCCCTGTGGTGTTCACCCCTGCCCTCTGATTCCTCTGTCCACCCTCTCGATGGATCACTGTGATGCCATGCAGAAATGGCCTGCCTGGGGATCCGGTGAGCTTCCAGGGCCTTTCTGCTGCTTTCTCTACCTCTGTGTTTTGCTTGGTTCTCTGAATTGACTCAGCTCCAGGTAAGGTCAGAAACTTCTCCCGCAAACAGACCTTTGGTTTCTCCTGTGGGATGTGTGTTCTGGAGAGGAGGCTCTCCCTTTCTCACTTCTGCAGTTGGGGCACTCACAGTATTTGGGGTGTCTCCTGGGTCCTGCAGGAGCAATCTGCTTCCTTCAGAGGGTCTGTGGGTCCTCTTGGGATTGCTGGTTTGTGCTTGCAGTTACTATGTGAGCCTCTGCATGCTGCTCTGTCCGTCTGAGTTGGAACTACAATCTATTCCTGCCTCCCATCTGCCGTGATGATGACTTGTCAGGAGATTTAATACAAAACTTACTACAGTATGATTTTGGTGGCTTTATACAACCAACTTTTTTTTTCTCATTTACCTCAGATCTGATGCTAGTATGATGCTTCACATTTATTGGCCCATTGAATTTCATCTTCTATTTATATTTTTTGGCTCATTTTTCTCTTGGTATTTAATTCTTTTTAACTGATTTACATACTGTACATATTAATCTTGTGTCTCCATGTAGACTCCAAATATTTTCCCCATTTTTCATTTGTTTCTTAACTTTGTTTACATTGTCACTTTTTTAACATAAAAGTTTTAATTTTTCATGTGATTCAAACTGTCAGTCCTTATGGCCACCTAAACATTTCTAAGTGTTCCTTATATATAAAATACTCTTTTTCTTATCTTATTAGGCCTGGCCCTCTAGAAAAATGTCAAAGAGTGGCAGTAATAAAAGTCATCATTGCCTTGTTCCTGGTTTTAATAGGAATATTTCTAAAATTTTACCATAAAATAGTATATTTGCTATAGGAATGACTTGCTTTAAGTATTAGATGAGGTCCTCAGCACATAAACTATAAATAATAGCTATAATTTATTATTTGGTGAACTGCTTAAATTTCTGTTCCAAGTCTCTCCACTAGCAAACAAGGGATTGGGTCTGGATAATCTCTAAGGTTCTTTCCAGCATAGTGAGTCTTGCAATTCCAGGGCAATTTTTTTTTCTTCTTTTTGAGACGGAGTTTCATTCTTGTCGCCCAGGCTGGAGCTCAGTGGTGTGATCTCTGCTCACTGCAAACTCTACCTCCCAGGTTCAAGCGATTCTCCCGCCTCAGCCTCCCAAGTAGGTGGGATGACAGGTGCCTGACACCAGGCCCAGCTAACTCTTGCATTTTTAGTAGAGACAGCATTTCACTATGTTAGCCAGGCTAGACTTTAACTCCTGACCTCAGGTGATCTGCCTGCCTCGGCCTCCCAAAGTGCTGGGATTACAGGCATGAGCCACCATGCCTGGCCTCCATGATAAATTTTCAAAAAGCTTCATGTCATTTTATCAACCTAAATAATCACTAATCTTATCTATAAAATAAAACACATAATCTCAAAGCCACATAAACACACAAGCACAAGAGAGCCTCTCAGCCACCTTAGTAACTCATATTTAGATATATAAAGTGGTCTTGGTAAAGGATTTTAACTTTCCTATATTTATAGTCACTTTATAAAGTTGCTTGGCAACTTTTATTAAAAGAGAAAAAAGAAATTGAGAGGAAATGAAAGCGAAGCAATGATTGGAAAGTCACTGGTGAATATGGCAGTATCCCAGCTTCAAAAGCCAGCTGCAATCTAGTCAGTGTTGGAGTAGAAGTGCTGGGGCTCAGAAAACAACACCCCAACAAAAGGCCCAAGGAACAGCCTTAGAAGCAAAGTCTCTGTCTGACCTTCTCCTGTCTTCTTGTCTCTTCCCCCTCATTCTCCCCTGAGGCAAGGCATAGAAATGAGAATCTCTGTTCCCCTGGGCAGGTCAGAGAAACCAGAGCCATTTTTTCCCCAAAGCCAGCAATAAAACCTAAAAATATTACTCTCAGCTCCCAGCAAACTGCCTTTCTGTATAACAGCTGGTCATAAAGAAATTAAGACCCCATTTCAGAGGGGTCCTACCCCATATCCGAGAGGAAAAAATGCTGCAGAGAGTCCAAAAGAAATTTTGGACAGGTCTTGCTGAGTTTCCACACTGAAGTCTCTTGGCATTAGATTATACCTGTTTTGTCCTATCATATTTTTACATGGCTGTCCATACTCCATTCAACCTAAGCATAAATCCTGTGTTACATAAAACTCTGATCAAATAAGTCTGTCACGCTTTTCTCTTCTGAACTTGTCTTTGTTAGAGTAGTGCCAGCCGTGACCTTTATGATGGGGAGGAATGGGATCGCTCCCTTTCCATTCTTACAAAAGCAATTTTTAAAATTATTATTATTGTTATTCTTACCCCCCAGTGGGGTGGAGACTCAATGTCTGGGAGGCATTGAGAGGAAGAATACCAAAATTGGGAATAAACAATTTCCTATCTCCCATAAAGATACAAGAAGCAAAGGAAGAAGGCAAATGCTCATTGGGTGTAAGCAATTGAAATTGCTAAAGAATGAGAACTGAGAAGCAGCCAGAAATTATGCTGAGCGGAGGAGCAGAGATTGTGAGAAATTGGCAGGCAGTCACGATAGATGAAGCCAGGAAGGAACACACAAAGGGCCTGAAATGAATCAGACTTTATAAAAGGAGTTATAGGGGAGGGACAATAAAGCATGAATGTGGGTGCCTGCCTGGGACAGAGGAGGGTGAGAAGGGTAAGGAAAGGGTCAAAAATGCAAGGTTAAATCCAGTTCAAGAAGCTACCTAGAAACAAAGGTCTAATTAGCAGATTGTCAGAGAGCAGATTGTGGATAAAAAATGCCCAACAAATTGGAATACATGGTGCCATCCAAACTCTAAGAGGCAGGGGAAACATAGTTAAGATACAGTGAAGTTAAGAGCAAAACCACCTCCAGTGAACCAGATATGGCAAAAGCTATTATGGGAGGCAGGACTTTGATGAGGAACAACTCTCACATTGTTTTATTTTCAGAAATGGAATAAGAGAACAAATGGAAGCCCACATTTCTCATGGTTAAATATTTAAAAGTTATAAATTAAGCTACCAGACTGTTAAATAAAATGTTCTATTTACCCATCTTGACAAAACACCTTCTTTTTTTTTTTTTTTATATATGATAAATTTATTTCATAACAGTAAAAAAGTCTGCATTATTGAACAAATAGTATATAACGTTTGTCAAGTATAGCTGTAAAAATAATTAATGCATTTTTAACAACTTACCCCAAAATATTTTCCAAATGGAAAAGATTTAAAGATTTAAATGTAGAAAAGTAAACTCATACAAATACTTAAAATAAATGTAAGATATATATTGTATTTATATAATTTGTGAGTGGAAAAGGTTTCTCTAAGCATGGCATCAAAGCTTGAAAGCATAAAAGACCAATAGAGCAAACAAACTAATAACAACTTATAATTGTAAAAGATTTAAAATTATATTAGGACATGAGAAAAAATCTATTTACTACATATTATAACAAAGTATCATTTCTAAGAGACTTGTGAAATCAATAAAAACACAAATATGCTTTTTACGGAAAATATAAAAAGGAAATGAAAAAGCAATTCACAGAAGAACTATAAATGTCCAATAAGCCTAGAAGAATTCATGAGCCTCAGAAATGCAATTAAAATTTCACTGGGATTTCATTTTATTTATTAAATTGGCTAGGATCATAAACAACAGTAAAACTCTGTGCTAAGCAGCACAGGAAAAAATGGTTGCTTTTTTTTTTTTTTTTTTTCTTAAAGACATAAAAAATCAGATTCCCATTTAGAATTCTTAATTTTTTTTTTTTTTTGAAACAGGGTCTTCCTCTGTCACCAAGGCTGGAGTGCAGTGGTACAATCATAGTTTACTGTAGCTTTGACCTCCCTGGCTCAACTGATTCTCCCACATCAGCCTCCTGCGTAGCTGGGACTACAGGTGTGTGCCACTATGCCCAGCTAATTTTTATTTTGGAGAGATGCGGTCTCCCCATGTTGCCAGGGCTGTTCTCAAACTACTTGGCTTAGGGGATCCTCCCACACTGGCCTCCTAAAGTGCTGGTAGTACAGGAATGAGCCACCTTGTCCAGCCTCTTAAACTTTTTGAAGTTAGCCAGATTGTGGCAGTATTCAAAGAGTTGAATGTTCATTGTCCTGGGGACTTGACCTCTATTCTTCTCAACTTGCCTTCAGCCCTTCTCTTCCGTCCCTTGCTCTGTTCTGCACCATGAGGGCCTGGCTTACTAAGTGTGGGTACCCTACCTAGCGTGTATTCCCAAGCTGCATTCCCCTTACCTTTTTAAAAACACCATGTGCAAATGCCTTTTGCTCACTCCTCAAGCCCAGGTGCTCTGTTGGAAAGAAAGAACAAACCTGGGAAAGGCTTATGTGGCTCTTAGAGGAAGTTTGGGGCTGTTTGAGCAGGAATTACAGGTCCTGAGCCTCCAGAGCATGGCCTTTGGGCAGCTGGGCAGTTCTGGTCCTGTTGGCTCCTCATCCCTTAGAGTGGGGATCACTCAAGAGCATGGGATTAGGGCAGGACAGCCTCCTGTCCAGGTCTAAGGGTAGTGCTTGACTCTGAACCCTGTCAAATGAAACTAGGCATTCTTGTCACTGAGAGTTTCTAGCAGACCAAAGCTCTTTGGAAAGCACGAGTACTTCATTGGTTGACTCTCAAGTTTTCTGGCCATTTTTGGCTTATATCGGGTTCCAAGAGTTTTCCTTCTTAGTTTCCATGTACTGACCATTAAGTTCAGTGTTTCTTGTGCCCAGAGATGAGAAGAAACCAAATATGGAAAAGTCGACCAGGCTTTAAAAAAAATTGTCTGTACTGTGGCACATATGGAGTCTGGGTGGCAGTGCTCTTTGGTATATAAAAATATAATTAATATGATTTAACACACATTTTGTCATGTTCACAGGTAAATATCTATTTGCTAAATTTCCATTACAACTTGTCTCACTCCTATTAATTTTCACATCTTTCCCCTCAAGGATATTCTTATTTCTGAAACACTTCTCAGCTCAGTCCCCACTGGTGCTGTGACTTCTGAGCACCATTTGGCATGATATATATGTCAACAAGCAGGCCATGAATGCCAGGTTGAGGAAAGAGGAGAGTGAGAAGGGCAGATTCATTTAGGAGTTTATTCTTCAGCAACCACATTGTGAAATGACACATCCCACTTCCTGGCTGAGGGTGAAGAGCATTATTTAAATCCCCTGAAGAATCTACAGGTGTGTGTGTATCTTCTTGGATCAAGCATTGGCATCAAATGGAGTATTTTGATCTTTCACACTTTTTGCAGAAAGCATAAGGTTAGAATACAAGTCACAATTAGTCCTTAGAATGTAAATGAATTAGTTTATAGGGTTTTTTTTAGTACTCTGCAGGGGAATATGGAATATAGTATAAAGAAACTAATACCACTGACTGTTTGGCAGAATTCTATTTTAAATTCCTTGGAAAAGTAAGCTTTTCATTTCTGAACAAAATCAGAATCTAGTAAAGACTTTGAACTAGTTTTCAACTAGCTCAAGTTTAAATTTAGGTCCATGAAGCGTGGGAGTGCCTACAGCCTGGCAAAGAATAAAGTACTCCTGCATAGATCACTTAGCTTGGGTCTCTGCTGTGGAGGGTCGCATTGGGGCCAGTTACTTATAGCTCAAGGTTTCATAATTTCAGCACGATACACATTTCAGGCTGGATAATTCTTTGTTGTGAGAGCCTAGTCTGTGCATTATAGGAATATTTAGCAGCGCCCCTGGCCTCTATCCAGTAGATACCAGTATCCTGTGCCACACTTCCCTAGTTGTGACAATGAAAAATGTCTTAGCATTGCCAACTATGCCCTGGGGAATCAAAATTGTCCCTGATTGAGGACTTCCCAGCAGCTAGTTTATTTTCTACTCTCCTATGTGCTTTTCAGGCAGGAAGAGGGAGAGAGAAAGCTGTAGGTGACATGAAATCTGCTTTTGGCTTCTGAAACAACATGAGAGAAATGAAAGAGAAAACGAATACTTACTAGCATCTGTTGTGCACTAGAATACACTCCATTTGTGCTTTTACATAAATTTGGGCTTCTTAAACTAGAGAGTGGGCCAGAGTTGCACTAAACCAGAAGGTAAACATATAGCATCAATTTTACTTGATGGTAAAAATTCTGAAATATTTATTTTTCTTTAAATCACATGCATACAGAGTAGAATATAATGTGTGTGTTAATATTGAAGTTAAAGTATAAAACTACAAATAAATTTTGCATGAGTTGGATTTCTTATGACTGGCCCTGCTCCCAGAATCTGCATAGGCATGGATGCACTCTCAATCACTGTGGGTATCTTTGGTGGAAGCGTGTAAGAAGCATGATGTATATTAATCAGTTTACATTTCTGTGAACTAAGTAGGTATACTCCTATCATTTACTTACTTTTTTAGATAAAGAAACGAAGGCTCAGAGAGGTTAAGTAACTTATCTAAGCTCACACAGCTATGGTACAAACACTATAGGAACTTTTCAAAGTCTTCAAATACTATGTTCTTTTCATTTTCTGATGAATTAATAGGCAGGGTTAGGTCTGGGTAAATTTTTGAGAAAGGTGAAAATTTGTCTTTTCTTTCTTTAATTTTTGTACTATCTTTATTCTCTCCTCGTGTAACCCCTCTTCCCAGAAATAAAAAAACACCCAGTGCTCTTTCTCTGTTCAGATATGAACATCCATCTGCTAAGCATTGCAGGTCTGCTTATTTATTAACTGGAAGAAATGGCTGATATTTCAGACCTTGTACAGTGGTTCTACATGGTGATGGTGATGGAGGTGACAGTAGCAGTAAGTGCAAGAGTTTCCCTTAAGTCACGTATGTAGTCAAATCTGTTCTTGTTGAGGCTAACCTAGAGAGTGGAGGTCAGTAGTGGGCAGAGATTGAAACCAGACAAACCTCTCTGTGTGACTTCAAAGACTTCCTTGTCTTTAACTCCAGGAGTCTAGTGGTAGTAGGGTCCTACCACTTATCTGGTAGGGAAGATCAAATTGTCTTGAATTCTAGAAACTCCCAGATGGAACAAAACAAAAGAAAGTAATTGGGAGGCACAAACTGTACCCTCCTGGCGCCTTCGTGGGAGTCTTACCATATTTTTTTCCCTTTCCCCTTCTCAGCACTGTGCTGTCGCCCAAGCACCAGGGGAACCCAGCTGCCTGGTTTTCTTTGGCGGGGTCTTGTGGCTGCTTTTTAGTCTGTCTTGTTATCTCTCTCCTCAGCTGACCCTAGAAATGCTTAATTTGGCTGTGTGAAAGTAATGCTAATTTCAGTCATTTAAGTAATCATTTGCCATTTATACTAAATTGCCGTGTAATATTACAGTGATTATGCATATCATTAAATATGTGTCACATTAGTCTTGTGGTGGGTTTTATTTGATTATAGCACTAAATCATGCTCAGGATTCTTAGACTTCTTAGTTTGTTGCTTATATTATATTGTGATCATTACATAACTTAAAAACTTAGGGAGAATGTTGCCATTGAGGGAAAGTTTGAGAGAACACATCTATTTCCCTTCCTGCCTCATTATAACCATGAAATTGACAGCATTGGTATCATTCACATCTTTCAGGTCTCTAAATTTACCTTTTTGATCTCACAACGTGGATTGTCTACACAAATTCATCCTTTTGAAACATTTAATGAATAATCTGTTTTAAATTGTGTTTTAAAAAGCTTATCTGCATTTCCTATTGAATCAGGTTATTTTCTATGTTCACCATGAGTCTTCACCCATATGCATAATGTTAATGTATAAAAAAGAATAATTGCTGTCCTAAGAATGAACATAGCTTCTTTTTCCATGGGAATACAATCTTAAATGATATACACTCAGTGTTAGCAGTGCTTATCTACATATAGATCTTGCATTATGGGATTTTTTTAACCTTCTTTATATTTTTTGGTACTTTTGTTTTTAACTAACAAGCATGTTGTTGCACTTATTTTCAGAAACTAAGTAATTTAACACCAAAATGTTTCTTGAATATATGTTAATTTTTAATTGACATCTTCAATATTAATTACCTTCTTGACTATAATATCAAACACATGTAATATTTTGACCCTTTGATCATTTTACTTTGGAGCATAACCATAGGCTTATTATCTTATAATGTATAAAAAAGCAACTAAATTTTTATTCTCCCTGTCCAATCAGTTTTAATTCACTTCAGCAAATATCCTCTCTATTCCATATATCTGGAAATACCACAGGACCCAATTTTACACCAGTTGGAGTCCTCATCTCCTGTTTTTTTTAAACTTGATTTTATTTGTCCTTTTTAAAATTTATTATAAGATGCTTCACATTATTTTATAAAAGTGGAAAGGCATGGAAAAAGGTAAGACTTTGTCCTGATGTACCAGTGCTCACAAGAAAAAGACTGCCGTTTTATGAGTGCTTCACGGTGGAATTGGGAGGTAATAGCTGCTGTTCTTCATTTTCTCCACATAGTGTTTTATTCACATACTGGAATGCTTTGTGGACACAATTGTCAAAGGCAGGGAACCCCAGCTGCCATGCAGTGGTTTATCTCCGCTATATGAAAAATGGCAGATTCTGACTTATAGTTTAATTCCAGATTTCTCTGAAAGGCAGGAGAGAGGAAAGGGAAAAAATACAGGAGGGTAAAGATAAGAACAGGCTAAGATTTGCACCTATGTTTTACAAAGTTATCTGAAAAGCATAATTTCACAAAGTATTTCCCTTTAAATTAAATTACTGAGCTGGGTTTTACACCTGTCTCTCTTAGCTGCTGAGACAAGTCCCAAATGGAGATGACATGACTGATGGCTTTAAGTGTTTATCCATTGTGTCTCCTGAGCAAGGATTAAAACAGCTACCTCCTGTCATGTTTGCTTGCCAAGTTTTAGACAGATTTTTAAAAAGAATTTGATTTGAGAACTGTTCTTGACTTCGGTTGCAGTGATCAAATTTACCACTAGACAGAGCTGTTTGTCTTATTTTTAACCATTGCAGACTAAGATTTGCAAGACAATTAGAACCAATGAAAAGGAAAACCATAAATGATAATATCTTTTATGAGATGGACACTCTTAAAGAATATACTTATTGCCCTTTTACTGCTGAAAATACATAATTTACAGGTTGTTCAGTGTCATTGTCACTTGGGAGGCTGCAACTCAATTCTCAAATTTCCACTCATCAGCAGGAAGATTTCAATAGCTAATAAAGATAATCAGGATGTATTATGCAATTTTCTCATTCTTTTATATTACCGTAGCTAAAGTCACAGTGACATCCTACATCCTAAGCTTTTACTGGAAACATCTTTGTAATTTATTCTCTGCTCTTTTCTATGAAAACTACCTATTTTGCAAGCACAGCTTTTGGAATTATAAGAATGTTATACTATTGTATACATTATATGTTTTATTTGCACAGCAATTTTCTACCAAGATGTGCAACATGTTTAAAATTTTTAAATTGCTACCATCCAAACTGAGTCCATCCTAAGCCCAATCCACAAAACCCTAAATTCTGGCTAAAACCATAATCTAGGGGTTCTTCTGAGGAAGGGCCTGGGCAGAGAACCCAAAGCAGGTCTTTAGTCTTTACATGCATGAGTCACCTTTACTTGTCAAGGTATACAACTCCATAGTGCCTCAAACAGTCCTCAGAGTTTAGTCTCTGGACAAGCAGCAGTACATCCCCTGGGAACTTGTGAGAAATGCAAATTGTCTGGCCAACCCCAACCTACTGAATCAGAAACTCTGGGGATGCAACTCTGTAATCTGTGTTTTGATAAGCCTTTTGGGGGATTGTGAAGCAGGCTAATGTTTGAGATTTGCTGACATTTCCAAATGAAAAAGAGAAACCAAATTATGAAAAAATAGTTATCTGAAATAGAAACAATACACAGAACAGTAGAGAACATCCAAGGAACTATAATTAATGATCTCAAAAATATACAAGAATGCTGTGAAAGAGAAGAAGAAAGAGCTCCTGAAAATGAAATATTAGTATATAAAATATTCAATGAAGAGTATTAAATTAACTAAATGAAATTTAAAATCAAAATTTAATAAAGAGTATGAAGATAAAGTTGCAGAAAGTAGTATAAAGAAAAAAACAGGTGGGAAAGAAAGACTAGATAACAACTTTGAATTATGAATACATGACTTCCAGTATCTACTTAACAGGATTTTCACAGAGACACAGAGGAAATTATCAAATAAACACTAAAATTGAATATTTAAATACAGAACCACCAAATGATGTAAAATTAATTCCAATTACTTTTTAAATTTTCCTTTATTTAACGTGGTTTATTTCTCAAATTTTTCATATACAATATAATCTGTCAGCTATTCTCTTTTTGCAAATTTTAATTTAAATGAAAGTGAACATTCACGTTTGTATGCTAAGATAAATATTGTTTGTTGCTGAGCTATACACTCTACTATGTGTATGATGTTTCCTCTTTTACATAACTTTTTGTTTTCTCCTAAAGTTAATAATTGATTTTTTAAAAATTTGCTTAGTTTTTATTACCTATGACCTATGTGATAGACCTTTCAACTGCTTATTGATAATATTTTCCAGATAATCTAACATGGGATGATCAAGTATTTCATTTTTTTTTTTTTTGCCTAGAGACCTCAATCCATCCTCCTGCCCCAACAATCTGACAGGTAGTTTTCTGGGTGTGCTGAGCAATTGTCATCCCAGAACTTCCACTGTCACTTTTCCTGTGTTGGATCCACTGTTTCCTAGTGCCATGTCTCCCTAGTCCTTGATTTACCCTTTAACTTTGTTGAAGCACACACTCTGCTTGCATCATAGGAAAGGAGACACACAAGTGGGATAAATATTGTGAATCATTGCATGCCTGAAAAATTCTACATTCTTGATTAGCTCAGTTTAGTATTTTAGACTAAAATTTATTTTCACTTCAATTTTTGAAGGCTTTGCTCTGTTGTTTTCTGACTTGCTGTGTTGCTAGTGAGAATTCAGATGCCATTTTCACTTTCTTTTTCCTTTTTATGTGACTTTTTGACTTTCCCATCAAACTTTTAGGATCTTCTGTTTTAGTAGGTGTTCTGAACTTTCACACTAATGTGCCTTGCTGTGAGCCTTATCTCATGAGCAGAGCACTGAATGAGCCATTTCAGTCAAGAGACTCACACTTCTCAATCCTGAGAAATTTTCTTTTAGTGACTTTTGGGTTAATGCCGAAATGAGCTGAGACTTTGGGAGACTGTTGGGAAGGCATGATCGGTTTTGAAATATGAAAATATGAGATTTGGGAGGGGTCAGAGGCAGAATGACATGGTTTGGCTGTGTCCCCACCCAAATCTCGCCTCCAATTGTAACTCCCACAATTCCCACGTGTCATGGGAGAAACCCAGTGGGAGGTGATTGAATTATGGGGGTGGTCTTTCCTATGCTGTTTTTGTGATAGTGAATGAGTCTCACAAGATCTGATGGTTTTAAAAATGGGAGTTTGCCTGCGCAAGCTCTCTCTTTGCCTGCCGCTATCCATGTAAAATGTGACTTCCTCCTCCTTGCCTTCTGCCATGATGGTGAGGCCTCCTCAGCCATGTGGAACTGTAAGTCCAATTAAACCTCTATTGTTTGTAAATTGCCCACTCTCAAGTATGTCTTTATCAGCAGCATGCAAAAAGACTAATACCAGTGTCGTGCTGATAATATTAGTTTTGGTACTGGCAAGGGGACTCCCCAAATGATCCTAAACTGAACTTGAAACTTACCTACCACTCATCTTTCCTATCTCAGTGATTGGAACCACCATCTGACTAGTTGGTCAGGCTACAGACATGGGGATGGCCCATTAATTCATTTAATAGACATTGAATGCTTACGACATCCTAACCACTGTGCTGAGAACTGGAGATACAACAGTGAACAAAGCAAGATCCAACTCTGCCTCAATTCGAGGAGCTTATATCCAAGTAGTGGGAGATAGTTAATAACCAAAATAAATAAACTGTACATCATAATTCAAAGAGTGATAGGCATTAAAAAGAAAATTTGGAGTACTGTCATGGAGGTTGAAATTTTTAGTGGTATGATCAGAAGAGGCCTCAGTGAAAAGGTGATATTTAAACAAAGACTTGAAGAAGGCAAGAGTATGAACCATATTGTTATCTGGATGGAATAAATAGCAAGGGCAAGGCTCTGAAGCAAGATAGTGCCAGAAATGCTTGGGTACCACCAGGAGATTGGTGTGAGTGAGATGGAGTGAGCTTGCAGGAGGCAATGGGGTAGGGGTAAGTGGGGTGATGGGTTTGGTGTAGGCTTCGTCAGTCCCTATAGCCCACTGTAAAGACTTTGGCTTTCATTTTGAGTGAGATGGGAAACACCAAAGGATTTTTAGCTGAGGAGTGGATGTGACCTGAGTCATCGGTTGAGAATGATGACTTCCCACTTCCTTAACCCTGCCAGCCAATCATCATGGGCTATCAGTTCTATTTCCCCACCCCCCACTGTCTCTCAGATCTGTCCCACCTTCTTTTCCCCTCATCATTGCTGCTACCACACACTAGTCCAGGAAACCATAATTTCTTGCTTGAGTTATTTTAATAGCTTCTTAGTAGGGCTTCCTGATTCTTATTTGCTGACTTCTAATTCATTTCCCACAATGTTTCCAGAGTAACCACTCTGAAAATTTGATAGATTTACACTTCTGGTTAAAGCCATAAGTAGCCTTCTTTTCCCTCTGAGAATAGATTGCAAAATCCTCAACATGACTTTCCATGGTCTATTCCCCAATCTTCAGCTTCACATGTTCCCTGTCCTCCTATTTCACATTATACGTTCTGGCCATCCTGAACTTTTCATTCCCTGAATATATGATGTTTTCCTTTGCTTCTGAGACTTCACAGACTACTTGCTCCAAGAGCCTTCCTTGGTTTTTAAATCTGGATTGGTTCATTATCTTTTTGCTCTTCTAGCACCCTCTACTTCCCCTACACTGAAACTGTCATCCTATATTCCAACTGTTTCATTATCTATTTCCTCACTCTTCTTTTGCAATAGGTGAGGACTGTCTGTCTTGTTCACACCCAGAGACGCATTGTCTGTGACATAGAAGGTGCTCAGTATAGATGGGGGTGAATGATGAATGGATGCCAAAACTGCTCTATAGATACTAACACTTTGAGGACATTAATGAATTACTTCTTGTCACAGCCAGAAGACACTAAAATATATGTTGAGTGCATGAAAGAAGGAATAAATGAATAAATATGTTTTTAATTCTTTATATTCTACTCATTTGCCCCTCATTGTTTAACTGCTCATCAATAATGGTAATATGTGGCCACCCACTAGCCCTACACATATGTGCAGCAGGTAATGGCTTACACAGGGTAACCTCATGAGTAGTCCTCACTATGAGTTCTCCTCACCTTCAGCCCTTGAAGCAGTGGCATGAGCAGCACTGGCTTTGGCTAGCTTTGAACATGTGGTCAGCTCAGAATGCTAAGCCAGCAATGATCTAAGTGGTGGTCAGCCCGGTCAGTGACGTTAGTGGATGCCAGTAGTTGCACAGCCAAGGGAAAAGCTTAATACTGGCTTCCAATTATAGTGCTGTTTCCTTTATTTAAATCTGAATGTAGTAGAAGCCTCAGTAGTCAATGGATAATGAGAAGATTGGGTTAAGAGTACATTTGAGACATATTTCAGGTCTTTTAGAAATACATTGGTAGTTTTTGGCCAAGCATGTGGCTCATGCCTATAACCTCAGCACTTTGGGAGGTTGAAGTGGGAGGATTGTTTGAAGCTAGGAGTTCAAGATTAGCCTGGCCAACACAGCTAGACTCCATCTCTACACAATTCTTTTATTTTTATTTTTTATTTTTTTGTTATACTTTAAGTTTTAGGGTACATGTGCACAACGTGCAGGTTTGTTGCATATGTATACATGTGCCATGTTGGTGTGCTGCACCCACCAACTCGTCATTTAGCATTAGGTATATCTCCTAATGCTATCCCTCCCCCCTTCCCCCACCCCACACAGGCCCTGGTGTGTGATGTTCCCTTTCCTGTGTCCATGTGTTCTCATTGTTCAATTCCCACCTATGAGTGAGAACATGCTGTGTTTGGTTTTTGGTCCTTGCGATAGTTTGCTGAGAATGATGGTTTCCAGCTTCATCCATGTCCCTACAAAGGACATGAACTCATCATTTTTCATGGCTGCATAGTATTCCATGGTGTATATGTGCCACATTTTCTTAATTCAGTCTATCATTGTTGGACATTTGGGTTGATTCCAAGTCTTTGCTATTGTGAATAGTGTCACAATAAACATACACGTGCATGTGTCTTTATAGCAGCATGATTTATAATCCTTGGGGTATATACCCAGTAATGGGATGGCTGGGTCAAATGGTATTTCTAGTTCTAGATCCCTGAGGAATCGCCACACTGACTTCCACAATGGTTGAACTAGTTTACAGTTCCAGCAACAGTGTAAAAGTGTTCCTATTTCTCCACATCCTCTCCAGCACCTGTTGATTCCAGACTTTTTAATGATCGCCATTCTAACTGGTGTGAGATGCTATCTCATTGTGGTTTTGATTTGCATTTCTCTGATGGCCAGTGATGATGAGCATTTTTTCATGTGTCTTTTGGCTACATAAATGTCTTCTTTTGAGATGTGTCTGTTCATATCCTTCGCCCACTTGTTGATAGGGTTGTTTGATTTTTTTCTTGTAAGTTTGTTTGAGTTCATTGTGGATTCTGGATATTAGCCCTTTGTCAGTTGAGTAGATTGCAAAAATTTTCTCCCATTCTTTAGGTTGCCTGTTCACTCTGATGGTAGTTTCTTTTGCTGTGCAGAAGCTCTTTAGTTTAATTAGATCCCATTTGTCAATTTTGGCTTTTGTTGCCATTTGTTTTGGTGTTTTAGACATGAAGTCCTAGCCCATGCCTATGTCCTGAATGGTATTGCCTAGGTTTTCTTCTAGGGTTTTTATGGTTTTAGGTCTAACGTTTAAGTCTTTAATCCATCTTGAATTAATTTTTGTATAAGGTGTAAGGAAGGGATCCAGTTTCAGCTTTCTACATATGGCTAGCCAGTTTTCCCAGCACCATTTATTAAATAAGGAATCCTTTCCCCATTTCTTGTTTTTGTGAGGTTTGTCAAAGATCAGATAGTTGTAGATATGTGGCATTATTTCTGAGGGCTCTGTTCTGTTCCGTTGGTCTATATCTCTGTTTTGGTACCAGTACCATGCTGTTTTGGTTACTGTAGCCTTGTAGTATAGTTTGAAGTCAGGTAGCGTGATGCCTCCAGCTTTGTTCTTTTGGCTTAGGATTGACTTGGCAATGCGGGCTCTTTCTTGGTTCCAAGTGAACTTTAAAGTAGTTTTTCCCAATTCTGTGAAGAAAGTCATTGGTAGCTTGATGGGGATGGCATTGAATCTATAAATTACCTTGGGCAGTATGGCCATTTTCATGATATTGATTCTTCCTACCCATGAGCATGGAATGTTCTTCCATTTGTTTGTGTCCTCTTTTATTTCATTGAGCAGTGGTTTGTAGTTCTCCCTGAAGAGGTTCTTCTGGCACAAGACAGGGATGCTCTCTTTCACCACTCCTATTCAACATAGTGTTGGAAGTCCTGGCCAGGGCAATCAGGCAGGAGAAGGAAATAAAGGGTATTCAATTAGGAAAAGAGGAAGTCAAATTGTCCCTGTTTGCAGATGACATGATTGTATATCTAGGAAACCCCGTTGTCTCAGCCCAAAATCTCCTTAAGCTCATAAGCAACTTCAGCAAAGTCTGAGGATACAAAATCAATGTGCAAAAATCACAAGCATTCTTTTACACCAATAACAGACAAACAGAGAGCCAAATCATGAGTGAACTCCCATTCACAATTGCTTCAAAGAGAATAAAATACCTAGGAATCCAACTTACACAATTCTTTAAAAAATAATTGGCTGGGGCTGGGTGTGGTGGCTCATGCCTATAATCCCAGCACTTTGAGAGGCCAAGGCGGGCAGATTCTTTGAGCCCAGGAGTTCAAGACCAGCCTGGGCAACATGGTGAAACCCTATCTCTACTGAAAATACAAAGAAAATTAGCTGGGCATGGTGGCACATGCCTGTAGTTCAAGCATGAGAATTGCTCGAACCGGGGAGGCGGAAGTTGCAGTGAACTGAGATAGTGCCACTGCACCCCAGCCTAGGTGACAGAGACAGACCCTATCTCAAAAAAAATATATATATATTGGCTGCATGTGGAGGCATGTGCCTGTAATCCCGGTTACTCAGGAGGCTGAGATGGGAGGATCATTTGAGCCCTGAAGGCCAAGGCTGCAGTGAAATATGATGGTGCTGCTACACTTCAGCCTGGGCTGCAGAGCAGGACCTTGCTTTTAAAAAAAAAACATAAAAAAGTAATAGGTTGGTAGTTTTGGAGCTGAGATTCTGCAATTATGACTAAGTGGGCATATTTAACTCTTGTCTTTGCCAGTAATTAATCAGAGAAATGATATTACGTACTTGAACATTGTATTCCCAGGCTGCTGTGACCTAGAGAAATATAAGTAATACATTTTACATATAATGCCTATTGGACTCCTCCCCAAATCACCAGGCAACCTATTAATAAAGCAATGCTAAATTTATTAGAGCTCACTGCAGTTAGAAAGACGTTTACCTTAATAGTCATAACAGTGACTCAGAAGGAGAAAGTCAGAAATGATTTAATTTTAGTGCCTTGGGATCTGAGCTGACATGGTTTGAAGTATGTCTTTCAAACTGAGGAACTCATTTGAATTGGGCAAAATTTGTAATATATTAGTTAAAAATTTGTAGACCCTGTGAAGTGAGGGTCTTGAAACAAGGCTTGGTAATTTGGTATGATAAGAAAATGTTTGCCCAGGTGAGCAGACTCTTATCTCTGATAAGTACTCTGTAGAAATTTCCTGAAACAGTGAGGTGTTTTTGTTTTGTTTTGTTTTGTTTTCATTGGTTTACAGCTTTATCTCTCCTAGGCAAAGTTTCCTGGAACAAATAACTAATTCATGATGACATAGCTGGTCTGTATTCTTAATTAAGTCATGTCAACACAGATAGTCTCTGCACTCATACCTTTTGCTTTCATTCATACACACCTTGAGACATTTTTCTGTCTTGATGGTTTATAAGATCAGGATTTGAAAAAAGGAGAGAATGAGAGTATGAAGCCTGAGAAGAGGAAGAAGCACTACTGAAAGGGTGGCATTGAAAAAATGAAGGTGACAAAAATAAACTTACTTTTGTGCAATTTTGTTTGAGGCAGGACTTCAGCAAATATAACAAGCAAACACATATTTGATCTTCCTTTCCAGAGGTATCATCTATAAAAATGAACCACTACTTTTAAGTAATTGAGATGGAAGTCTTCTGCCTCACTCCAGGCAGCTGCAACCACTGGAAATAGATATTCCATGGATCTTGTTGGATTGGATGATGGTTTCTTAACTACTCTTCTTTCTCAATCCAGGCATATGAACATCATGGTGATACGTCAAGATGTACCACAGAGAAATGATAATGTACCACAGCAAAAAGAGAACTGTGTTCTGATATCAAAATGGTTGTGGCTATTTGATTATCTATGCTTAATGCTCTAAAACACTGTTTCTAGTCAGAAGCTTAGGTAGATACTCTCTCATCTACTGATTTAACATGGCTGAATTTACAGTTACAGTGGATATTTGCAAAGTTGTAGATTACAGCAATTGATAGCCCAATCTCTGGAGTGAAATAGAATTGGATATGAATCCTGACCTTATTTTAGTTTTGTGATCTTAGGTAAGTTGCTACTTAGTTGCATCTTCAGTTTTTTCATATATACATCTCAGCTTTTTTTTTTCCACATATAACATGGAGATAGTTAATATCTACCTGATAAGATTGTAGTGAATAACAGCTATGTAAATCTTTCAGTCTTAGTGTGAACTCAGTAAATGTTAGCCATTATTATTAGAACTACTAGCAGTAGTAAGGTATGCTTTGTTTATTTGAAGAGGAGAGTCACGGAAACATAGATTCGGAGAATAGTAGAGTTGGGAATGATCATAGAGATGTTGTAGTCTAGCACCTTTATTTTTCAGGAGAGGGAACTGGAGGCCAAAGGGAGCAAATAACACATAGATTGAAACAGCCAGTTAGGAAAAGGCAGGTATCATGTTTCCATGGTTTGCTTTGCAGGCCAATGTTTGCCTCTTACTAACAGCTGTGGGAAATGTGCCTCTAGAGCTCTGATGATAACCCCCTGCACAGAGCCTTTTGTTTATCACTATGAAGGTTAGAACCCTTGTCCAATGTGCTGTATTTTCAGTAAACAATAGAAAGTGGTCAGACATAATTTTGAGTCTTGGAGCTCAGATCCTGCAGTTCGTTGGGCACAGTTTCATCACTTGGCAATCACTGATATCTTTACAGTGTGATGTAAATATTTAAGATTAATACGCCCTATGTGAATGCTAAGCTCCTCATCTGTTGACACATTCTTTCTGTACTCAGCAACTACTCCCAGCGATTCCTCTTCCCCCAAAAATACTAAATATTGTTGAAAGAACAAACAGCTGCAAATATTGAAAACCTGTCTTTTTAAGAGGTTGAATGGAAAAACACAAAGTGATTTTACTGTGAAGTGAAGCTGACCTTTAAGAAGTTGTTATTTCTAGTTGTAAATCAATAAAATTTTATTGAGCATTTGCTTTATACAAAGCACTGTAGGTGATTTAAAGAAAGAAGTTATTTTTGCTTTTGAGGTGCTGACAATGTAGTAGGAAAGATGAAGATAAGTAAAAGTTAAATTACAAAATGCAACCTAAATAACATTTGAGGATGAAAACCAAAGGACATTTTTAGGCAGAGCCTGATGAATTGATATATGAGTAGTGCAGTCACCATTTGCTTAACATGCATTCCTCCTTTCAGCGACAGTACCCAATTCAGTTTTTGGAATTATTTTCCTCTTGCAGTCTTGGAGGGCTATAAATCAAAGCGCTCTGCATTTTTTTAGCCAAAGTAAGATCTTGTGAACCAGATCATGCCTGTTCCACTGTCTTCCAGAGTGACTCAAAAATTGAAAAATTTAGTTGTAGCTGATGAAATTGTTAACCCCTTTGACTGACCTTGTTGCTGAGCTCTGCTGAGATATCAATCACTACAATTATGGTCAATTCCTATGCCTTTAGCTCCTCAATATTCTTGAAATAAACTCCTTTTCTGCATGAGTTAGTCATACTTGACATATGTGGTAGTGTCAGATAGAAGGGAAGGAGAGGCCACTTTTCAAGGTTGTTGTCTAGGAAGAGAGGAGGTGACATATGAGTGGGACCTGGAAAGGGGAGGAGAGTAGGCAGAGTCACAGGATTCTCAGTTTGGTGACTTTTTATTATTTCTAATTCTGGAACACGATTAGAACCATTTCTATAGGTTGGAAGAAAGCTTATTCACAAATCCTGAGGATTTAATGCCTTACTAAATGCGAAACCAGGGCAGTAGAGTTGGAAACATTTTAGGTTCTTAGTTGGGTTAACAAATATAAAGGACTGTAAAGATATGTCTACAGATGCAACTACAACTAAGATAATATTTATTTCTACCCTGAAAATAGCTTGGGAGTCTCTTCTTACTGTGTTTAAAATCTGTCTCTCTTTCTCTCTCTCTCTCTCTGTTTTTCTATCTTGGCTTTATGATGATTCACCTTTAATAGTAGAGAAATTCATTCTTTTTTTAAATCAAGATTCAGTAAATATAATCTATACTTGCTTCACTAAACAAGATAGGATATTTGGAAACCATATTCTCTCCATGTGATAGCGTTTGTTAATATTTGAAACCATATATGGTTCCTGTAAAGTGCTCTCAGGCACTAGTAAATATGATTTTCTGAATTCACTTTACATGCAAAACAGTTGTATTCCTTGATTAAATAATGTCAGTTAAATTTTGTCTGGCAATACACATATGCTTCCTAAGCCAGTAACAGATAAATACCAATATTTTTTTTGCTAGAATTTGCTTTAATTAGCACTCTAAAAAACAATTTTACTGTTGGCACAATGGAAATGTGAAGAAGAAATGGGAAAAGAAAAATGGAGAGATTAGCAAAGTCCATCTTCTTTTCTCCTCTAAATGTATTGTTTTCTTCTTATAAGCTAAGCTCTCTTTAAATTCCAGAAAAGGAAAATCTTTTTTCTTAACATGATTTTTAAGGGGGTAGGGAGAAGCATTTGTGCTTCTGCTTGTGGAATTAAAACATTTCTTACACTGATTTTTATAGCAAACTGGTAATGCCTACATTTGAATTTCTGGCAAGCCCCAGACATAACACTATACTTGTTTGGCATTTATTCCTCACTGGCTGGACGAATTTTTAAAACATGAGGGAAATCAAGTGAAAAGATTAAAATCAGATGGTTTTGCAGAGACTACCAGTAATGAGGGGTAAAACTGGCATTCTTCCATCTGCTTATTTGATTATACATTTTAAACTTATTTTTAAGGCCGAACTAGAAGAGTTGGAACGTATCATTGAAGTCCAAAAGGGAAAATATTTCTTATTCGTTTTTATAATGAGTTTTGAATCTTTAAAATGCCTGTGGCCAGACTATGCTGGGACATGATCAAGAAGGTTTTCTCCCTTCAAAGAGTTTAGTCAAAAAATGTGTTTGTGGCAGAGGCTTCTCATTTAGTGCATCTATGGGAGATCTTTGAGAGTTTTCCCCTTATCTGTTTATGTTGCCATGGGAACATCCATGTTTATATCTTTGGAGGGATACAGTACTGCTTTTCAGAGTGGTGCAACAGAAAGCACACGGGCCTCATAGTTAAGAAATAGTGCATCTACTTCTGGCTTCAACCTCTACTAGCTGTATGACTGTGGGTGAAATATTTAAGTTCTCAGAGCTTTGTTTTTTATGGCTGGGAGCCGTGACTCATACCTGTAACCTCAGGACTTTGGGAGGCCAAGGCAGGAGGATCCCTTGAGTCTAGGAGTTTCAGACCACCATGGTGAGACCCCATCTCTACAAAATAAATAAATAAATAAATAAATAAATAAATAAATAAATAAATAAAAAATTAGCCAGGGTGTGATTGTGCATACCTGTAGTCCCAGCTACTCAAGAGGCTGAGGTGGGAGGATTGCTTGAGTACTGGTGGTCGACGCTTCAGTAAGCTGTGATCACCCCACTGCACTCCAGTCTGACTGACAGACAAAAAAAAAAAAGAAAATCGTTACCTTTTTGTTTTTAAAATAAAATTGAAGTAATTGCCCTCTTAAAGGGTTGTTATGAGCATTAGAAGTAATATATTAGGTAGAAATCCTGGGTGCATCAGAAGGCATTTAGTAAATAATAGTAATTATTATTATTGGTGCGATCATGACGAGATGTCTACACA
The DNA here is from genome assembly GCF_000001405.40 of Homo sapiens. Taxonomy (NCBI): domain Eukaryota; kingdom Metazoa; phylum Chordata; class Mammalia; order Primates; family Hominidae; genus Homo; species Homo sapiens. The sequence continues at coordinate 153,958,490 of NC_000003.12, read as the reverse complement.
TGTAAGTATTCCCTGCCTGACTCCATGCTTACTTCTTTCTCAGAGAGCTTTCTGTCTCTGTCAGCTCAGTCTCTGGATCCATTCATGATGTGAAATTAGAAAAAATGCAAGAGAAGGAGCTGACCTGAGAAGTGAAAGAAAAAGAAGGGCTGAACTGAGTGTCCACCGTTTCATTTCAAGAGCTGGGGACACTGGGGTAACAGGACACTGCACAGGCGGGTGTCAGAGTTTGGTAGTCGGTTACAGTAGAGGCATCGTCCAATAGAACTTCCTGCAGTTATGGACTTGTTCTATGTCTGAGCCGTCCGATAATGTAGCCACTGGCTGCACATGGCTATTGAGCACTTGTCTGTGGCTCATGTGACTGGAGTATTTCAAATTTCATTTCATTTTAATTATTAGTACTTTACAGCTTAATAGCTACATACAGCTAATGTCTACTATATCAGACAACAAAACTCTAGAGAATCAAGGGGATATGAGAGACTGAGGGAAGACAGGAGAGGAGAGGAGGCAAGTGTGATGGATTGTGAATTAGATTTTTCTTATTTCTTGAGAGATAAAACTAAAAGATCAAAATTTATCTGAAATAAGTTTCGATAGCTGGATTACGTGTGTGTGTATATACATATACACATGTACATATATATGTGTATATACATACACATTGAGTGTATATGTGTATATATACACATTGAGTGTATATGTGTATATATACACATTGGATGTGTGTATATATATACACAATTAAGTCATATATACACCATATATATGAGTCATATATATATAGTTTATTCATAAAATGTGTTTGTGGCAGAGGCTTCTCATTTTGTGCATCTACGGGAGATCTTTGAGAGTTTTACCCTTATTTGTTTATGTTGCCATGGGAACATCCATGTTTATATCTTTGGAGGGATACAGTACTGCTTTTCAGAGTATATATATATATATATGTATGACTCACAGCTGAAGACAAGATAGATGGGGCCCTGATTAATATTATTATTACATGAGTAATAATAAAACTGTTCTTTCATTAACATGATGATAATTGATTATTTTCACAGACATAAAACTCATAAGGGAAAGGGATTATTTATATAAATTGTTTTAATTTTAAACACATACCTATCAGTATACTTTTCACCTTAAACTCAACCTGATATATAAATATTAAGTTTAAATATTTGATTTTGAAAATTAGAACTAAATTAGAATGAATTCTCTATAGGCTTACCAGAATTTGTTTTCTCAGCAGCAACTACTACAACCATCAAGATCTATTTTCTCTCTAGTAATCCAAAGAATGGGTCTTGAAACTTCAAGAAACTCACCCCAAAATACTTTAAAAATTGTGTGTGTGTATTTTTTTTTTCTAGGAAGAACCTAACATTCATTCGAGGTTTTATACTGGATATTTATCTTTTTTTCCCCTTTCTCTGCCTGGCACCTGGCAGCCCTTCCATGAATCTTGTTCACCTCCCACTGTGGAAGGTGAAAATGCCAGACAAATGCTTTTGTATCCTCCCTTGAAGCTGTGGTGTGAACACTTGCCCCTTACTTTACCAGTGTTCCTGAACTGTATTTGGGAACTAGAGACCCAAACGTGGGGTATGCAGGGAACTCTCTGACGGTGGTGGCAGAAGGACGCTGCTAGTTTTGCAGTCCTGCCCAGTGACAGGTGATGGTAATTCAAGCAGCAAAGCCTTAGCACGGATACTCAGAGATGCAGCTGGGGTGTCCTCACTGAAACTGATTCTGAAGAAAGATTTTGGGCAGAGTTCCTGCATGCCTAATCCCAAAGCTGATTCCTCATCATGCCCAACAATTCTGTAAACTATCCACTATACCTTTAATGTATCAGAGTTCCGCTTAAATTGAGCAGAACTGGCTTTTGTTGCTTGCAACTAAAAGACATTGACTGATGCAGATACTCAAAGTGGTCTGTGACCCCCACATACTTAAGAACTATATGATAAATCCTCATTTATTGTGACTACATGACCACTACAAGTGGTATGATTAAGAACTGAAACAAAAAATCCAGAGTTGAAGATGAGTATATTTTCTACTAGTCATACAAGCATACACTTCAAGTGACAGCTAGTTTTGCTCAAGAATATAAACTGCACGGACACGTAAACAGAAATGGGAACTTAGAAAAGATCCTTGGTTTGGGAAGAAAAAAATATCAAGATTCCGCATCATGTCCATTACAGTGAACAACTTAGTAATGCAGGAACCCCCTACTCTGACTGAAGGCTCATGGATCCTGAGCGAAATGCCAGAAGTCGTGACACTGTCCTTGTACTCAGACATGTGAATCCAGTGACACTTAGTATCCTTCATCTTTCATTCTCTCTCTCCCAATTTGATATCAATAATGTTTACAGTCAACACTATGACACCTTGTCTAAACATTCAAAGTACTCAAACACATATAAACCTCAGTCTACAATTTGACTATGCCTCTAGATTTGTAGAAACTAGGGCAAATATACAGTCAGAAGATTCAGTCTCAGAAATTGATATGCAGTAAGTGAATTATGAAAGTACAATGTTTCCCTGCATATTTTAATGAGTATTTCAGCTAAAAAGTAGATTGGGCTAGAAATATAATGATGCTGGACAGTATCATCTTGGGGCTAGAAGTCTGAGATAGAATCCCTTCTTCACAAACAGAATAATAATATTTCATTAAAGAAAGTATACATTATGTTCCATCATTTGCTTTGTGTTTACACAATATTAGCATCGCTGAATAATAGACATGCATCAAGGGAGGAAAAATAAGCATTCCTTTCTTTTGGCATAATGAAAGTTCTAAATTGCCATATACTTTGTATTTAATTATAAATTCAGAAGTGTGTGTTATATTTATAAATGAACTATTCTGCACACATGTCCTCAAACACATTATGGACTGAAGTCTTCAATATTCCCATTCTTTCTCATTCTGGGAAAGAAAAATACCATAAAACTTAGAAAATAAATTTCTTTATACTTTGTAATGGAAATTTTTGGACATACGAAAAAGTGGCATGAGTAGGGAAGTGTACCCCTGTACCTATTCCACAGCTTTAATCATTGTCAACACTCAGCTACCTTTGTTTCATTTCTTTTCCCAACCCCTGCCACCTCATTACACCTTTTCTTATTTTTGCCTGGAGTAATTTGAAATAAATACAAAATATTATGTTATTTCACCCCTGAATACTTTCGAATGCATTTCCAAAAAAAGTAAGGACATTTTCTAATATATCCACAATGGTAATATCATACTTAAAAAATTAATGTATACTTCCCCGATGTTATTTAATATGCGCTCCATATTTAACTTTTGTTGATTTTCTTAAAACTGTCTTTTTACAGTCCCTTTGAATCAAGATCGAAACAAGGTATTTTCCACATTGTTTATTGTTGTTATTTCTCGTCCTTTAAGTCTACCCTCCCCCTCCTGTCTTCCTGCTCACTTCCTCCCCTAGCACCCCACCTTGTTTTTTCAAGCCATTGGCATTTTGAAGGAATCAGGTCCATTTACCTGCATGAGGTCCCACCTAACCGGATTTCACTGTTGCTTCTTTGTGCAGTTTTACTTGTTTCTCTTACTGTGTAGACAATGCTAGCTCTAAAGGCAGGTTCCAACTTTTTTTTAGAACAAAAGACTTCATCAGTGGTGCTGTGTATTTCATATTGCACAACTTTTATGATGCTAAGATTAATTCATGAGTTCAGAAGATGAAACTCTGATCCCTTCACTATAAAGTTGTCCTTCAGCATTTTCCCTCATAATTTTGACATCTATTGATGACCATTGTCTGAATCAGATTTTTCACTTAGAAGCTGCAAAATGTTGATTTTCCAACTCTCTCATTCCTTTCACATTTGGTAGTTGAGATTCCTTTTTATTGAACTGCCTCTCATCCATTAATGCTACAAGGTTACTCTGCCAATTCACTTCAAAAAGTCAGAATAAAAGCTGAATTATTTTTCTTTAGTAAGTAACTTTTAGAGGAACGAGTTGGAGTCAGAAGTTGATGCCATGGTGTATCACTGACCTCCCTTCAGGAATGAAGCACTCATTCCACAGCTGTGGGAAATGTTAGAAGCTGCTGCTCAAAGCTGAACCCTCCACAAGAATGTCCTCTGCAGAAGGCAGCTGTATTACCCAAGGTTATGCACCAGCCTCTTCCCTGCAGACAGACGGATCCAATGACTGGTCACTGGGATGGGAGGGGGAAAAGTCCTGACCTTTTCTCAAATTGTGACAAATCTGAAAGGCCATCCTCATGACCCCCCACACCTAATAATATATAATCAAGACAATAAACTCAACTCATTATTATGTGAAAAAGAGATTTGGTAATTTCAACAAATGGTTTATTTGGAATTTCCTATAGCACTAACTATACACGGATATGTTTACTTACAATGCATTACATTATTTTGTGCTGATTGCTAATAGCAACTGGGTGAGCCAAATCATAATTAAATTACAAGAAAATTAATATGCAATACATAATTGATAAGATGAAACAGGAAAATCGTACAAAACAATGTATAATAATGCAGCTGCAAAAGAATCACTGTTTTCTCACACTATTAATTTTATATGCTCCAACAAGAATGTTGTTTACTGTGTTATATTTGGTTCACAGTGCAGTCTTCTCTTGATAATCATACCATGTTCTATTAAATGGAATTCTCTATTGACTGAGGTTTCTACATCTTTAAAAGTGTGAATTAATGTTAGGAAGGATGTGAATCTGAGTAGTCATAGAAAGGGTTAGCACTGTGGACAACATTATTTTAATTCCAAGAGCCCTCTGTTTCTTGCTACTTCCGTGATACTTGACAATAATAAGGGGCAATTGTTTTCAAATGGTTCTATAAGTCCTGTACTCTTCACCCAATGGTGGGAACAGTGACAAAACAAGAAACAGGCACAGTCGGTGGAACTCCTGCTTCATTCAGAGCAATTCCACTTCTTACTTATTTTCTATACTAGCATTTCATGCACAGTTTTATTTGCAAAAAATGTTCCAGTGCTACCATAATTTTGAAAACCACTGAGAAAGGGCATAGATGCTAATTAACTATTAACAAGAAAGATTTAATTAACAAAACATGCCATCTTGACTCAGAAAATAGTGGATATTCTAAAGATTTTCTATCTTTTTTTTACCTTCTATTATGCAGAAATGTGGATGTATCTCATATTATATAATTTCTGGATCCTTGTTGGATTTCACATTGAGCCTTATTAGAAAATTAGTAGTACATTTGTTCTGGCCAAAAAATGGCTCAAAAATATAATGGAAATAAGCTTAACTCTATTTTAAAAGAAAGCTAGTATTTTCATTAAAATATGCAAATGCACTATGACTTTTAATACAATTAAAATACATAGCAATGAACTGATAAAATATATTGGATTAGAAAATGACAGCAAACTCTGTGCCTATTAGTTTCCTTCATATTTTTCTGATGGCATGTAGAGAACATGATCTGTTTCCTCTTTAGCATCAAATGTCTCCTTTAGCCTTTTTCAGAGAAACTCCTCTTTTTTCATGTATTCTTCTCATCCAAAACCCTAGAGCTGGATCTGGGTTAGTATAAATGAGAATCATCACATGGAATTTACCTAACATGTTTTATTGGTGCATGTATTTCAGGTTTGCCCCATTAGACAGAATGAGTACTTTATATTCTACAATTGGGAGAGATGTTTTCTTTCCTGCTCTATGTGATTAAGAAAGCCCATTGCCCCAGTTGCATCTGCCATTAGGCATACCCACAAGGTGGGCCTGTCTCAGAAAGAAGGGAAAAGAAAGGCCAGCAGAGCAGAAAAATAAAAAGAGCTTGCGTCCTTGTTAACATCACTAGGCTGCTGAATCAACCCCTAGACTTCCCCTAATGGAACTTTTTTTTTTCCTAATTGCTTAGCCTGGTTTTAATTGGGATTTCAGTTATTTTCAGCAGTCTCCCTGCTTTCCCTCCGTAAAAACCCCGCCAAATAAATAAAATGGGCATAAATACAGAAGGCAGTCCATTATGAACTCTTTTTCCATCTTAGCTTTTTCGTTGGAATTCTCTCAACTCTATTCTGTGTTTAAATCCAGCACTGGACTAACATGTTTTCTGGGAATTCCAGGGAAGCCATGGTGCTGCAGTTTGTTGCTGATAGGAAGAAGCAGAAACTGACACAGGACACTGGAGGCCTGGTTCCGCCAGCTGACTCTGTCATCTTGCCTGCTTTCCCTATATGTTTACTCCGCTTGAGTTTTTGGTCCTGACATCTGGTCGGTATTATTAAAATTTGTCCTGTTAGTGAGCGTGCAACTTTTTTGCGTGCCAGATTTTTTCATGTTTTACTTTATTTTAATGACTTAGTGGTTTTAACATATGAATTGGGTTGTTTCAAGAAGTATTAAAGACATTGGTGGCAAATTTAGATGCTACAGTAGAAAATAAAGCAATAGGTAAGCCCATTTGCTACAGATTAAGTAATATCAACAGTAGGCAAAACAATAAGGATCACTGAAGGGAAGAATAATAGAGTGTACCTGCAGAGCTAAGAAAGGGTTTCTTTTCCAGACAATTTATTCCTATTTAGATTTAAATAGTTTAAATATGTGTGTATATGTGTAGAATTTTTATTGAAGAAATCTATTAGGAAAATGTGTTGGCATGAAATTATCCTCCTAGTTTCCTAGGCATATTGTTTATTACTGGTGGGAAATAGCACGATGTTGTGTACCATCTCACTTTTTTCACTTACTCTAGATCTGTGTGTGCTTTTGATCATTCATGACTTCAAAGCCCCTCAGATGTTCATGATTTCAGGCCTTAACTTTAGCCAACGTGTTTCCCCAGCTCAAGATATATTCATTCAATTGTCTATAGGAGGTCACCACCAGAATTTCTGCAGGCAGCTCTCTTTTGTCACATCCAAAACTGAATCTATTGTTTTCTCAGAAGCCAGCTCCTTCTTTCCTTCTCCAAGCAAACATTTATGAATGTCTAGTGTGTTCAGGGCTTTGTCTTAAGAACTCCAACCCTCAAAGGGTACATTGTAGTGAGGAGACAGATAAAGCAATAACTATAGTGTTGTGGCTAGTACAGTGCTAGTTATAAGAGGCAAGTGTGTGATCTTGGACATTTTGCATGAACTCTCCGTAGTTTAGTTTCTTTATCTGTAAAATGAAGATAATAAAATCTCCTTAGAGAGTTAATGTGAGGATTAATTCAATCACATATGTGAAGAGCACAGAACACACTACACACTCAATGATTATTAGCAACTATCATCATTATTATTAGTTACATTATATAGGAAGTGAAAATTAAGCTTTAAACATCACATTTAATAGTGAAATATTAGAGCCATGCTATCCTCACTAAGGCAATTAGATGAGAAAAGTTGAAACATAAAAATTGGAAGGAAAGATGCAAATGTCAATCTGGAGATTATTTGACTATATGCATAGAAAACCCAAATAATCAAATGATAAAAATAATAGAAGCAATAGGTAAAAACTCCATAAAATAGCTGATTACAGTATTAATATGCAAAAATCAGTAGTTGTACAATATATAAAAACCACAAAAGAATGTGTTTGCTCTTGCTTCTCTAGTTCTTTTAATTGTGATGTTAGGGTGTCAATTTTAGATCTTTCCTGCTTTCTCTTGCGGGCATTTAGTGCTATAAATTTCCCTCTACACACTGCTTTAAATGTGTCCCAGAGATTCTGGTATGTTGTGTCTTTGTTCTCGTTGGTTTCAAAGAACATCTTTATTTCTGCCTTCATTTCGTTATGTACCCAGCAGTCATTCAGGAGCAGGTTGTTCAGTTTCCATGTAGTTGAGCGGTTTTGAGTGAGTTTCTTTATCCTGAGTTCTAGTTTGATTGCACTGTGGTCTGAGAGACAGTTTGTTGTAATGTCTGTTCTTTTACATTTGCTGAGGAGTGCTTTACTTCCAACTATGTGGTCAATTTTGGAATAGGTGTGGTGTGGTGCTGAGAAGAATGTATATTCTGTTGATTTGGGGTGGAGAGTTCTGTAGATGTCTATTAGGTCCGCTTGGTGCAGAGCTGAGTTCAATTCCTGGATATCCTTGTTAACTTTCTGTCTTGTTGATCTGTCTAATGTTGACAGTGGGGTGTTAAAGTCTCCCATTATTATTGTGTGGGAGTCTAAGTCTCTTTGTAGGTCTCTAAGGACTTGCTTTATGAATCTGGGTGCTCCTGTATTGGGTGCATATATATTTAGGATAGTTAGCTCTTCTTGTTGAATTGATCCCTTTACCATTATGTAATGGCCCTCTTTGTCTCTTTTGATCTTTGTTGGTTTAAAGTCTGTTTTATCAGAGACTAGGATTGCAACTCCTGCCTTTTTTTTTTTGTTTTCCATTTGCTTGGTAGATCTTCCTGCATCCCTTTACTTTGAGCCTATGTGTGTCTCTGCATGTGAGATTTGTCTGCTGAATACAGCACACTGATGGGTCTTGACTCTTTATCCAATTTGCCAGTCTGTGTGTTTTAATTGGAGCACTTATCCCATTTACATTTAAAGTTAATATTGTTATGTGTGAATTTGATCCTGTCATTATGATGTTAGCTGGGTATTTTGCTCGTTAGTTGATCCAGTTTCTTCCTAGCCTCGATGGTCTTTACAATTTGGCATGTTTTTGCAGTAGCTGGTACCGATTGTAAATATTATGAAATATTCCTTGTAACAAACCTCCTAACAAGTTGTTATTATTATGCTCATGTTATAGATAAGGAAACTGAGGTACAGATAGGTCAAGTAATTTGCTCAAGATCTCACAACCTGTAAGCGGGAGAACCAGGCTTCAAATTCAGGCAACCTGGCTCCAGAGTTTGTGCTCTTAACCAGTACACTGTGAGACAATAAGTAAAACAATTTGTTACAAGCCCAAGAACAAACAGAGATAGAAACATAAGAGTCTAGGAAGAGATATAGATATACATGAAAATTTAGTATGTAATGAAGTATACCTTTTAAGTACGGAAAAATGATGGATTATTCAGTAAATTGTGTTAGATAATAGTGAAAAATAAAGGTACTTTTTTTTTCATCAAATTTCATGTGGATCAAAATTTAAATATAAAAATATATTAATACCATAGAGTACTATAAAAATATGAAGGAATTTTTTAAAATAATCTTTTAGTGGGTAAGACTTTCTAATAGAAAAATTCAGAAGCCATAAAATTAATCATTTTCATGTGGTACAAGTTATATTCTGAATTTCTCATTTCTCCTTACAAAAGTCTAAAAAAGGTCAAAGAGAAATTTGAGAACTTTTGTTGTTTATGGTGTGAGTGATGTGCATGTAATGTATATATGAGCCATTTATTAATGTAAAACCAAAAGAACCCATGGTTACTGGAGTAAGTTTCTTGAAATATTCTGTTAACTTTTTTAGTGATGCTCCCCCTGCCTTCTTTCTCATATGAATTAGGAAAAAACATTTATTTACTTGTGTGGTGGGTTGGGGGAGGAAATCAAAACATCTTTTGTATCTAAGTTTAAATTGAGCAATGGATAAGATATTAAAATCAATGATTCCGGTTAGATGTAGCAATTAATATTTTGCTTAACTCTGAATTTCATCTTCTTCATGGATCTTGAGGATCAGAAAGGTGTTTTTAAGAAAACTTCAAATGTATACCAACATGACTCAGAGAAGCTCTGTTTATAATAACTTCAGAAAATTTAAAATATTAAGTAAATATAATTAAATTACTAAAATTGATTTAAAATATTACAGAAAAAGGTAGAAAATGAAACACAAAAAGTTACTTATAATACTACTGCTATAATGTAATCATCACTATAATTTTGGCATATTTCTTTCAACTCTATTTTTTTCCTATGCATCCGATCTCCTGCAAAGTAAATATCAGAAAATATGTAAAACTGTAATAGCAAGAAATAAGATGATTTATTTTACAAATTTAACAGCCCAAATATGTTTTCCTAGGCACGTGGTTTTTTTTTTGAGGATTCTTTGTTAATGTTCCTTGTTCTTTTTGTTAGAAATCCATGATTTTCTCATTGATTTTTATGGGCTCAGTGAAAAATAAGATGCTAGTTTTTTTTCATATTTATAGCATATATGTTGGATATTTTAACCTATAGGACTTTAAACAATATCTGTAGTCAAATTTAGCATACCTTATCTTTCGTATTTTTGCTTTTTTTGCATTTTAACATTTTAAGATTGTAAACTATAATATGGAAAAGTATGCAAATATAAAATTTAGCCATTTCCGAGTTGAAATCTAGAGAGTTAAACATGCATTCTTAATTTATCAACGTCGTTTATCTTTACCCACATATTTACTCTCTTTTGGTCTTCATTCCTTAATGTCTTTTAGTTTTCATTTGGAATCATTTGTTTTCTGTCTAATGTTTTAGCATTTACTTTAATGTAGTTCTTCTGGTAACAAATTTTCTGTTTTTGTTTGTCTAAAAATATTTCAATTTGAATTCATTCTTGATACTTTTGCTAAGCATATAATTTTAATTTTGCAATTACTTTCTTTCTGCATGTTAAGATATCATCTCACTGTCTTTCAACTTCCATAGTTTCACCATAGTTTCACATAAGAAGATGGCCATCTAATTGTTCCTTTGAAGGTACTGTATCAGTTGCAATTGCTATGTATGAAATCATCATAAACTTATTACCTCAAAACAAGACACATTTATAATCTCACATTTTCTATGGGTTGGAGCCAAACAAGGGTTACTTGGAGTTTCTGCTCAGGATCTCACAAGGCTGAAATCAAGGTCAGCTGGGGCTGTGATCTAATCTGAATCTCAGGTGTCTCTTCCAAGGTCATTCAGATTTTTGCAGAATTCAGTTCCTTGCAGTTGTAGGACTGAGGTTCCTGTTTTCTTGTTGGCTTTTCACTGTGGATTATTCTCAGCTCCTAGAGGCCACCAGTTTCTAGTCATATGGCCATCTTACAACATGGCAGCTTACTTCTTCAAATCCAGCAGGAAAATCTGTCTTTAGCCTGCTGCCAGTGAGTCTTATGTAATATAATCACAGGAGTAGCTATCCCACCACCTTTGCCATGCACTGAAAACTAACCAAGGGAGAACTATCCCATCATATTCACAGATCTCATTCAAGAGGAGGAGGAGGAATTCTGCCTACTATAGCTACTTTGAGATTTCTTCCTTGTCTTTTGTTATCATTGGTTTTATTATGATGCATCTAGGTGCGAATTTATATTTTATTTATCCAATTTTGAAGTTGATTGGTCCTTAATCTGTGAATCAATTTCATTAGTTTTGAAAAATTCTTAGGCATTATCTCTAACCATATTTTCTTTTTTTCTTTTTCTTTTTAGTTGACCCATAGTCATGATACATATTTATGGGACATAGAATGATATATATATATGTAACGTATAATGATCCAATCAGGATAATTAACATATCTGTCACCTCAAGCATTAATCATTTCTTTGCACTGTGAACACTCAAAATCCTCTCTTCTTAATGCTTTTCAAAAATTTGCAATACATTATAGTTAACCATATTTACCCTAAGTGCTGCAGAACACTATAATTCATCTCTCCTATCTAGCTGTAATTCCAAATGTAATTTCTGACCTATTCTTTTTTTTTTTTGCTTTCCTTTGGAAACAACAGTTACTATATGTAACATGTTTTTACTATGTCCTCTATGTCTCAGGCACTTTCCTATATTTTCCATTCTTTACTCCTTTCTAAATATTTTCTTCTGAGCTCTCTTCCTGTTCACTAATATTGCCTTCATCCAAGTCTAATCTACTACTGAAACCAGGCACTGAGTTCTTAATTTCCATTACAGTTTTTGATTATAGGGCCTCCATTTTATTCTTTTTCACATTGACTATGCAATGTTTTAATAATTAATTCTTGCTACAATTTGTTTTATGCTGTTATAAGTACAGTTATTGTATTAGTCCATTTTCACACTACTGTAAAGAACTGCCCAAGACTAGGTAATTTATAAAGAAAAGAGGTTTAATTGACTCATAGTTCCATATGCCTGGGGAGGCCTCAGAAAACTTACAGCCATGGCAGAAGAGGAAGCAAGCACGTCTTACATGGTGGCAGGCAAGAGAGCAAGTTCAGGAAGAAGGAACTGTCAAACACTTCTAAAACTATCAGCTGTCGTGAGAAACCTCTCACTATCATGAGAACAGCATGAGGGAACCACCCCCATGATCCAACCACCTCCCACTAGGTCCCTCCCTCAACATGTGGGGATTACAGGGTTTATAATTTGAGATGAGATTTGGGTTGGGGGGGCACAGAGCCAAACCATATCACTCATTTTAAAGTCTGTGACAGATAATTCTAATACATGAAACCCCTCTAGGTATATTTATTTTATCTGTTATTTTTATTATTTCTCATTCATGTTGCCTTTTCTATACACGTACCTAGTTATTTTTGATGGTAGACTTAACAAGGTATTTTAAAATTTGTAAAAATTTAAAGGCCTAGGATAATATTATCTTCATACAGAGAGAAACATTTTATCTGACTTTTTTAGCTTCAGTTCAATGAAAATTAAAGATTTTTAGAATTCAATTTTGAGGAACAAGATTTGCTGAGCTATCTGAGTGATGCAAAGCTGGTCTGTAGTTCATCTTTACTTGTTTATTTTTGGTTCATTATTACCATTAGGGTACGTCCTTTCAGGATTCCTACCTAAAGGGTGGTGTTTTATAAGGACCAACATCCTTTGCTATTGTACCTCAACCTTTGGTTCCTAACATTATAGGACTGTCAAAGATGCCAGTCTTTCAGCTACCAGTGTTATTTGAGCCCAAAAATGACAGGCTTAACTCTCTGAATTTCATAGTCTTCCAAGATCTTAAGCAGGTAATTCTTCACTATTTTTAAACTTCTTCATTTTTTTGAGAATATGTTTTTGTATTTTATTCAGTTTTTCTAGTTGTTCTCAGTAGGATGGTTGGTCCAACCTAGCACACTGTTTTTCAAAGTAGAATTCCTGCACTTTTATTTCCTGAAGTTGTTGCATGATGTTTAAACTTAGCATTCTCCTCTAAAGTTATGATAAATATTCAATTTAAAAATATTTGCATATGTTTTATTTAATTTGCATATATAATATATATGTATGTATTTCTTCAATATTTTTCTATTATTATTTAGGTATATAATTCTCTATTAATTACTCATGTATTTTCCAAGGAGACAGCTACCAAAAGAAAATTTCTGTTTTGAAATAGCAACTCATTCTGTTACTCAGTTGGATTGCAGTGGCACTATCATAGCTCACAGTAGCCTTGAACTCCTGGACTCAAGCAATCCTTCTGCCTCAGCCTCCTAAGTAGCTAGTACTATCGGTGTGTGCTACCATGCCTGACTAATATTTTGTATTTTTTTGTACAGATGGGCACAACTAAATACATCATTTCATTAAAATATCAAATATTCTTTATTTTTCTTTAAATTTGAAACTACTTAAATAAAATTGGAGTATGTTAATAGGTTAACTGAAGAATTGCTACCACAAACTAACTAGAATATGCTCTCTAACTAATGGCTACATTATGCTTACACTAGTGACTAAGAACTGATGCACACTTTTTCCTATATTTTTCAGTTTTATGAAGGAATAACATGCTGAAGAACATTAGAACATGTTGTAGTTGAAACACTCCTACAGGCTATGGAGAATGCTTTCAAAATTTGATTAGCCAGGGATCAAAATAAGGATCATTCAAATTTTAGCTCAATATCCTGTTTAATTGTTGTTATCAGGTTGAGTGTCTTTTTGTTTCTTCTCCATTGCTATCTTAAGCAAAACTAATTTAAAGAGAAAATTTTTCTGTTAATAAAAAAGTGGGTAAAATAGTTTGAGGCCAGTGACTTTGTATGTGTGTGACTGTCTTTGTAGGTGTTTCCATGTAAATGAAATAAAAAGCTCCGTTATCTTTATAAAAATCCAATTTCAAACACACTAATCTTATTATATAAAGATTGCCATATAAAATATCATTCTGTGTTTTAAGATAGACTTAGTAGGTAGATATCCTTCTTCCAGCAGTGTATGTGTGTGTGTGTGTGTGTATGTGAGCACACATGTGCCTGTATATTTAGGTAGAACTGGTGCACGTGGTTGGGGAGAGTCTGTGGGGAGACGTGCTGATGTGCTGATGGAATACAGCTTAGGAGGGAGGGATAGCTGGAGACAGGAAATATTTTTCCTGTTGCTTTGTGATTTAGCAATTCATAGCTAGAGTTGCTGCCAAGCATTCTGAAATTTTCTGAAGTGACTGAATTTAACATTTGGGGTAACTTTTTATCTCTACTCACCTGCCCTTTGATTTAGATGTTGTTCAGAGTAGAATAAGTCATACTTGGATTTCCATCCAGCTTTATGCTTTCTGTTGAATGGTTTCAGGAAAGTTATGTAACTTCCCTGTGCCTCAGTCTTCTCATTGGTAAAATATCAATAATAATAGCACTTATTTCATAGAGCTTTAGGAAGATTGAATGAGGTAAATTATGTTAGGTGCTAAGTAGAATGGCTGGCACTCATTAATGTAAACAATTATTGTAATTATTAAATCTTAAACATTGAAACTGGAAGGGACCTTTAAAATGCATTGGACTAAACCCTTAATTTTATAGAGTATAAAATTTAATTACTGAGATATAAAGTACTACTTTTAAAGTCATACAACCAACTAGAGTAGAGCTCAAACTTGAGGTTTTCATGACTCTTAGGATTGAATATTCTGTTTACTGAAAAAAATCAGATAAATAAATAAATGAACAAGAGAGTATTGTAAATAAAGATTGCAGATAATATTCAAGATACATTCTAGATATAATTGTGATTCTAAAATGTAGAGAATGAATCAAGTTTTCTGGAGATTCTAAAAATATTTTGGATTGTTATCACTATGAATGGTTTAGATAGGGCTTTGGAACACATATGACAATTACAGGCATACTTCATTTTATTGCACTTCACTTTATTGTGCTTTGTGCAAATATTGCATTTTTAAAAAATAGAAGGTTTGTGGCAACACTGCATCAAGCAAGTCTATTGGTACCATTTTTCCAAGAGCAGGTGCTCACTTTACTTCAATCTGTTACATTTTGGTAATTCTTGCAATATTTCAAATCTTGTTATTATATCTGTTTTGCAGATCTGTAATCAGCAATCTCTGATGTTACCATTATAACTGTCCTGGGGTGTCACAAATTGTGCCCATATAAGACAGGAAACTCAGTAAGTAAATATGGGCATTCTAATTGCTCCACCAATTGGCCATTCCCTCATCTCTCTCCCTTTCTTCAGGCCTCCCTATTCCCTGGGACACAACAATATTGAAATTAGACCAATTAATAACCCTACAATGTCCTCTAAGTGTTAAAGTGAAATGAAGAGTGGCACATCTCTCACTTTCAGTCAAAAGTTAGAAATGATTGAAATTAGTGAGGAAGACATGTGGAAAGCCAAGGTAGGCTGAAAGCTAAGCCTCTTGAGCCAAACCGTTGTGAATGCAAAGGAAAAGTTCTCAAAGAAAATTAAAAGTGCTACTTCAGCGAACACACAAATGATAAGAAAGTGAAATAGTTTCATTGCTGATACAGAGAAAGTTTTAGTGGTCTGGATAAAAGATCAAACAAGTCACAACATTCCCTAAAGCCAAAGCCTAATCCAGAGCAAGGCCATACCTCTGTGCAGTTCTTTGAAGGCTGAGAGAAGTGAGGAAGCTACAGAAGAAAATTTAAAATTGGCAAAGGTGGGTTCATGGGGTTTAAGGAAAGAGGCCATCTTCATAATATAAAAGTGCAAGGTGAAGCAGTGAGTGCTGATGGAGAAGCTGAAGCAAGTTATCCAGAGATCAAGCTAAGATAATTGACAAAGGTGGCTATGTTAAACAACAGACTTTCAATATAGACAAACAGCCTTCTATTGGAAGAAGATGCCATCTAGGACTTTCATAGCTAGAGAGGAGAAGTCAATGCCTGACTTCAAAGCTTTAAGGGGCAGGCTGACTCTCTTGTTAGGGGCCAATGAAGCTGGCAACTTCAAGTTGAAGCCAATATTCATTGATCGTTCTGGAAATCCTAAGTTCCTTAGGAATTATACTATACCTACTCTGCTTGTTCTCTATAAATAGAACAACACAGCTTGGGCGACAGCAAGTCTTTTTACAGACTGTTTACTAAAAATTTTAAGCCCGCTGTGGAGACCTAATGTTCAGAAAAAAAGATTATTTCCAAAATATTACTGCTCATTGATAATGAATTGGTCATCCAAGGGCTCTGATGGACATGTGCAAGGACATTGATGTTATTTTTATATTTTATATTTTATTAATTCCTCTGATAGGTCTTGGCAAAGTGAGTTGAAAACCTCCTGGAAAGGATTCACCATTTTAAATGCCATTAAGAACATTTGTGATTCATAAGAGGAAGTCAAAATATGAACATTAACAGGAGTTTGAAAGAAGTCGATTATCACTCTTATGGATAACTTTGGGGAGTTGAAGACTTCAATGGAGGAAGTAACTGCAGATATGGTAGAAATAGCAAGAGAACTACAATTATAAGTGAAGCCTGAAGATGGGACTGAATTGCTGCAATCTCATGATAGAACTCGGATGGATGAGTGATGAGGAGTTGCTTCTTATGGATGCACAAATAAAGTGGTTTCTTTTTTCTTTTC
Organism: Homo sapiens; assembly: GCF_000001405.40. Lineage (NCBI taxonomy): Eukaryota > Metazoa > Chordata > Mammalia > Primates > Hominidae > Homo > Homo sapiens. The sequence goes on along the minus strand of NC_000003.12, from coordinate 153,941,739 downwards.
CTTTTTTTTTTTTTTTTTTTTTTAATTTTTGAGACAAGGTCTCACTATGTTGCCCAAACTGGAGTGCAGTGGCACAATAACATCTCACTGTAGCTTGACCTTCTGGGCTCAAGCAATCCTCCCACCTCAGCCTCCTGAGTAGCTGGGACTATAGGTATGCACCATCATTCCCAGCAAATTGATTTTTTTTTTTTTTTTTTTGGAGAGAGAGTGTTTCCCTATGTTGCCCAGGCTGGTCTCAAACTCCTGGGCTCAAGTGACCATCTCATTTTGGCCTCCCAAATTGCTGGGATTACAGCAACTACTGCAACTGGCCAGAAAGTGTTTTTTTGCGAGGGAATCTGTTCTTGGTGAAGATGCTGTGAACCTTGTTTTTTTTTTTTTTTTTTTTTTTGAGACAGAGTCTCGCTCTGTTACCCAGGCTGGAGTGCAGTGGTGCGATCTTGGCTCACTGCAAACCCCGCCTCCTGGGTTCACAGTATTCTCCTGCCTCAGCCTCCTGAGTAGCTGGGACTACAGGCACCTGCCAGCATGCCCGGCTATTTTTTTGTATTTTTAGTAGAGACGGGGTTTCACCGTGTTATCCAGGATGGTCTTGATCTCCTGACCTCGTGATCTGCCCACCTAAGCCTCCCAAAGTGCTGGGATTACAGGCGTGAGCCACCGTGCCCGGCCCTGTGAACATTGTTGAAATAACAGCAAAGAATTTAGAATGTTACATAAACATGGTTGATTAGGCAGCAACAGGGTTGGAGAAGATTGACTCCAATTTTGAAGGAGGTTCTACTGATAGTAAAATGCTGTTAAACAGCATCATAGGCTACAGAAAACTCTTCTGAAAGGAAGTGTTGACAGATACACCAAAGTTCATTGTTTTATTTTAAGAAATTGCCATAGCCACCCCATCCTTCAGCAACCACCACTCTGCCAACAGTCACCACAATTGAGGTAAGATGCTCCATCAGCCAAAAGATTATAACTCACTGAAGGCTCAAGATGATTGTTAGCATTTTTCACAATAAAATATCTTTAAATTAAGATATACACAAATTTTAAGACATAATGCTATTGCATACTTAATAGACTACAATATAGTGTATATATAAGTAAATAAAAAATTTATGTGACTTAACTTATTATTATACTCTCTTTATTGTAGTAGTCTGGATCCAACCCACAATATCTTCGAGGTATGCCTATACAGAGTCTGTAGGAAAAAAGGAAACAGGAGGGAATGTAACACATAATAATTTAAATAGAGTACTGAAATTGTATGGTTATTCATAATGCAATGCTACATATATGTGAAGAAGTTGAGAATCGTGATATTATGTCCTTTATTTTACAAACGATTTTGCAAAGGAGACCCAAAAGAGAAGCAGGGAGTGGGTGGCTCACTTAAATGAGCATTAAATCAGACCTCCGTAAGTGATATACTATACCAGTATTTCCCATTTCAAGAGCTAGATCAATGTGTAGACTCTCACTGCTGACTTGTGGATCGGCCATGTCTGTTTTTACTAGTATCACTGGGACTCCTTGATATTGACTGCTTCCCGTTATTGCCATTGTGATCTCCTCTCACTTGCAGTCTTCTCTAGGCAGCTGATGGAGGGAATGGGTAAGCCTTGTGCCACTGGGGAAATGGGAGAGGTGATGGTTGAAAGAATTGCAGAATGGCTCTGGGAATAGCCATGAATGTAGTCCTGAGCTTTTTCTCACTGGGTAAAGCAATGAAACAAGGAATCCTAACTTGGAGAAAAAAAAGTTTTTTTCTTTTTAGGAAAGATAATAAGAGTGTGAGGAAAGGGTGGAGTGAGCAGTAAAATGAATCGGAGAGAAAGAGGGCAGTTTTTACCATTTGCATTTAGTATCTAACTTTAAGACCTTGGAGATGATTATTTTTGGCATGAATCCATTATCATACAGATATAACTCTTCAATAATGAGGTCATTTTAAAAACATGCAGTAAAAAACTGGGATAATGCAGGTCCAGGAGGAGGGCCTGTGTTGTGTCACTGGGAGGTTCAGCATATGAGGGCTTGTGTTATTGCTGCTTATGGCGGAGACACCCTAGGAGAAGGCCTGTAGGCCCTGTGTCTGCCTCAGCTGTCTCATTTCTCTCTGTATCTCTCTCAGGGATCTATTCATCTCAATTACATAATAATCATCCCACGTATCAGATATGGCTTACATTTCTTGATATAGTGTGTGTGTGTTTTAATGATGAGCATGGTGCTCAATGTTAAGAGGGGCAGAAAAGTGGCAACATGCCTCATAAGTTCAGTAAAGTGGAAAGAGAAAACGATTTTGCTGAATTTTCCACGTAGCTTGTGAAAGTTATGATAGGGTGGTTTGTTTTCTATCTAAAAATAAAGTCAAGATTGTTGGCTTCTTCCTCTCCTCCCAGTAGGAAGTACATCCACTCCAGTTTCTCTATTCTATTCCTTCAACTTGCTTGTCTATTCATGATACATTTATTCATTGATTAACCAACATCCTTTTAAGATCTGCTACAAAGCTGGACACTGTGGTAGCTCTGAGGAGATGATGGGAGACAGCCATTAGTCCCATACTCATACAAATATAATCAACTGTGACATGTGCTATATGGGGCTAGAAAGAGTATATTACAGAGACTCAACTCCATCAAGACCATGTCAGAGAAGGCTTCTCTGAGAAAGTGATGTTTGGGCTGAGATCTGGGAGATGACTAGAAGTTAATCAGAAAAAGTCAAGCAACTAGAAGGGGTGGAAAGAAGAGATTCAGAGTGACAGCAATGTTTTGGTTGGGCAAATATTAGACTCCACATTGGGAGTCTAATATTTAAGTTAGTATCTAACTTTAAGACCTTGGAGATAATTATTTTTGGCATGAATCCATTATCATACAGATATTACTCTTCAATAATGAGGTCATTTTAAAAATGCGCAGTAAAAAACAAGACTAATTCAAGTCCAGGAAGATGGCCTGTGTTGTGTCACTCGGAGGTTCAGCATATGAGGGCTTGTGTTATTGCTGTTTAAGGCAGAGACACCCTAGAGACATGGGAGAACCATGTTGCATACTGCACAACACTGGTGATGACTCTGTGCCCTAGCACAGCAAAACATCTTGACCTGGCACCATCATCTCACTCATGTATGTCATTTTCTATGGGCACTACAATATTTTTCCTCAAGTTTATGTAAGATATTTTGGAACTCTTCTGAAAATTTAATATACTCCTGCTGTATCATCACTTTGTTTCCTGTCTCTTACCTCAACTCAAAAGCCTTTTCCTAACTCATTATCACAAAGGAGAATACAATGTGGAGATTTAACTGAATTATACAATATAGGATTTCTGGTATTTGGCAGGATCCCATACCATTTACTATATTGACACATGATGGGGCCTAGAATTAAACTCTCTTTAATCATTGACTCACCTGCACCAGAGATGTACATATTGTGCCTCACAATCCCACTGGTATAGAAAACTGAACATTGAAATTGTTCCCATCCTCTGAAAAAACCTGCTTTTTTTTTGTCAAGCAGCTCATAAAAGCATGACCTAGAATTTCTTTCCTTGCTGTTTTTTTCTCATTTATTTTGTACATTTTAACAATTTCTAAGCTGGCTACAGACCTTGAACTAACAATTGAGAACACTTTTATAAGTCTCAGTTAAGAGCTCATGAACCATTATATAGCTCAGCAAGAAAGTGTGTGGCTGAGAGGTACAATTACCTATCCATTGGAGTTGCATTTCCCCCCTCCCCACCTCCAGTTGAAGGTAAAAAGCCTCTTGAGGTCACCAAATTAAAGAATGTTCTGTCTCTCAAAAGAAGAGGTACACATGTTCTCAGCAAATCAAAATGTTCTGATGAAAGTACTTCCCAGGAAAAATGGCAGGAAAATGTTGAAACTGTGTTTCATATTTGGTTCAGGTTCTGCCAAGATAGATTCTTTTTCACAAGGCTGGGGAGGTAAGCATGTTGGAGCTAGAAAAGAGAGAACCCTGCTGGAACTGTACTGAAAAACCTGCCGGGTAATGACACTGTTTCCTTTTTATTTTTGTTTGAGCTGCAATAAAGCTGGTACTTCAGAACACAAAAGCTAGATTCCTGCTGTGACTTCTCAAAAACTGCTTCTCAAAATACTCATGCAACAGCTGACACATAAAAAATGTACATGAATGTCTGGATGGCTTCCCAGACCTGTCTGGAAGTACACACCCAGTTTTCAGGTAGGTTCAATGTATGATGCTCTGAAGTCTGTTTTTCAAGAGTCATAATCTTGGGAGGCTGAGGCGGGTGGATCACAAGGTCAGGAGATCTAGACCATCCTGGCTAACACGGTGAAACCCCATCTCTACTAAAAATACAAAAAATTAGCTGGGCGTGGTGGCGGGCACCTATAGTCGCAGCTACTCGGGAGGCTGAGGCAGGAGAATGGCATAAACCTGGGAGGCGGAGCTTGCAGTGAACCGAGATCACGACACTGCACTCCAGCCTGGGTGCAGTGAGACTCCATATCAAAAAAAAAAAAAAAAAAAAAAGAGTCATAATCTTCCCATGTAGCTTGAAGTTGTGGTCTATCCTGACTGACATTCATGAAGTCATACATAACCTTAGAAAAATCCATTCCTGACTTCTTCAGGATGTTTGCTTGCATTTTTAGGGTTGCTTCTGTATTCTGGAGTTAATCAAGGAAGATGGGCAGAGTCCTCAGAAGGCATCATGAGTGCAGGGTTCTGTTATGGTTCTGCTACCAGGCTTATGTTTAATGTTGATCTTTTACTGGATGTCAGTTTCCTCGTCTGTAAAATGAACAGATGAAAAAGGATGACAAGTATAGAAGGACTGTATAAAGTGATTGCAGTAGGGCCAGCTAAAAACCTGCCCGGTTGATGCCAGAGCCACCTGGGTACCAAGAAGTTTTTATTCAGGCCAAGCTTCTGTCAATTATAATAACATGAAGAAATTTTTGAATCAAACCTTTAAAGAAACATCGTAAGGATTAGTTGAGAATGAATGACAACTACATGCATGTTAGAATTCTGTTAATTAACATATACCCAGGGGTGTTCTGATATCTTGATGGCTTAGATAACCATTTTCATTTTCTGCTCTATAAATAATTAATGTAAAAGAAACCAGACTGCACTTTTTCCTGTCTTTCTCAAACGTAAGTCATTTCTGAGTTTCTTACTTTTTTTTTTTTACAATTCTAATTATTAGTTATGAAAAACATTGTCAGGTCCTACATTTTTCTCAAGATTTATTCCAAATACTAAGTTTTGATATCAGAATTTCTAAATAATATACTCTGCAAAAAGCCAACTACGTACTTTGTTCTTTGGTCCCCAAAAGACTTTGCTTTCTGCTCAGGGCTGCCACTCTCTCTGCTAACAGCTAACATTCACTGAGCTATTGGGGCAGACACTGGGCAGAGTGCTTACATGTGTCACTTCACTTAGTGACCACAACTCCATGAATTAAAATGATAATTTATCCTCATTTTACAGATATGCAAACTGAGACTCAGAGATGTCAAGTAACTTATCCAGAGTCTCACAGCTAGCGCGTCACTCATTCTAGAACCAAACAGCTGATTTATCTTTCTGAACTAACCTGTGGCCTTTTAAGTGTTCTGTGTTTCTTCCTGGGTGTCTACCTTCTTTGATTTTTTCTGAGTGCTGTTGTGATAAGTAATAAGTTTAAACTACTTTTAGTAGGAAGTATCACTGAAAATAAATTCTCCTACTGGTAGTTCTGTGATAGTCATGGCATTTCCTGTGCAACATCATGAACTGTTCTCCCTTGCTGAAGCAACAGTTTAACATGCTACAAGTTAACCTTTCAACACTGATTAACGTGTAAGTAAAAAAGAAAAAATAACACTTTAACGAAAGTCACTATAAAATTGCAGTCATTATGTATAGTGCAGTAATTTTCAATCCAATTTCAGTAGTGGGATCTATTCCCATTAGGGGCTTTCCATATATATACTTATTTCAGTAAGCACCAACCACTTTATGATTTCTGATGAGTCCCTGTGTTAGAAAGAAGGTTGAGATTCTCTGGTATGTAGTAAATCTCAGTATGTAGTACGGACCTTGATATAACCTGCAAGAAAAGTCTGCTTATTCACTGGGCTCTGTGAACACAGTGCCAAAGCTCTAGGTTCTTTTAAGGAGCCCACGTAAATGTTTGTGACAAGGAAAAGGAACTAATGGCTCCAAAATATAAAAAAGAAGTTGCAAAATGAAAAAAAAAGTTTAAATAAGTATTTATATACTGTAACATGTCAGTCTTATTAATCTTTTAAATTTTATTCATAAAAACTTCATTACATATGAAAACAATTTGTAGGTTAGATTTTTTATTTGTATGTAAAACGATTCCTGAGAAATCATAGCACAGTGTAAATTAAATGGCTTAATTACAGTCTCTGAAATTATCTTGCTTATTTTTCCCCTTGCTTATTATCTGTCTCCTTCTATGAGTATACAAGCTCTGTGGGAGCAGAGACCTTGTATTTCTTTTTCATTTTTGTATCTCCATTGCCTAGAGTGTGTCTAACATATTTATGAAAGATAATCAATAAATATTTTTAAGTGAATGAAGCAAACATATGCATACATACAAACACTCACATATGGTAAGTTACTACAAGGCATCCTATACTTACGAGGCAGTATATGTCTGCTTAAAGGAGATGGAGAATGGATTGGCTTATGTGAGGATAGGCAGACCCTGAAAAGAATAGGAATGAAGTGAAAGGGGAGTATTAGCACCTCCTTCTCTCCCCTGTCCCTCTGCCCCCTGCTCCAATCAGGATGCCATGTTAACTCCTCAGTGCCATACATTACAATGGGGCAGGAGGAAAGCCGATTGATAGTAGAAAGTTATTTTCTATGTCCACATAGTTGCTAGCATGTTGTACCACCTGGGGTAATTCTGAAAATTTGGTGATTCCATGTAGATTGTATGTAATTAGCTCCACTCCCAGAGATGCATAAGTATCAAGATTTCAGTGTGGAACAGGATGAGTGAGAGAACTGTGAAGCACATGGTAACTGGAATACCGCTTTTTAAAAGCAAAATAAAGCAACACAATGGAAACAGTCACTTTTGCAGCAACAATGCAGACCCCAAGATGATGGCAGAACTTTCAAGTATTGCCACAGTGCACACAGAAGCGGCTTGCTGCTTGGCTGTCCACTTGCCCACGTGGCAACCCCTCAATTCTCACCTTTTTGTCCTCAGAAAAAGGAAGCTGTGGCACTTTTCCTTTAGAGCTGAAATATCTTCCAATTGTATATTCCAAATCAAATTTTTTTTTTATTATACTTTAAGTTTTAGGGTACATGTGCACAACGTGCAGGGTTGTTACATATGTATACATGTGCCATGTTGGTGTGCTGCATCCGTCAACTCGTCATTTAACATTAGGTATATCTCCTAATGCTATCCCTCCCCCCTCCCCCACCCCACAACAGGCCCTGGTGTGTGATGTTCGCCTTCCTGTGTCCATGTGTTCTCGTTGTTCAATTCCCACCTATGAGTGAGAACATGCGGTGTTTGGTTTTTTGTCCTTGTGATAGTTTGCTTAGAAGGATGGTTTCCAGCTTCATCCATATCTCTACAAAGGATATGAACTCATCCTTTTTTATGGCTGCATGGTATTCCATGGTGTATATATGCCACATTTTCTTAATCCAGTCTATCATTGTTGGACATTTGGGTTGATTCCAAGTCTTTGCTATTGTGAATAGTGCCACAATAAACATACATGTGCATGTGTCTTTATAGCAACACAAATTATAATCCTTTGGGTATATACCCAGTAATGGGATGGCTGGGTCAAATGGTATTTCCAGTTCTAGATCCCTGAGGAATCACCACACTGACTTCCACAATGGTTGAACTAGTTTACAGTCCCACCAACAGTGTAAAAGTGTTCCTATTTCTCCACATCCTCTCCAGCACCTGTTGATTCCTGACTTATTAATGATCGCCATTCTAACTGGCATGAGATGGTATCTCATTGTGGTTTTGATTTGCATTTCTCTGATGGCCAGTGATGATGAGCATTTTTTCATGTGTCTTTTGGCTACATAAATGTCTTCTGTTGAGAAGTGTCTGTTCATATCCTTCGCCCACTTGTTGATGGGGTTGTTTGTTTTTTTCTTTTAAGTTTGAGTTCTTTGTAGATTCTGGATATTAGCCCTTTGTCAGATGAGTAGATTGCAAAAATTTTCTCCCATTCTTTAGGTTGCCTGTTCACTCTGATGGTAGTTTCTTTAGATGTGCAGAAGCTCTTTAGTTTAATTAGATCTCATTTGTCAATTTTGGCTTTTGTTGCCATTGCTTTTGGTGTTTTAGACATGAAGTCCATGCCCATGCCTATGTCCTGAATGGCATTGTCTAGGTTTTCTTCTAGGGTTTTTATGGTTTTAGGTCTAACATGTAAGTCTTTAATCCATCTTGAATTAAGTTTTGTATAAGGTGTAAGGAAGGGATCCAGTTTCAGCTTTCTACATATGGCTAGCCAGTTTTCCCAGCACCATTTATTAAATAGGGAATCTTTTCCCCATTTCTTGTTTTTGTCAGGTTTGTCAAAGATCAGATAGTTGCAGATATGCGGCATTATTTCTGAGGGCTCTGTTCTGTTCCGTTGGTCTATATCTCTGTTTTGGTACCAGTACCATGCTGTTTTGGTTACTGTAGCCTTGTAGTATAGTTTGAAGTCAGGTAGTGTGATGCCTCCGGCTTTGTTCTTTTGGCTTAGGATTGACTTGGCAATGCGGGCTCTTTCTTGGTTCCATATGAACTTTAAAGTAGTTTTTCCCAATTCTGTGAAGAAAGTCACTGGTAGCTTGATGGGGATGGCATTGAATCTATAAATTACCTTGGGCAGTATGGCCATTTTCAAGATATTGATTCTTCCTACCCATGAACATGGAATGTTCTTCCATTTGTTTGTATTCTCTTTTATTTCATTGAGGAGTGGTTTGTAGTTCTCCTTGAAGAGGTCCTTCACATCCCTTGTAAGTTGGATTCCTAGGTATTTTATTCTCTTTGAAGCAGTTGTGAATGGGAGTTCACTCATGATTTGGCTCTCTGTTTGTCTGTTATTGGTGTATAAGAATGCTTGTGATTTAAACATGGAAAGGAAGAACCAGTGCCAGCCACTGCAAAAACATGCCAAATTGTAAAGACCATCGAGGCTAGGAAGAAACTGCATAAACTAACGAGCAAAATAACCAGTTAACATCATAATGACAGGATCAAATTCACACATAACAATATTAACCTTAAATGTAAATGGACTAAATGCTCCAATTAGAAGACACAGACTGGCAAATTGTATAAAGAGTCAAGACCTATCAGTGTGCTGTATTCAGGGAACCTATCTCACCTGCAGAGACACACATAGGCTCAAAATAAAGGGATGGAGGAAGATCTACCAAGCAAATGGAAAACAAAAAAAGGCAGGGGTTGCAATCCTAGTCTCCGATAAAACAGACTTTAAACCAACAAAGATCAAAAGAGACAAAGAAGGCCATTACATAATGGTAAAGGGATCAATTCAACAAGAAGAGCTAACTATCCTAAATATATATGCACCCAATACAGGAGCACCCAGATTCATAAAGCAAGTCCTTAGAGACCTACAAAGAGACTTAGACTCCCACACAATAATAATGGGAGACTTTAACACCCCACTGTCAACACTAGACAGATCAACAAGACAGAAAGTTAACAAGGATAACCAGGAATTGAACTCAGCTCTGCACCAAGTGGACCTAATAAACATCTACAGAACTCTCTCAACCCCAAATCAACAGAATAGGCATTCTTCTCAGCACCACACCACACCTATTCCAAAAGTGACCTCATAGTTGGAAGTAAAGCACTCCTCAGCAAATGTAAAAGAACAGAAATTATAACAAACTGTCTCTCAGACCACAGTGCAATCCAGCTAGAACTCAGGATTAAGAAAATCACTCAAAACTGCTCAACTACATGGAAACTGAACAACCTGCTCATGAATGACTACTGGGTACATAATGAAATGAAGGCAGAAATAAAGATGTTCTTTGAAACCAAAGAGAACAAAGACACAACATACCGTAATCTCTGGGACACATTTAAAGCAGTGTGTAGAGGGAATTATAGCACTGAATGCCCACAAGAGAAAGCAGGAAAGATCTAAAATTGACACCCTAACATCACAATTAAAAGAACTAGAGAAGCAAGAGCAAACACATTCAAAAGCTAGCAGAAGGCAAGAAATAACTAAGATCAGAACAGAACTGAAGGAGATAAAGACAAAAAATCCCTTCAAAAAATCAATGAATCCAGGAGCTGGTTTTTTGAAAAGATCAACAAAATGGATAGACTGCTAGCAAGACTAATAAAGAAGAAAAGAGAGAAGAATCAAATAGACGCAATAAAAAATGATAAAGGGGATATCACCACCGATCCCACAGAAATACAAACTACCATCAGAGAATACTATAAACACCTCTATGCAATAAACTAGAAAATCTAGAAGAAATGGATAAATTCCTGGACACATACACCCTCCCAAGACTAAACTAGAGAGAAGTTGAATCTCTGAACAGAGCAATAACAGGCTCTGAAATTGAGGCAATAATTAATAGCTTACCAACCAAAAAAGTCCAGGACCAGACGGATTTACAGCCGAATTCTACCAGAGGTACAAGGAGGAACTCGTACCATTCCTTCTGAAACTATTCCAATCAATAGAAAAAGAGGGAATCCTCCCTACCTCATTTTATGAGGCCAGCATCATCCTGATACCAAAGCCTGGCAGAGACACACCAAAAAAGGAGAATTTTAGACCAATATCCCTAATGAACATAGATGCAAAAATCCTCAGTAAAATACTGGCAAACCAAATCCAGCAGCACATCAAAAACTTATCCACCATGATCAAGTGGGCTTCATCCCTGGGATGCAAGGCTGGTTCAACATATGCAAATCAATAAACGTAATCCAGCATATAAACAGAACCAATGACAAAAACCACGATTGTCTCAATAGATGCAGAAAAGGCCTTTGACAAAATTCAACAACCCTTCATGCTAAAAATTCTCAATAAATTAGGTATTGATGGGACATACCTCAAAATAATCAGAGTTATTTATGACAAACCCACAGCCCATATCATACTGAATGGACAAAAACTGGAAGCATTCCCTTTGAAAACTGACACAAGACAGGGATGCCCTCTCTCACCACTCCTATTCAACATAGTGTTGGAAATTCTGGCCAGGGGAATCAGGCAGGATAAAGGGTATTTAATTAGGAAAAGAGGAAGTCAAATTGTCCCTGTTTGCAGATGACATGATTGTATATCTAGAAAACCCCATCGTCTCAGCCCAAAATCTCGTTAAGCTGATAAGCAACTTCAGCAAAGTCTCAGGATACAAAATCAATGTCCAAATCAAATGTTTTATAAAAGTAAGTCCCCTGAATCGAGCCACCAGGTGGCTCAGAAGGTGCTTGCTTCTCCTGCCTTTTCTTCCATCCGTAGCCCCAGGATATGATCCACTATTTTTTTTTTTTTTTGAGATGGAGTCTCACTCTGTTGCCCAGCCTGGAGTGCAATGGCGCCATCTCAACTCACTGCAAGCTCTGCCTCCCAGGTTCAAGCAATTCTCCTGTCTCATCCTACCGAGTAGCTGGGACTATAGGTGCCTGCCACCACAGTTGGCTAATTTTTGTATTTTTAGTAGAGATGAGGTTTCTTCATATTGGTCAGGCTGGTCGCCAACTCCTGACCTCAGGTGATCCCCCTGCCTTGGCCTCCCAAAGTACTGGGATTACAGGTGTGAGCCACTGCACCTGGCCCCATTGACTATTTAAGAAGAGTGGCTTATGGAAGAGTTGTTCTCAAGAGATGGTATTTTCATATGTAATTACCTGGCACATGTAGTTGTCATAGAAGACACAGTGGTACTTTTAGACTTTGGGGAAGAAATTTGAAATGAGTATTAGGGTATTTTTTAGGAAATACTATATCTATTTCAAGTTTCTTCCTAAAAATAGTCATAAATTTTGATTTCTAATATTCACAGAACAAGTCTATTTTGAAAACTTAGGTTAGAGTTTGACAGCCTTTAGACATAACAAAATACAAACTCAAGATTTGGGGGAAATTAGTTCAAGTAATCACTAATTTAAATCTTTGCGGGGGTAAAAATAGCTTACAATTTAAGTAAAATGTGAAGAACTGTTAATTAGTTCCATATTTATTTGATTTTTTGATCCTAAAAGACTTTATTTAGGTTTTTGTTTCCACTATGCCTACTTCCATGAGGTTTAATCAGATTTTTTGAAGAAAATAATTTGTATTCTTATTCAAGAATTAAGTCCCTTCCTGAAAAAACCAGATGTCATTGAGATTCATTGTTCCATATGTGTGTGTGTACATGTATATATATTTTAACAGAAAACAGTAAGATTACTTCTGGAAAAATATTTAAATGGTTTATGACTTGGAGAAATATTTTATGTAAATTAACTCCAGTTGTCTATGGGCAAGAAATAAAATTGGGCAGTTGAAAATTTCCCAGAGGATAGGTGTGGAAAATCTTTTATAATGTAATTTTTGAAACTTATCAAGCATGTGAATTGATAGTAACAATACAAGTGTCTTGGCAACCTCTTTAAAAATGATTCCAACTTTTAGGTGGGGGGATTGTAAAATTTGTTGGAATTTGGGGCTTTTGGCCTGTTAAATGGTTTGAATAATGATTTGGCTTTAATGCCTCATTCCCTATTGCTCTGTATTTTTTTTTAAAGCATTTTCATTGTTCAAACTGCATCTTGGTCCACCAGCTCTTAAAGTGACAGCCATCCTTTTCAACATGATGATCACACAGAATCTGATGACCATTCAAGGAGCATCGCATTTGAAAAGGCTGGGAAAAAGAATTTTATATTACATCTAGGGCTGTTGGCAAGGACGATGGAATGAGCTAACTGAAGGAAAAGAACTGGTTTTAACCTTTGCCCTATCAGCAACACTGGGAAACCTTGGGAAGTCTCTTAACCTTTTTGGGCTTTGTCTATAAAGTGGACATGCTCCTAGACTTAACCTATCTCACAGTAATAACTAGGCATTATACATGGATATGCCTGAAAAATATAAATGCTATAAAACCAAATGACGTTATTAAGTTGAATCACATTTTTGCATCATTTTGACAGGTGAAATGGTCAAATAGAAGCATTTCTATAGAGTTTTTGAATCTATCTGAACTATATTATGTTTTGACCAACCTGCATATGCATCAATATCTTATTCTGTGAAAAAATGAGACAGTGGTATTGGGCAGAATATTACATTTAAGGATTTAGTAAAATGCCTGCAATAACTGCTCTATCAACAAACAGTGACAGAGTGCCTACTTTGTATTAGAACCTATGTTGAGTACTAAGGATATAGAATGAATAAGACAGAGTTTCTGCCTTCAAGGAATCTGAATAAGTGCTAATATGAAAATATTTCAGAAACTTCTTTTAGCCAAGCTAAAGATGACTTTATGAAAGATCTGAAGTTTTGATATGAATTTGAAACATTTAATCACTCCCACTTGGTGTCTTCAGTGCCCTTTGAAGACTCTTCCCACAGGGCCCAATGCAGAGTGAGCCTGAGAAGCAGTGGATTTGGGCAGGTAAAGGGGTGTATTCCTAGCGTAGAGCCTCCACAGCATCCACAGATGAACTAGTTTGGACTGCGATTACCCAGCATTGTTCTTTGTATTGTGGCCCTCTAGAACTCCCAGACTACTTCACGTTCACTTTCTTCAGGCCCTGGAAATAAACCCTGAATTCAGGCTCAGAATTAACCTATGTGTGGGGAATGGCCCCATGTGGCCTCAGACAGTTTGCAAACTCAAGGGTTCACAATTCAGTCACTCCCCTGGGTTTTTCTTGCCCTTACCCGCTTTGACTTGGATCAGGAAAGATAAATACAGAAATCTTTTCATCAGTGTTCAAGGGTGGGAAAATGTTATATTGCTGTGATGAGTAACTGGAGAAATCTGCTAGTCAATTATATCAAACAGCTGTCTAAAAGTTTCTTTCATATCCATCCCCTGCCATCACTGAAGCCTGCATAGGTTTCGGGTTTCTAGGTGTCTGTTTGATGATTTAATTCTTACAAGTCTTTAAAAAACAGCACTTGAGCATTTGCAAAAAGACTAACATGTTTGCTTCACTTTGATTTATATCCACAAAGAAATGTTAAGTGTCAGAGCCCCAGTTGATCTGATAGAAGTGGTTCCTTTTCTATTTGCTTATTTGTGCTAAAAGGCAGAGATTTTTAACATTTGTTCTTGAACTCACCACAATGTGGCACTATAGTAATTTCTTTATCTCTGGACGCTTCTAGGTGATGGAGATGTCTTCAAAATGTTGGACTTCTAGCAAGAGTTCTCTGCCTAAAACTGTGAGTCATCCTCCAAGATCTCCACTTACGAAGTCATGGGGGTTCCCGTTAATTAAGTATGTGTGCTCCGCTTACATGAGTGTTTCCCTGTGCTTTGCTTAAAACACGAGAACAAAAACAAAGCATATTTTTCTTAATTCCTCAGTCATTATACTTTCTCTTTCTGGAAGATAGTCTAGAAAAATTAAAATCAAAATCTTATATTAACTGTGGAAACAAATCTAAAACTTAGTAAATTTTTTTAGTAAGTAACTATGAACACAGAGGTGTGGAGTGAAATTTCTGGTTCGTGGAAGACACAAGTACATGTTAGAGAAGAACATTTATTTCAAATACAGGAAAAGACAGCAATATTACTCCGTGAATTTTGATGGGTTCTTCCCCAGAAAATTTGATTTTCTGATGTGGTGTGCAAGCTCAGTGTAGTAGACTCTTCATGACCTACAGGTTTGATATCATCATAGTTTCTAGAAGACTCAATTGTAAGAGACTTGAAAGTGTCGAGCCGCTTCACCATAGCAGTATATCTGAGTTCTGTGTACCCGCATTTTGACTATCACTTTGACACACAAACCTAAAAGGAAAGCGGTTATGGCATGAACATGTAATATATTGATTCTTATTTAGGAAAGATTTAGACCTGAAATTAAGACTCACTAACAATAGTAAATAGTACTTAGTAAGTAGTAAGTACTCAGTATTAGTAAATCCCTTTCCTAGTACTGTTATCATCATTGCAAAGGAATTTTCTATCCTCTTTTTTAATGTTTCTCCTCATATTTATATGCATATAAAAAAGAAATAGTAGGAAAAGAGAGAAGAATGAGGAAGAAATTGGGAGAGAGAGAAATTTAGAATACTTTTTTCTTAGCTTGTAGGATTTCAGCCTCCTCTCTATTTGTGGTTAAAAAACTAAAAAGAATGAAATGACCAGTATTGGCCAAACCAGAACAATTATTAGGCATTTCCCAAACATTACATTTAAGGAGCAAATTATGCAATAGCCAAAAAAAGAAACACCAAAAAGCAGAAATAAAATAAAATAGGTATATGGTTTTACAAAATAAAATGGAATTGGATTTGAAAGACTGACCTGCTTGTCCACATCATTAGCAAGTTGTCCTTAACTAATTTCACATTATTTTGTTGTTTTTGACCTTTGAGTTCACTGAACCAGTCCTGTTTCTTATTGCCATGAGACTAATTTCTGACATATTCCTCTTGATTTATTACCGACAAACTATGACTAAAAGTAGGCCTGTGCTACATTTCCATCATCTGGAAATGATAAAAACTTGCAAAATGTATTTTGAGTATTCATATATTCAACTGTTACCCACCAGTTGAATAGTTTCATCACTCTTGAAACTTCTATCTCCTAGACCCCAAGCTTTAATCCTACGACTTCTTCCCTTTCATACTGCATCTGCTCTTCATATTAATTATGGTCTCTGAACCTTTAATTCAACTTTATTTTCCAGTTTGTTTCCTGATGATGTTTTAACTTATACCTGAATTGGACCCAGTAAAGAGTTTTCCCTGGACTACTATGGCCTGTTGACCTTCCATGACATCTGCTTTCCCAGACTCCTAACCCAGGCTTCCTACTTCTCTGAGCAGAGTTATGGAAAGAACATGGTCAGTGAAGTCAGGCTGACTTGAATCAAATTTCAATTCTATTAATTAGCTCTTTATTTTCAAATGATGTAACATTTCTGTCCCCATCACCTACTCTAAAAGGTGAAGATAGTAATACCTTCTTCAGAGTGATTGTGTGGTTTAGATGAGAAGGCATGTGAAAAGTGCTCTCAATGTTAGCCCTCTTCCTCCGACTTTACCTCAGAGCTTATGGTCATTGCTGGAGAAAATACAGATTTAAACCCACTAGAAATTCTGACCATCTAATCCCTGTTATTTATTTCTTATTTGCTCTTGTTTGAATCAGAGCTTCTGATTGCCAGCAACAGAATCCACTCTAGCCTGCCTGCCTCCTGTTTCTCTCCCTCCCCCTCCTCCCTCTTTCCCTTCCTTCCTCTCCCCCTTTTTTCTATCCTTTCTCCCTTCCTTTCTTCCTCCCTCTGCTTCTTTTCTTTCTTGCTAAATTCGGGTATAACATAAACATAGCCTGGGGGAGTTTTATGTATGTTTACTCTGTATCCAGCATCCCAGTGAAGACATAGAACATCTTTAGCAGCCTGGAAGCCTACTCTTTGCCTCTTCCTATTACATGCCTCTTGTACCCCTCTACTGAGGTAACCACCATTCTTTTTATCACCAGAGATTAGTTTTGCCTGTTTTTAAACTTTCCATATATAGGTTCATATGGTAAGTCTTTTTCTGTTTTTGTTTTCTTTTGCTCAGCAATGTCAGTGAGATTATTCCATGCTATGTGTAGTGGTAGTTTGTATTTTTATTTGAAATTGATGTGTGGTATTCCATTGATATTGTAATTTATCTATTTTTTTTTTTTGTATGGTCATTTTGGGTTTTGCCTGTAAATAGAGCTGCCATAAACATTCTTTTTTTTTTTTTTTTTTTTTTTTTTTTTTTTTTTTTGAGACAGAGTCTTGCTCTGTCGCCCAGGCTGGAGTGCAGTGGCACAATCTCAGCTCACTGCAAGCTCTGCCTCCTGGGCTCAAGCCATTCTCCTGCCTCAGCCTCCCAAGTAGCTGGGACTACAGGCACCCGCCACCATGCCTGGCTAATTTTTTGTATTTTAGTAGAGATGGTGTTTCACCGTGTTAGCCAGGATGGCCTCGATCTCCTGACCTCGTGATCCACCCACCTCGGCCTTCCAAAGTGCTGGTGAGAGGTGAAGCCAGCTGGGCTTCTGGGTCGGGTGGGGACTTGGAGAACTTTTCTGTGTAGCTAAAGGATTGTAAACTCACCAATCAGTGCTCTGTGTCTAGCTAAAGGATTTTAAATGCACCCAGCATTCTGTAAAAATGCACCAATCAGCACTCTGTGTCTAACTAAAGGATTGTAAATGCACCAATCAGCACTCTGTAAAAACACACCAGTCAGTGCTCTGTGTTTAGCTAAAGGATTGTAAAAGTACCAATCAGCACTCTGTAAAATGGACCAATCAGCACTCTGTAAAACGGACCAACGAGTAGGATGTGGGCAGAGCCAAATAAGGAAATAAAAACTGGCCACCTGAGCCAGCAGCAGCAATCTGCTCGGTCCCCTTCCAAGCTGTGGAAGCTTTGTTCTTTCACTCTTCACAGTAAGTCTTGCTGCTGCTCACTCTTTGGGTCCACACTACCTTTATGAGCTGTAACACTCACCACGTGGGTCTGCAGCTTTATTCCTGAAGTCAGCGAGACCACGAACCCACCCAGAGGAACAAACAACTCTGGACACGCCAGCTTTAAGAGCTGTAACCCTCACTGCGAAGGTCTGCAGCTTCATTCCTGAAGTCAGTGAGACCATGAACCCACTGGAAGGAAGTAACTCTGGACACATCTGAACATCTGAAGGAACAAACTCCAGACACACCATCTTTAAGAGCTGTAACACTCATTTTGAAGGTCTGCGGCTTCACTCCTGAAGTCAGCGAGACCACAAACACACTGGAAGGAAGAAACTGCGGACACATCTGAACATCTAAGGAACAAACTCCGGACACACTATCTTTAAGAACTGTAATGCTCACCGCGGCTTCATTCTTGAAGTCAGCACGACCAAGAACCCACTGGAAGGAACCAATTCGGGACACATGGGGATTACAGGTATGAGCCACTGTGCCCGGCCCCATAAACATTTTTTTAAAGAAGTCTTTTGGTAGATACAGGTATGTTCATTTTTATTGTGTATATACTTAAGGGTGAAATTATTGGGTCTTAAGAGGCACATATTTTAAGCTTAGTAGCTACTTCAACCAGGAAGTAATTTACTGAGGGGTATCAGATAGTTCACGGATTAAATGGACAAACAATATCTATGGCTGAATTTTCAGAAACACCTTCCAGAGTAGGAGCACTGCAGAGCTGGCCTGGTGAGGCCATTGTTGCTTCAGCTGACCCAAAACCATGCTGCCTCTGATATAACAGGAAGCTCCAACGGTGCCATCAACCCTGAAAACCCACTGCTGGATTGAGGAGGAGGAGGATTACCTTGCTGCACTGTGTGGTAGAGACAACCTGAGAGACCACCACCTTTGAAAAATGACTTTCAGCCAATCTTCTTGTTTTAAGCCCATACTTAGAAATATCTGGTACTTCAAATTCCTGAGACTTGCTGTAATGAAACATTTATGGTGCCTCTTATTTTTACCATTGCAAGAGTATGTTTTAGCTTTCTAAAGATTTCTAAGTGGATTTCCAATTATCCTTCTTCTTGCTAGCTTTCAACTATTTATTAAAATCTCAGATCTTCTCCTTATTCTTCTCTTAACTTTGCTCTTGTGCCGTTTTTTATTGCCTTATTGTCATTTGGTGGAGATTCAGGATACAAATGCTCTGTGTATAGTTCACATTTTTAGAAGCAGAAGTCTACTTACTGTATCCCTTAAAATGCTGCTCTAAAACTTATCTATTTATTTTTCCAAATCTTTCCCGAATTCTTTCCTTACTCTAGGTCTAACAGATGGCCTCAGTTCCTATGATCTCAGTTCAACTCTCCGTCTCAAAACTTCTCTAAATTGTTGTCTATTTTAGTGCTGTGAGAAATTAGAAGGACAAATCTGTCCTTTCCAGGGATAATTCTTTTGTTTGTATCCATAGCTTTCTCTGGGCACTTGTTCCATCCCTTTTAGCCTGTAATATGCACTTTTGGAATTGGAGGTACAACCGAATCAGTGCTCTGTTAAGTCCTTGTGGTACAGCCTCTTTGGAAGTTGTTACCAGAATAGTCTGTTGGTAAAATATCTTCTGTTTTCTCCAAATTTCTTGAAATCATAACTGTCAGCCACAGTTTTTTCCAGCTACAACTAATGTAATTGGTTGTCAGTCCTTTCTAGCTTCAGTGAAGTTTTTGTAGCCCTTCTTAATTGTCATTAATTACTTTCTATTAATTTGGTCATTTCCCTGATGGTACCTGGAACTGTTGCAAAATCTTCATGTTTACATCAAGCATTCTTTCTTTGTCTCTTTGTGGTGGTTCTAGCCCCAGCATACTTTGTTAGCCATTATTAGTCCAAACTGTGGGCCAGACATTTGGTATTTTCTGGAATATAAAATAAATATCAGAGAAAGAGTTTGCATTAAGTAAACAAAAGCCATATCTCAGAATGGTGTGGTAGCTGAGATTACTTCCATTTGGAAGCATTAAAACATACTGGCTTAGAGTATACAAAAGCTTTCAGAACATGGAAAGATCAGTGTTTATCACTGTTCTATAGCCAGTTGTGTGTGTGTGTGTGTGTGTGTGTGTGTGTGTGTATACATGCATTGAATTATAGAAGCATACACACACACATATACTGTTTAGGTAAATTGTTTCAGTGACAAATAGCATTGTATCCTCGGACTCTGTTGAGTAGTGTGGGAATTATCTTTTATCTTTCCTTCTCTACTGGGTACATTTTCCCTAAAAAAATACTCAGGTCTTCTATATACTGAAATAAGCTTTTTATCTACCTTGATTCTTACAATTTTTTTCCTTTTAAAATTCAAACATGTCACAATTGAAGTTTTTTATTCATTTATGTAACCCTTGCTTCTTGACTCCTTGAAATTTGCTTTTTATCTCTTACTGCTTCACTTAAACTACCTTTATTCATGACACTACTGGTCTCCTAATCCTGGAATTTATTGACATCTTTACAGTGTTGATCTTTACTTCCAGGAACATTTGTCACTCTTGTCCTGCCTCTTCTGTATAAAAATCTCTCTTTGCTCATCTTCCTCTGCGTTTTAGCGTCCTAGTTTTCCTATATTTCTACATTTCCCCTTGTCCTTTCTTTTAAATAAAACCATTTCTTCAAATCCTGTATCTCCTCTCTTATACTTATTCCCATCCCCATGCTCCACTCTTTCTTTGTATGTTTAAACACACTCCACCATGTTGTCTTCAACTATTACCACTGTGTGAACATCTACATTTGTCCTGATCTCTCTTAGGATCTCCTTTTGGTATTTCCAGCTGCCTGACTGATTTCTGCACTCAAACGTAATGCAGTATCTTTATTGCATGTCTGAAACAAATTTACTTTTGATCTTGCCAATAAATTTCTCTTTTTGACGTCCTTGAGTACCCCATTCTCTAAAATTCTAAGTTGTCCTCGTCTCCTCTCCTTTCTTGCTTTCCTGTGTTTTTATTATTATACTTTTTATTGATACATAATAATTGTACATATTTATGATGTACATATGATATTTTGATACCTGTACATGATGTGTAATGATCAAGTCAGGGTATTCAGGACATCCATTGGCTCAAACATGTATCATTTTTTTTTGTGGTGAGAAAAATTCAAATCCTCTCTTCTAGCTATTTTATTGTTAAGAAACAACAAAATTTGACCCTAAATCAATTAAGGATAAAAGGATGAAAATTTTAAAGACTCTTCTAGAGAAAAGATGTTAGCAGAGTTTTGAAGGGGATTAAAGGGAATCAACCAAGAGGGAAAATCAAGGTTGGGCATAAAACAGGGAAGTGAGTGATTCCCAGTGGCAAGGAGACTTAAAGGAATCTGGAGTCAAAGGAAATTGAACATTCAGTGTTGTTTATGTTTCCGTGATTTAAACGCCCTCCATCTCTCCAAGTCTGACATACATTCTTCTCATGTGCATGTTTTAGAGGGAAAACCAAGAAGTCTTATGTGTGGGTAAAAGTCTTGGTTTGGTATTACTATAAAGGAATACCAGAGGCTGGAGAATAGAAAACAGTTTTATTTGACTCACGATTCTGTTTGCTGGAAGATTGGATATCTGCATCTGGTGAGGGCCACAGGCTGCTTCCCCTTGTGCTGAAAGATAAAGGGGAGCTTGTGTGTATATCAGAGACCATTTCATGAGAGAGGATGCAAGAGAGAGAGGAGAGAGATGACAGGCTCTTTTTAACAATCAGCTCTTATGGGAACTAATAGAGTTAAAACTCACTTACTCACCCCTGCCTCCTCAAGGAGGACATTAATCTATTCATGAGGGATCCCCTCCCATGGCCCAAACACCTCCCATCAGGCCCCACCTCCTACATTGGGAATCAGATTATAAAATGAGGTTTGGAGGGTCAAATATCCAAACTTTGGCCATGAATAGGGAACAGAAACTGTAGGTGAGGGACTAAAGATGAGAATGAAATTGAGTCTGAGTAAGAGCCAGAAGTTCAAGCCAAGACATTATGTTGGAACTCCAAGCCAGAATTTTCCAAGAGAAACTACAGTCTTGGGAACACAGTGGCCCTTTTGCAAGATGTAGGAGAAAGACCTCTGGAAAATTTTACGTATTTCTCAACTCAAAGAATAGAATGACTTTGGCTGATATCTAGGTTACACATATAAGCACCCAATTAATTGGAAAAAATGGGACCAGCTTAGGACATCATAAAGAAAAGCATTCTGTACATGCCATTCCTTTCCTCTTTTACTATAATGACTGAGGAAAATGTGTTGAAATAAAAAATAAACAAACAAAAGATGCCGCTTTTTAGGCTGAAGGACCTTAAAATCTTAGCACTGTCTCTTTTATGGCCTTTGGTAAATTTCCTACAATTTAAATTTGTTTTTCTCATGAGTAAAATAATCATAATAACATGTCATGCCAAGGTTATGCAGGGCACAACACCTGGAAGATAGAAGCTACTTAATTACTTGTTACCGCAGTTATTTCTTTTTTTCTTCTTCAACTTGAAGTTCAGGGGTACATGAGCAGGATGTGCAGGTTTGTTACATAGGTAAACTTGTGCCATCGTGGTTTGCTGCACAGGTCATCCCATCACCTAGGTATTAAGCCCAGCATCCATTAGCTATTCCTGGTGCTCTCCCTCCCACAGCCTATCTTCCACCAAGCCCCAGTGTGTGTTGATTCCAACCCCATGTGTTCATGTGTTCTCTTTGTTCATCTCCTACTTATAAGTGAGAACATGCAGTGTTTGGTTTTCTGTTCTTGTATTAGTTTGCTAAGGATAACGGATTCCAGTTACATCCATGTCCCTGCAACGGAGATGATCTCATTCCTTTTTATGGCTGCATAGTATTCCATGGTGTATATATACCATGTTCTCTTTATCCAGTCTATCACTGATGGGCATTTAGGTTGATTCCATGTCTTTGCTATTGTGAATAGTGCTGCAATGAACATATGCATGCATGTTTCTTTATAATAGAATAATTTATAATTATTTGGGTATGTACCCAGTAATGGGATTACTGGGACAAATGGTATTTCTGCCTCTAGGTCTTTGAAAAATCACCACACTACACTTTCTTCTATAATGGATGAACTAATTTACACTCCTACAAACAGTGTAAAAGCATACATTTTTCTCCACAACCTCACCAGCATCTGTTGTCTTTTCGACTTTTTAATATTAGATTGGTGCAAAAGTAATTGCGATTTTGAGATGGTATCTCATTGTGGTTTTGATTTGCATTTCTCTAATGATCAGTGATGTTGAGCTTTTTTTCATATGTTTATTGGCCACATAAATGTCTTCTTTTGAGAAGTGTCTGTTCAGGTTCTTTGCCCACTTTTTAATGGGGTTGTTTGGGTTTTATTTTTGGAAATTTGTTTAAGTTCCTTGTAGATTCTGGATATCAGACCTTTGTCAGATGGATAGATTGCAAAAATTTTCTCCCATTCTGTAATTTTGTTTAAGTTCCTTGTAGATTCTGGATATCAGACCTTTGTCAGATGGATAGATTGCAAAAATTTTCTCCAATTCTACAGAATGGAGAAAATTATTTGTTTACTCTGATGATAGTTTATTTTTCTGTGCAGAAACTCTTTGGTTGAATTATATCCCATTTGTCAATTTATGCTTTCATTGAAATTGCTTTCAGCATTTTTGTCATGAAATCTTTGCTTGTGTCTATTTCCTGAATGGTATTGCCTAGATTTTCTTGTAGGGTTTTTACAGTTTTAGGTTTTGCATTTAAGTCTTTAATCTATCTTGAGTTAATTTTTGTAGATGGTATAAGGAAGGGTTCCAGTTCAATTATCTGCATATGGCTAGCCAGTTCTCCCAGCACCATTTATTAAACAGGGAATCCTTTCCCCATTGCTTGTTTTTGTCAGGTTTGTTGAAGATCAGATGGTTGTAGGTGTGTAGTCTTATTTCTGAGTTCTCTATTCTGTTCCATTGGTCTATGTGCCTGTTCTTGTACCAGTACCATGCTGTTTTGGTTACTGTAGCCTTGTAGGATAGTTTGAAGTCAGGTAGCATAATGCCTCCAGCTTTGTTCTTTTTGCTTAGAATTGTCTTGGCTATTTGGGCTATTTTTTGATTGCATATGCATTTTAAAATAGTTTTTGCTAATTCTGTGAAGAAAGTCAATGGTAGTTTGATGGGAATAACATTGAATCTGTAAATTACTTTGGATAGTATGGCCATTTTTACAATCTTGATTCTTCTTATCCATGAGCTTGGAATGTTTTCCATTTGTTTCTTCTCTGATTTCTTTGAGCAGTGGTTTGTAGTTCTCTTTGAAGAGGTTGTTCACTCCCCTTGTTAGCTGTATTCCTAGGTATTTTATTTTTGTAGCAATTATGAATGGGAGTTCATTCATGATTTGGCTCTTAGCTTGCCTGTTGTTGGTGTATAGGAATGCTAGTGATTTTTCCACATTGATTTTGGTATCTCGAGACTTTGCTGAAGTTGCTTATCAGCTTAAGAAGCTTTTGGGCTGAGATAATGGGTTTTTCTAAATACAGGATTATTTCATATGCAAACAAAGACAATTTGACTTCCTCTCTTGCTATGTGAATATGCTTTATTTCTTTCTCTTGCCTGATTGTCCTGTCCAGGACTTCCAATACTGTTGAGTAGGAGTGGTGAGAGACGGCAGCCTTGTCTTAATGCCAGTTTTCAAGGAGAATGCTTCCAGCTTTTGCCCATTCAGTATGATGTTGGCTGTGGGTTTGTCATATATGGCTCTTATTATTATGAGGTATGTTCCTTCAATCCTAGTTTATTGAGAGTTTTTAACATGAAGCAATGTTGAATTTTATTGAAGGTCTTTTCTGCATCTACTGAGACAATCATGTGATTTTAGTCTTTAGTTCTGTTTATGGGGTGAGTCACGTTTATTGATTTGTGTATGTTGAACCAACCTTGCATCTTGGGGATGAAGCCAACTTGGTCATAGTGGATAAGCTTTTTGATGTGCTGCTGGATTCAGTATGCCAGTATTTTATTGAGGATTTTTTGCATCAGTGTTCATCAGAGATATTGGCCTGAAGTTTGTTGTGGTTGTTGTTGTATCTCTGACAGGTTTTGGTAAAAGGATGATGCTGGCCTCATAGAATGAATTAGGGAGAAGTCCCTCCTTTTCAATTGTTTGGGATAGTTTCAGTAGAAATGGCACCAGCTCTTCTACCTCTTGAAGAATTCAGCTGTGAATCCGTCTGGTCCTGGGCCTTTTTTTGATTGGTAGGCTATTTATTATTGCCTCAATTTCAGAACTCGTTATTGGTCTGTTCAGGGATTCAGTGTCTTCTTGATTCAGTCTTGGGATGGTGTATATTTCCAGAAATTCATCCATTTCTTCTAGATTTTCTAGTTTATGTGCATAGAGATTATAGTCTTGTCTGATGGTTGTTTGTATTTCTGTGGGGTCAGCGGTGATATTCCTCTTATTATTTCTGATTGTGTTTAATACTTCTTTATTAGTCTAGTTAGCAGTCTATCTATTTTACTATTTTTTTAAAACAGCTCCTGGATTGATATTTTGAAGGGTTTTTCATGTCTCTCCTTCAGTTCAGCTCTGTTTTTGGTTATTTCTTGTCTTCTGCTAGCTTTGGGGTTTGTTTGCTCTTGGTTTTCTAGTTCTTTTAGTTGTGAGGTTGTCGATTTGAGATCTTTCTAGCTTTTTGATCTGGGCATTTAGGGCTGTAAATTTCCCTTTTAACACTGCACTTCAGCTGCATCCCAGAGATTCTGGTATATTGACTCTTTGTTCTCATTAGTTTCAAAGAACTTCTTGATTTCTGCCTCAATTTCATTATTTACCCAAGTGTCATTCAGGAGCAGATTGTTCAATTTCCATGTAGTTGTGTGATTTTGAAAGAGTTTCTTAATCTTGAGTTCTAATTTGATTATGCTATGGTTTGAGAAACCATTTGTTATTATTTCAGTTATTTTGCATTTGCTGAGGATTGTTTTACTTCCAATTATGTGGTCAATTTTAGAGTAAGTGCCGTGTAGAGATAAGAAGAATGTGTAGTCTATTGTTTTTGGGTGGAGAGTTCTGTAGTTATCTATCAGGTCCTCTTGAACTAGAATTCAAGTCTAGAGCTGAGTTCAGGTCCTAAATATCTTTGTTAATTTTCTGTCTTGATGATCTGTCTAATATTGTCAGTGAGGTGTTAAAGTCTCCCACTATTATTGTGTGAGAGTCTAAGTCTCTTTGTAGGTCTCTAAGAATTTGCTTTATGAATTTGGATGCTCCTGTATTGGGTGCATATATATTTAGAATAGTTAGTTCTTGTTGAATTGAACCCTTTACCATTGTGTAATGCCCTTCTTTGTCTTTTTTATCTTCCTTGGTTTAAAGTCTGTTTTGTCAGAAACTCAGATTGCAACCCCTGCTTTTTTCTCTTCCATTTGCTTGGTAAATTTTCCTGCATCCCTTTATTTTGAGCCTATGTGTGTCTTTCCACGTGAGATGTGTCTCCTGAAGACAGTATGCCAGTGGGTCTTGGCTCTTTATCCAGCTTGCCATTCTGTGTCCTTTAATTGGGGCATTTTGCCCATTTACATTTAACATTAGTATTGTTATATGTGAATTTGATCCTGTCATCATGATGGTAGTTGGTTATTATGTAGGCCTGTTTATGTGGTTGCTTCTTAGTATCACTGGTCTGTGTACCTCAGTGTGCTTTTGTAGTAGCTGGTAATGGTTTTTCCTTTCCATGTTTAGTGCTTCCTTCAGGAGCTCTTGCAAGGCAGGCCTGGTGGTGATGAATGGCATTTGCTTGTCTGAAAAAGGATCTTATTTCTCCTTCACTTATGAAGCTTAGTTTGGCCAGATAGGAAATTCTGGGTTGGAAATTCTTTTCTTTAAGAATATTGAAAGTTGGCCTCCAATCTCTTCTGGCTTGTAGGGTTTCCACTGAGAGGTCCACTGTTAGTCTGATGAGCTTCCCTTTGTAGGTGACCTGGCCTTTTTCTCTGGCTGCCCTTAACATGTTTTCTTTCATTTCGACCCTGGAGAATCTGAAAATTATGTGTCTTAGGGCTAATCTTCTCATGGAGTATCTTACTGGGGTTCTCTGGATTTCGTTAATTTGAATGTGGGCCTGTCTTGCTAGGTTGGGGAAGTTCTCCTGGATGATACCCTGAAGTATGTTTTCCAACTTGGTTCCATTCTCCTTGTCTCTTTCGTGTACCTCACAAGTTAAGACACACTGGCTTGGAATTCCAGGCAGACAATGGCAATAGGTAAGAATCTGCCTGAGAGGGAAACCAGTTCCTGGGGGAAGGGGTGGCCTCCATCTCTACACTTCTGTAGGCTCAGACATTCCACCCTGCTGGTATTGGAGAATCCAAACAGTCTGGAAGAGCACAACTGCCTTGCCAGATCATGGCCAAACTGCTTCTTTAAGTGGGATCCCAATCCATTCCTTCTCACTGGGCAGGACCAGTGAGTCATAGTTTGGTCTCTTTACCTAATCCCATATTTCTTGGAGTTTTGTTTATTCCTTTTCATTCTTTTTTTCTTTAATCTTGTCTGCCTGTCTTATTTCAGAAAGATAGTCTTCAAGGTCTAAGATTCTTTCTTCCACTTGATCTATCCTGCTGTTGATACTGGTGATTGCATTGTAAAGTTCTCGTGTTGTGTTTCTCAGCTCTATCAGGTCAGTTATGTTTCTCTCTAAACTGGCTATTCTATCAGCTCCTGTATTGTTTTATCATGATTCTTAGCTTCTTTGCAATGGGTTACAGCATGCTCCTTTAGCTCAGCAAAGTTCATTATTACCCACTTTCTAAAGCCTACTTCTGTCACTTCAGCCATTTCAGCCTCAGTCCTGTTGGCCACCTCTTACAGGAACACTCAGGACAGCAACAGGTCAGTAGCCCCCTGGGACAGAGCTTCCAGAGGAAAGAGCAGGTGGCCATTTTTGCTGTTTCATGGCCTTCACTGGAGATACCTCCAGGTATAGGAAAAACTGAGGCAACCAGTTTTTTCTAGTTGTTGGGATGTCTCACCCAGTCAGGAGGAACAGGATCAGGGACCTGTTTAAAGAATCTCAGTCTGATTGCTTTTTGGTAGAGCAGGTGTGCTGCACTGGGGGGACCCTTCCTCGTCCAGACTTTCTGGGTTCTCCAAATCCGGCAGGCTGGCATGGCTTAGCCAGCTAGACCACAGAGATGGTGGCTGCCCTTCCCCCAAGGAGCTCCATATCAGGGAGAGATCAGAGCTCTCTCCATAAAACCCTGGCTGAAGCAGCTGAAGCCTCCACAGGAAGTTCCCGCCCAGTGAGGAGGAATGGATTGGGGTCCCACTTAAAGAAGCAGTCTGGCCACCCTGTGGCAAGGCAGTTGTGTTGCGTTGTGGGGGACCCTTCCTCCTCCAGACTGTTTAGATTCTCCAACTCCAGTAGGCTAAAACGTCTGAATCTACCGAAGTGCAGAGATGGAGGTCACCTCTGCCCCGGAGGAACTGGGTCCTATCTCAGGCTGACTCTAGCCTGCCTAGCATTGCCATTGGCTGGCTGGAATTCCAAGCCAGTGTGTCTTAACTTTTGAGGTGCCATGGGAAGTGGGGCCTGCAGAATGACACTCCTTGACTCCCTGGATTCAGCCCCTTTGCTGGGCATATGTACAGGCAGATCTCCCCCCTTGCCAGGGATCCTGGAGCTGGGGTACATAAAGCTCCTGGGTCTTTGTGTGTGCCCAAGTAGCTGTTCTGCTGAGACTCCACACAGCTTTGTGTATCGGACTCAAGGTCCTGATGACATGGGCTCACGAGAGGATCTCCTGATCTGCAGATTGCAAAGATCCGTGGGAGACACCTGGTTTCCCGGGATGTGGTTTGGGGTTCATTTGGCTCCGTGGTGCTCCTGGGTGGGCCATCGCCCCACTTTGCTTTTCTTCATTCTCTATGGATTGAGTTGTTTGCCTAGTCAGTCCCAATGTGAGAACTTGGATATTTTAGTTGAAGGTGCTGAATTCACTCGCAGCTTTCATTCCTCTTCGTGAGTGCCACAGACCATAGCTGCTTCTCATGGGCCATCTTGGTCCCTCCCCTTCATTGTTATTTCTACTAATAAATAAGAATAGTTATCATTATCATGTACTTCATATGTGCTGGGCACTCCTTCTAGCACTTTACTTGATTTGTCTCATTTAGTACTCACAACAACCTCATAAGGTAAGTTAAAATATCTGTATCTTACAGATGATGAAATGGAGACAAGGTGGTGGACAACTTTCCCAAGGTCACATAGTCAGTGTCCAAGTCAGGCTGTGAAACCAGGTGAAGCCTGTTCTCTCTACCCAGTAAGCTATGGAAGAGCATAATAGGTCTAGGGATCATCAAGGTGAACTCCCTCTGATAAGGTGGCCTTCAGCTTGGCATGAAAGTATCTAGAAGGTTTACTGAGTCATACTTCACTTCTAAATAAACATAGGGAGGCAGGAATACCATGGTGATCAGGGTAAGAAGAAAAGCAGTAAGAATGGATAGAATGGTAGAGGCTTATGCAAGGCTGTAGTTAGGAGTAATGTGGAAAAGTAACTTGAGGTGAGAAGTTCAAAGGTGTAATGGGGGTGAGTTTGGAGAACAGTTTATTAATTTTGACTTATAGAATATCAACAGATTGTGTGTATGTTGGGTCGATCAGTTGATTGACTAAAGTTAGCTCAAAAATTGTACGTCTTACATCCCATGAGGCCAAATCTTAGCAGCTGGATTATTCAGTGCTTATGTTGTGAAAACTGAGTTCTTTTCCTGATGACCCAGATTAGAGGGATTACACAGGCAATTAGCTGGAAGCAATCCAGAGCAAAGACTAAGTGATGCAAGTTTACTCTACCTACCCCTTAACAAGATCATATAAGTTCATATAGAGAGGAGAAGAGAATACAAGGAGAGGGAAAAATGGGAAGGAGGGAACCAGTGCAATAAATCAATTGGTTACACAAAAAAGCCATGTGCATTTCAGTATCTCTAGTTTTGCCCACATACTCCTGACCAGCATTTTCTCTGCCCATGGCTAGTTTACTTTTCTGGGCTGCATGATTTCATCAGGTCAAATTAATTCTGCCCCTTTCCATACCTTTTTGGCCACGTTACTGGTAACATTAAGCATCAAACCATACACTGCCTGTTATTATTATGGATGAAGACTTAGAAGTCATGCATTTGAGCTCAACGACATGGGCAAGTATGTGTATTTATCCCCATTTCCAGATGCAATGATGGAACACATCAAGGCTAGTTCTTTGACCTCATGCTGCTATATTTGATCTGAGCTGAATTGTATTGAAACAAAACACTGTTTCTATATTGCATTGTAGTTATCTCTTTATGTCACCATTTCTCCCATTTGTGTGCTGCAGCTGCAGAGCCCAGCACACTGGTAACTGGCACTAAGTAGGGTAAATGCTTACTGAATGAGTGAATACAATTATACTGAAGAGGAGCTGAATAAAAGGTGAACGTAAGGTGTTACCGGCTGAAATAAATATTCAGAAATATTCTGACCTGACCCAACAGTTGTCTAGATAAATTTGTATCATTGGTCCCACAGGATTGTTTTCCTTTAGTTCTCTCTCATCTCTTGATCTCACTTACATACTTGACATTTCTTTCCACCAAACCCATGCCCTGGCTTTTGCTGCATCATTACACCAGCAAATGTTTTAAACTCAGTACTGTGAGCAGTGTACAATACAGCAGTAATCCCATGAGGATAAGAAGCTGACTTTTCAGAATATGTCCTAGTTTTGAATCAGACTAATTATTTAACAAACCATAAAAACAGCAACTAAAATCATTGACATATAGTCTTTCCTTTTCATAAAATAATTGTGTTCTCTGATGAAAGAATTTTAAGCCCTCAGCTGTGTTCTACACTTACTGCTGTAGGGGACATTAGAAATAATTTAGCCCTATGATGACAGAGCTTAATTTTTTTCTCCTTAGTGTTAAATTCTACTCTGAATAACAGTTACGAAGCTAATGCTAAGTCATTATTTTATGATAAAATAAGATCTTCTTAGCTTACAAGGTTATAGGATGCATGGATAAAGTGTTACAGGATGAAAAACTGCATAAAGATTTTCCTTTCCTAAGAATTGTTTCTCTTCCCCCACAAAATTACTAGAAATGACATACTTAAGTAAAAATATTTTTCATCCAAATGTGTCTAACATAACTTTTAAACACTGAGTTCTTTTATAAAGTGATTATGGGAGACACAATAGATTAGCAACTTTTTGTTTTCATTTTACTCCTTCTGAAAAGCCCTATATGTCATATTTTTTATTTCAAAGCCCTGAAAACCAAAGTGAGATTGACACATGCCAGTGCGTGTTAAAGCTGGTGATCTGGAACAGGTGCTTATGCAGGTGATGCACCATTTCAGCCCTCAGAAGGCTCCATTCTTTGTCTACTGCCTGCTGAGCCCCCCAGATCACTTCTCAGTCAGCTTGTGGCATCTCTTTGCCCTTTCCAATGCCCCACAGATCCCAGGGATTAAATTTCAGCTTCATTCATTCTTAACTCTGCCCTGGGGCTTCTTTTTCCCCCAAATATGCTTGTCACAGAGTTACAGGCTTTCCTTCTCTTTCCTTCTTTTCTGTTTCCTTTTCAGCACACTGTAAAATGCAAGTAATCTCTTTCATGTAAACAATCTTAATGTTAATTATTAAAAAGAGAGATACTGGACAATGAAAATGACACAAACATGCACATTTCTCAGAGTCATTGAGATGAAATATGAGAAAGAGTAACTTTTATAGGGCACGTGACAAGCTTTGATCGAATTTCAAAGGAAGGCTGTACATACTGTGTTGTTTTGTCATTCAGGTCACAAAATTCTTAAATCTAATAAATAGAATTCATTTGGTTAAGAAATTTATATTCAATAATAATTGAAGGAGTTCTTCAATTCTGGACTTGTAAAGCAAAAGGATTTGTTAAGAATAATTAAATTGACACTCTGTAATGAGAATTGTATGCTGTTCCGTAATTATGGTCAGAGTATAAATGGTCAACGGCATATTTGATAATAACAGCTATAATTTAATTCATCCTTATTATTGTGGGAATTATACTAAGTGATAATGATCTTCCCCACAATCATTTGATACCACACCTGTCCCCCAACTCTTAATAGATGGTCTTGCCACCAGATTCCACATGGAGAAAATAGAAATCACCTTGATTTCCCACCACTGACCCTGCTTATTTTTGTGAATCTGTATTCATCTTTTCTTTGTTCCTTCTTATCACAGTTGAGATGGTGTCCCTCCCTTTAAGACCAATCCAATAGTCTTCTGCTAATGTTTAACAAATAGCCTTCTGAAAAAAGAAATCCTGATTTGCAACATTTGCTGATTTCTGTAGTGTAAAACTTACCACCATGGCTGATTTTAAGCTACTAATATGACATCAACACACTATGCATGGAAAGAGATGAGCACATAGGCTTTGCATCTAGTACAACTCAGCTCTAGCCCACCCCTGCCTCAATCCCTCTTGTCTTCTGAAGAAGCAGTAGAAAATGGTAGATCCGTATACAGACTTTATAGTCAGGTTTGCCTGAGTTTGTATCCTGGTTCTAATCCTTAATATGTCTAAAGTTTTGAACAAGTCATAATTTTTCTGTACCTCAATTTCCTAATTGGTAAAATGATGATTAATAAAAATACACCCTGTGGTGTATAGCAACATTATCCTCTCAATCTGTAACAAAAGGATAAAATATCTTTGAAGTATAGTACTATTATTAATATCCATTTTACAAATGAGGGCATTGAGAAACTAGAACTACTGCTCTAATTCTTTCTCTTTATTTAACCAAATTTTATTTCATTTCCTCCTCTCCCACCTACTCCTCAATACATTCCAAACTGGCATCAGTACCCACTCTGCATACAGATTTGACTTTCGGGAATAAGTTTAATCTCAGGTTGGGTTTTCTGGAAACAGATTTTAGAAAGAGGTTTGTATGTTGGAAGTTTATGGAGAGTACTTTCAGAAGAGACTATAAAGAATTTGGGGAGGCAGGATTGAAAAGGAGAGCTTGCCAAACTGATGCATTTGTACCAGAGGCCTTTCCAGATCTAATGGGAACTCTGGAACTGGCATGGTTCTTCAGAGTTTTTCTGAATTGATGTAAGAGGGTAGGTCCTTTGTCTATAGTTGTATTAACCAGCATTAAAATAGAAGGGGAGAAACCTTGGGTAAGGAGGTTCCCTTTGGCACTTCCAGGAGAGAAATACAGCTGTGAGGCCCCAGCAACTAACAAACCCATCAGTCACCTGGGGAAATGAATTCCTCTTTTAGAAAGATGGCATGGGTGAATATATCCATTGGCCTGCTCAGATCCATTTGCTTCATATGGTAAGTTCACCACACTGAGGAGTAGTTGCTCCAAGCTTCTTATTGGTCTCATTTCTTGGGAAATCTTACACAATGAATGTTAATAGGAAGAACTAGAGCTCCAGCTGTTATATCTAGTCTTGAGACCACAACTGATTTTCATACCCATTCCCTCATGGTGACCCAAAGTCACCATGTCCTTCTCGGGCTATGGTTGCTGGACTTGTCCATTTGCCCAGTTCATTTACAGTTGGGCAGAAGAGTACCAAGAGATGTCCCAGTGGATCACTTGGGTGCCAGTAACACTCTTCCCTATCCACATTGTGTAACAGTAGCCCCACTTCCTTCTGATCAAGGTCAATTACCTTTGTCATGTGACAACTCCTTTCCTTACTTTTTGGTCTCTTGGTACAATGGACCTGAATTTAGTAGCCATAACTCAAAGTTAAGTGGAAGTCCTGCTGTGTCTTCTCATGAAAGAATTTCCTCTTTGGGAATTAGGGTCTCTAGACCCGTAATGTCTAAACTTGTGGTAGAAAATTCCCAACTGAGTCACTAGGAGGGATGGTAAGTGAGGCCATTCCTACTTTCACCCCTTTGCCGCTGGTCCCATATACTCTACCTACTGGAAACACAGCACCATATAATGCTCATTGTTTAGGATGTATAATTAATCCTGGTAGATGATGTCCCATCCTTTTAGGGTCTCACCTCCATTTGGTGCTTTAGCTGCACCTTGGAAAGATTGTCTTGTTGTTCTATCAGGCTGGAAGCTACTAGTTGGTATGGTGTGGTATAGGCTTAGTGCATGCCATAGTCATTGCCATACCTCTTTTTCTATAAAGTGAGTCTCTTTGTTTGAGGTGATGTTATATGGTATTTATTGTCAATTGAGCAGTACTCTGTAGGCTCTTAGACAGTAGTGCTGCCTAAAGCCCTGTGGGCAGAAAAGGTAAACCAGTACCCAAAGTTGTGACAAGTCTAGTTGAGATAAATTTCTGCTCATTTGAGAATAGATGGAGTCCAAACTACCTTTTCACCAAGTGCTTAAGGAGTGATACTATATTGGGAGCTCAGTGTTTATTTCTGCTGCTGGCAAGTTGACCATTCCATAGAAGAAGCTAGATTATCCTTAGTAAGTTGAAGCTCATACTGTTGGATCCATGTAGAGTCTCTATCCCTGTTACCATGGCCATGGCACTCATGAGTGATTATGCCAGCAATAACAGACCCTGGCTGACATCAATTAGCTGACTCATTCTGCCTACCTGGTTGTTTAGTGCCTCTTCCATGGTTCTCGGGTGGGTGTTAACATGTGATAAAGAAAGCCCACAGAGGCCAGGGTGTGTGGCTCATGCCTGTAATCCCAGCACTTTGTGAGGCTGAGGCGGGCAGATCACCTGTGGTTAGGAGTTCAAGACCAGCCTGGCCAACATGGTGCAACCCTGTCTCTACTGAAAATACAAAAATTATCTGGGCGTGGTGGCATGCACCTGTAATCCCAGCTACTTGGGAGGCTGAGGGAAGAGAATCACTTAAACCTGGGAGGCGGACGTTGCAGTGAGCCAAGATTGCACCACTGCATTCCAGCCTGGGTGATAGAGTAAGCCAAAAAAAAAAAAAAAAAAAAACAAACAAACAAAAAAAAAAACGAAAGAAAGAGAGAGAAAAAGCAAGCAAGCAAGCCAGCCTACAGAAAGCAAACAGCCTTGCAGACTCTTCTAGCATCCTTGATACATAGGAAATCATGCAGCCAGATGACAAGCCCAATATTTGGTTTTCAGAGAACCAGCCCCAGCATCACAAAACAAAGTAAAGGTGAGTGGGTTTGGAGTTGAAGATCTATCCCAAAATAACAGATAGGACCACCACTCTGCATACTTTAATTTTTAATGGTGAGATTAATCTGTCATTACTCACTTTGATATTGTTTTTTAAAATTTGCAATCTCAGTTTTGGATAGGAAATCAATTCCAGGAGTTTACACACGGTCTTGGCAACTCTGAGAGCTCTTATATCACATGTCACTGAATCAACATAGGGTTACTGCCAATTACGAAGTGTGTCCAGTTTGAGCTTTCATTCAGGTAGTAGAGAAATAATCATGAACAGAGATGACCTACTCTAATCCCATGTACCCCTCACTCTAATATGGGTGTCAAGATAATACTTTAGGTTGTTAGATATCCACAGCAATTCAGACTCTTACCAACATTCTCAAAAGTTCTGACTATTACCTGGTATGTGTTTACCCAAATAAATGACCATAGGTCCCTTTGGAGAAGAACTAAGGAGAATCCTTACCTTATGTTATTGTTATAGAATTAAATGGTTCTTTCCCATGAGAATCCAAACCCTTTTTAGTTAATGTGTTTCAAGCCTAAGATCTACCTTAGGTTTGGAAACTGGGTAAGTCATCAATATTTTTGGGAGGGTCATTTGCCCTCAACCTTCCAATTATCATATTCAATTTCTTTTGGTTATAAAAATTAAACAATATTTTTCTGGTTTTCCACCTATTTTTATCCTAGAACACCACATTCTATTAAACATTTCTGTAGATCTCTGCAGGTCAGGATCCCTGGATGACTCTGACCTTGTCATTTGTTCCAAAAATTGCACCTGTTTCTGACACCAAGCTTTGTTACTCTGGGGTCCTATCATCACTGGTTTTTGTAACAGCACCTCCTACCTTCAGCCCTGGGATCCATAAGACAACCGTCACTGAGCTTCTCAATCACGTTAATACTTCTCTCACCAGCATGCTCTGTATTGCTTTGGTAAATCCAATGTCCTCTGGGCCCTCACATGGATCATAGTCAGCTAATAAATTTTCTAGATTAAATACTACATTCATTCTGGCATGGCCACTTCTCTGCTCGTTTTAGTCTTTCCTACCACTGACTGCTATGGCAGTGCTAGCATTACTACTTCACTGTTTTATCACCATCTCTTGAGGTGTTTGCCAGCATATTAAATTTCGTGTTACAAGAGAGGGTTGATCCAATATTGATATACTCTCCCTTATCCAAGTTCATATTCTGTTCTCTCACCCCCATTTTCATACAGCACTTTCAGGATCCTATATACACTCTCCTGATTCTTGCCAGTTCATGTCCTGGAGAAGATACTAGAGCCCTACATTTGTATAATACACCTTCCCTGCTGGTTATACTGTGAATTAGCCCTAGTCATTGGCCTGGAGACCAGGAGGCGAGGTGCGGCTAAATCTTGATGGGCACAAATGATATCGTGTATGATGGTCGGTTTTATGTGCCAACTTAGCTAGACTATAATCAACAGTTATTAAAGCAATTTCTCATCAAAGTGGTGCTGTCAAGGTATTCTGCAGTTGTGATGAAAGTCTATAACCAGTTTACTTTAAGCCAGGAAAATTACCCTACACAATCTGGGTGAGTATGATTCAATGAGTTGAAAGGCTGTAAGAACTGAACTGAGGCTTCCCAGAAGAAATTTCACCTGTGGACTGCAGTTTCAGTATTGCTTGAAAGTTCCAATTTGCCATTCCTGATAGCCTGCCCTGTACATTTTAGACTTGCCAAGCTAGTTGTCACAATTGCTTAAACTAATTTCTTGCAATAAATCTCTTAATGTATATTTCCTACGGGTCTAATTTCTCTGATGGAATCCTGACCAATACATCTTTCATGGCAGAGACCTTGCATCATCTTCAACAAAGGAGGCATTGCTAGCCTTAAATAGAAACAAATTGTCCAATTCTCCAGGTCCGGAGGACTCAGGGACTTTAAGGATTAATAAATCTCCAGTGCACTTGCCCAGATGTCTTTATCCCAAGTCTCCCGACCCCACTCTTTTTCAAAAATGGCCCTGACCTTGGTATAGCATACCTGAGGGGGTGGAGGACTCAACTTACTCTGCAGTTGCTCTGTTGTTGTAATTAATCGTGGGCCCAACCTTCAGATTATTCTACTGTAGCTGCAGGGAATGGGAGACTCTATGTATACTACTCCTGATGTCCTAAGAATACTTTAACCTTATATCCACGAATAAACTTATCTTTCCCTTCAAATGTGACTTTCTTCTATTCCATAACTCTTATTGATGAGTCTACCATCTATCAAATTCTGCAAATAGAAATGTGGGAGTAATTCTGATAAATTATCTCCTTATTTACTTTTATTTTTTATCAGCTTCTGAATGCAGTTAGTTTTGTCTTCCAAATACTTCTTGATTCCATCTACTTTCTTTTATTTCTCTCACCACAAATATTCTAGCCTAAGCACTGCCATCTATCTGCTAGATTACTGTTATAGCTTCTAACTGATCTCGTGTCCACTCTTGCTCTACTCCAATCACTGCCCCACAATATCCAGAATAGTCTTTAAGAAGTTAAACTCTGATAGACTGGATTAAGAAAATGTGGCACATATGCACCATGGAATACTATGCAGCCATAAAAAAGGATGAGTTCATGTCCTTTGTAGGGACATGGATGAAGCTGGAAACCATCATTCTCAGTAAACTATCACAAGGACAAAAAACCAAACACCGCATGTTCCCACTCATAGGTGGGAATTGAACAATGGGAACACTTGGACACAGGAAGGGGAACATCACATACCGGGGCCTGTCGTGGGGTGGGGAGAGTGGGGAGGGATAGCATTATGAGAAGAACCTAATGTAAATGACGAGTTAATGGGTGCAGCACACCAACATGGCACATGTATACATATGTAACAAACCTGCATGTTGTGCACATGTACCCTAGAACTTAAAGAATAATAATAAAAAAAAGAAGTTAAACTCTGATTATGTCACTCTCCTGCTTACAACTTTTGTATGGCTTCTCCTTGCTCTTTGGGTATCCACCAGAAGCTGTATACCCAGTCAAGGCCCTTTAGTGATCTCCTGTTACCCTTGCTACACTCTGCCCCTCCCTCCTGTGCTGCTACAGACTCTCAGTTCCTTGAAAGTGCCCTTCTCCCTTCCACCACTAGGCCTTTGTGTGTGCTGTGCCCTCCCCTTGCAACACCTGTGTCACATTTACCCCTTTCACTAGCTCTTGGTCATTGATTACATCCCAACATAACCATCACTACTTCAGGGAAATATTCTTATTGGGCAAATTGATAGAAAGGGCTTGAAAGTCCTTTAAGCTGAAAGAATCTCCTCTTATTTGCAATCAACTGAAAATGGATCCTTTATTTGTGAAGCATCCTCATGGCTCTTGCTTGTGTTACACCATTGAGCATTTCCAGGCAAATGTAGAAAAGGGCATTGCTGTTTAATCACTTCCTGATTAATATCATATAGATTACAAATGCTCTCTAAAGTGCTAGCCAAGTAATACTCCTCATTCATATTTCACGTGACAAAAGTCCCTGATTCTTATGCAGATAAAGATCTTATTCACTCTTTTGTACCAAGAAAACTGGGAGTAAAGTGAACTGGAGGTGGTTACTCTCATTTTTACTGCTCTTCCTTTCCTTCAGACTGAGGTCTGAGCAAACATAAATATTTTGTTCCAGGTTTCTATGCCTGATACAACTCATGTTTCCTCTGCCTGAAATTCTTCCCTTTTTGAATCACCCTGTGTACTACCACCTGCCTACAGCCCCCCAAAGTGTGCACATATCTTAGATTTTCAAATTCTATCCATGTTTATTTTTTCCATGAAAGTTGTTTTCATTCCATGTCCCAACCTCGTCCTTTTTTTCATTCCATGTCCCAACCTCTTGTCCCAGTAATCCCTTTGATCACAATTCACACTATTTTCCAAAACTCTGCTATGGTAGGCTCATGTATCCTTCTTTTTATTTTAGCCTCTTGTGTGCAGGCTTTATTATAATGTTTGACTTTCAAAAATTCCTCGCTGTAGGGGCCGGGCGCGGTGGCTCACGCCTGTAATCCCAGCACTTTGGGAGGCCGAGGCGGGCGGATCACGAGATCAGGAGATGGAGACCACCCTGGCTAACATGGTGAAACCCTGTCTCTACTAAAAATACAAAAAGTAGCCGGGCGTGGAGGCGGGCGCCTGTAGTCCCAGCTACTTGGGAGGCTGAGGCAGGAGAATGGCGTGAACCCGGGAAGCGGAGCTTGCAGTGAGCAGAGATATCACCACTGCACTCCAGCCTGGGCGACAGAGCGAGACTCCGTCTCAAAAAACAAACAAACAAACAAAAAAATTCCTCACTGTACGTGGCACAGTGCCTTGCTCAAACAAGGTCATCAATAAATATTTGTTGAATAAAAAATTTAATGAATGAAAAATGTTGGTGACCAGTGAGGAATCAAGGACCACACAGGAGCCAGGGCAAATAAATAAAGCAGTGGGTTGAAAACCAGATAAAGAACTCAAAAGGCAGAGAACAGAGACACCTCTCCAAGAAAAGCAGACCATGGGACCATAAGACAAAGCTTAACATTAGATGATTCCGTTGAAATGGCTGAAATTGTAGGAATTCCAAAATCAGGATCAAGTTAGGTGACGCGTGTTGAGTCATAAAAAAAACTCTGCTTAAAAGAGGATGCTGGTTGGTTTAAATTATTTAAGTTATTTTGGGTAGTTTTGCTTTCCTAATCTAAAGTCAGGGAAGGAAAATTGTGTTTCCTTTGAGTGGGAAGGCAGCTGGGAAGTTATGAGGAAAAGAGAGATTTTTAGCAATAAAACCAATCTTGGGGAGTAGAATGACAGATTTAAAAGAGAAAACAGTAAGATTTTTTTTGTAAAACTTTTCAAGGATAAACAGGAATGTAATCTCTCAGAAAATGTGAGATCCCAAAGAGAGAGTATAGAGTAAAATGATTCAGTGGCATGGTATTAGATGAAAGCCTAAAGAATCAGAAGGGCTTGCTAATACAAGAAATAAAGCAAAAATAAAATTTCCATGAAGCTTTAGGATTTATACTTTGTTATCCTTCATCTGTATTTTTGGTTTGTATTCAACACTTTCTGGTTGACTGAATTTAATTTTCATCCTGATGTTCTGATTTTATGTAGGCACAGTTTAAAAATCTACTGAAAATAGTACCAAATATATCTTCAAAAACTTGACTGATTCTTCTAGGTTTTCTTTCGATTACGCAGTCACTTTGAACAAAAGGTATTAAAAGTTAGAAAATTTAGACTTCAAATGACTATAACCACATCATTCAATCTTATAGTCCTTAGATTCAAAGAGTCAAATAAGATTAAGATCTTTATTTGACATTAAGGCATACCAATTTTCAATACCTCAGTTCACACTAATACATCTTATGCATGAGCTCATCTCTTCTTTCATATTATATGCATTCTTTGCTGCTTGTAAAAGTTTCTCAACACAAGGCTCATTGTATTCTATCACTCTTATATTCTAGGATGCCAGCACCCAAATAGTAATGATCTCATAGTTGATGAATCAAGTCTTAGATGTAGTATGAAAAGGACAAATTATTGCTAGGAGAATCAGGAACATTAAATGCAATGGTATTTTCAATTTTGAATTATACATGCACATACAAAGAGAAACTCAATTTTGTGTAGTATCTGTGATAATATGTAGGAATGCCTTTAGTTTTGAAGGCAGACTTAATAGCCTGCATGTCATTTATGTATCAAAGTAAAAATTAAAAGCATTAAATATAAGCCAAATCACTGCAGTGATTATTAGAAAAAACTATTCTAAATTGCAAAGCACTATTCAAGAAACAAGAAAGCTTTGGTTATAGCTTGGCATTCAGGATAGTTGGGTAGAATATTGCATGAATCTGTTAAATGTCAGAGGAGAATGAGAATAGCTCCAGCAAATACTTTTCTTAGTCTGTAACATACATGTTTTTTTTTATATATAGTATTTTAAAATTTTCTGTTACCTAGCACCAAAGAATTCTTATTTATCTTTTTTGCTGGATAATAATCTTAGGATATATTTGTCTTTCTTTTGTCTCCTTTTTCTTTCTTTTCTTTTTTTCATTTTGAGGCAGAGGAGCTGAAATAAACATTAGCTTATAGTGCCACCATAAATAAATAACTTCCAGAATTATCTGAGACTTCTTGGAGAAATAGTTCTCAGAATATCTATTACTGTCATCCCTCCATATACACTGGGGATTGGTTCCAGAACCACTACAGTACACCCAAATTCATGCATACTCAAGTTCTGCAGTCAGCATCACCCAATCTGCCAATAGGGAAAGTCGGCCCTTTGTATATGCAGGTTTTGCATCCTGCAAATACTGTATTTCTGATTTGCGTTTGGTTGAAAAGTTAACCTATAAGTGGACTCTTACAATTCAAACTCATGTTGTACAAAGGTCAACTGTATATTTAAAGTCCCATGGAATCAGTGGGACTTAACTGTTCTTATATAACAATAAATGTTTTTCATTAGGGTGCAAAGATTATGTGAATTGGTCATTTTGGATAATTGTTCTAACCATGGATCAGTAGAAGAATTAAATGCACATGGGCAGTACATTGTCCAGGCCTGAAAACTTTCTGAAATGACTATCAACATTTTATGTGTGGTTTTTATATTATGCCAGGCCAAATTTATTTTATTTTAAGTCTTAATTTTATCTTTTGCGGAATTACATATGCACATAATTTGAGTCAAAGAGTTGTACAAAGTTTGTTAACAAAACAGCAGTGTCAACTCTTTTTCTTTCTCTTTTCCTCACTAGAGGCAACACTTTTACCTGCTTCAGTTGATTCTCTTGGTGTCATGTGTTTAAACATGGTTTTAATTGTTACTCTCTGATTTTTCATTTTTAGCCATTACCTATTGAATTTCTATTATGTATGACAAAGATGAAGCTCTCTTTTCTCTCCTAGCCTTCACCATCCTCCTCAAATACTGTGATTCTGCTTAGACGAATATTCAACACTTATATTACTATAACTGTACAATGCAATTCACAGAGAAGTCATGGAGTAAACTATTATTTCTCCTTTTCTATGCAGCTATTTGTTTTCAAAGGTGTCAATTATCATCCTTTATTTTCTTTTGCTTAATTTTCTAATGTGCTTATTGTGAATCATTCTGAAACCTTTTTGGCAAACTTTTCCTTAAAAATATTCTATAAATCATTGACGCTTTTAATCCTTACACCTTGCAGTCTCTTTTACAACTATGCAAATCTGCTATTGTAGATTGGGCCCATGGGCTGTATGTAGTTT
Organism: Homo sapiens; assembly: GCF_000001405.40. Lineage (NCBI taxonomy): Eukaryota > Metazoa > Chordata > Mammalia > Primates > Hominidae > Homo > Homo sapiens. Next base: position 153,899,463 of record NC_000003.12, on the reverse strand, counting down.
GCAGTTCCTAGAGTAAATCATCCCTCAAGATGTTCAGTTGCTTCAGATATTCTATTAATTTTTTTTTCTCCAGAGAAGTTTCTCTTTGAGATCCCTATACTGCTTTCTGTACCTTTGCCATAGGCGCCATCCTGGGGTCTCCCTCGCAATGACCCTGGGATTTCCTTTGCCTCGTGTCTCTCGTGGGATCTCCTGTTTCCTGTATCTCATATTTTTCTTTTTCTTGGCTAATGCCCTTGTTTTGGTGAAAAACCTTTTCCAAAAGCTTTTAGAGAAGGGACACAGATGAAATAATGCAAATTCTTTATTAACGTGATTTTCCAATAATTCACTATGATGTGAGATGGTTTTATTTGCTTGCTTGCCTTTTTGTCACACTTTCCATTAGACTTACCAGAATTTGACCAAGAAAAACTAATGAATGCTAAATTAATTTTATGTAAAATTTTGTTTGTTTTTTTTTTTCTTTTAAATAAGATCAGGAAACAAAAAGAGTCAAATAGATGTCTGGGACTTGTAACTACAATACTCTACTGACTCATTTTAGTTTTGATGGCAAGGAATGTGAGGATGGTAATATATAAAAATGGGGGTGAAATTAAATTAACAGTAATTTGTTTTTTCCATAAACTTGTGATAGCTTCAGAATGACCTCCACTGCAATCCTCATTATAATGGTGGACTAATTGGTTCATAGTATGCTCCGGCTAGGAAGTTTCAGGGAATTAATATTGATGCCTTAGATATCAACATGTTTCCCTGAGAAGAAGGGTTTTGCTGCACATTTTAGGGTCTTTCTTAATAAAGAAGAAATTTTATAAAATTGAAATTTGTTTATAACACTTATAGTAATTGATTACAGTATTGAAAATATTTTAAAGCAATTGATTTTTGACAAAGAAATAAAATACTTAAAATATGTTAAACTAAATTAGATTTAAAAATAATTTTGTGGCAATTTGTTTAGAAAATCAAAGGGGAATGCATGGTATTCTTGTGCCAAGAAACCTGGTTTGAAATGGGTTTCTAAAGAAGAGAGTGCTTGTGTTCCCAGAGATCTCTTAAGAGGTATGTTCAGAATATTAATGAATTAGATGGGAACTATCCTTGAGCACACTGTTCTGTACTAACATACTTGGTGGCTCGTTTGAATAAAGAACCAAGTAGAAACATGGAGTTCCTGAGGCTGATGGGTGGCTTTAACTTTGACCTTTGTGGCCTTAGTAGGTTTCTTTTCCCTTAATGTGATTTTTTTGTCTTTTAATTTTAGGTTTAATATGAATGTGGATATGTCATGTAATTGTGGCTTTACTATGGTAACTGCTTGGCATAAACAGACCTCAAGGCAGTTGTACCTATAAGTTAGACTCATCTTTCATTAGAAATTTTGCATAATCTATTTTTAATTTATGCCCTTTCATATGGGTTGAAAGTAGGCTTAACATCCATCTCACTACTCAACCCTCTTCATGGTTAAGAAAGCTATGAAGCACATGAAAGCCCCTTTGTTCTGAGTGTGCCTTTAGCTTTTTGATTCTATCTTTGTAAAACTTCTCTGAAAAGACTATTTTTAATTCTACTCTTTCTTTCAGATGTAAGCAATATAATTCCTTGGCTTTATTTTAGAAAAGTATTGAATGCATCATACCCAGTAAACTAAGAGTCTACTTTTGTAAATAATAGCTTTAATTACTTTGGGGTGAAAAATCACTCTCATATTTGGCAAACTATAGGTAAAATTGGATCTCATTTTTCTGGAAGGTATAACTGACTTACGGAGGCTGCCTAAGAGTCATATAAAAATATTGATAATAAGAGTCACACATTTTAAGGATGTGGCTTAGAAAAACATAGCCTACTCCTAAGTGTGAAAATGAATGAAGACCATTGAAATGAGAATAAGCATAGGCTATTTATTTAAAGCTTGCTATAGCAAGGAAGTCAGCCACCATCATTTGCATTTGGCAGAAACTCAAAGGCAGGTAGTGAAGTGGAAAAGCTTTATAGTGGGAAAAAAAGCAAGGCTTCAGGTCTGCCCTTAATGGAGGCTGTTGGCAGGAGAAGCTGGAGGTCTACTAACTCATGGGGCATCCTATAAGATTGGTTAGGGGAGCAATATTTGGCTTTCTCCCATTGATCGCAAGTTGGAACCAGGGACAAAAGTTAAGAAGCTGTCAATTATTGATCAAGTCCTAACCATTTTTGGACCAAGTGCTACAGAGGTTGTGGTTTGGCTTCCTGGACTGGTTACAGCAGGTTATGGGCCAGAGTTCTATTTTAATATGTAATCTAGCAGTTGTGCATCTTATGTTCAGTCTCTTACAAGGAGCCAGAAATGTCTCTCATTCGATGACAAATTATAAATAATTCACAGGAACTAACTTAAAATTCAGGATAATTTTCCAATCATCATATTGTTCTAGGTATTTTTTTTCTTTTCATCAGTAAAGAAAAACATAATTGATGTGCTCCTTTTCCAGTTAAGGAGAATTCTTGACAACTATTACAAATAGTTATAGAGTCAAAATTAATTTTTGATTTAGTAATATTAAAAATCATTAAAATAATTTAATCACAAAAGGCTTTCCCTTGCTTCTGTGAAAGGATGAAGATCCTCTCATCTGTTTCAAGGTCTGTAAACACAGTGTGCTTTGAATTTCTTATAAGAAAACTTCTATTGCATAAAACCAAGCAAAGGCTATTCTCTATACACTTTTTTCATTTTGCTTTGGCCTGATATTACCAATGGACTTTTTGCAAACTACTAATATATTTACTCTTCAATGTCAAATGGTCCTCAAATGCTACACTCTTGTCACTGGATCTAAAAATCTGTTGTGTTAGATATAGGCAAATAAAAATACAATACAAAAAAAAGTGTGTATACAGGCAAATTATGCTAATGGAGTTCCACTTTTTTGACATAGAACACTCTGAAATGGCAGTTAATGGTAATTAATAAGTGATAAGCAAAACAATTAAAGTCAGTCTGCAACTAACCTCGCCAGACTGCTAATGTTGCTCTGACTCCCACCAATCAGTCAAGCTAATTAGGAGGATCAGACAGTCATTAATAGCTTTTGTCTCTGAGACAAGTGGCATATTATGAATACTGTAGAGTTAAAGGGGCTGCACTGAGGTGTGACTATCCCAAAGGCAGAAACCAACAGCAAAAGAGAAAGTGCTTCTCCAATTGTTTCCTCATAGGCTCCTATTTGCACCTTTTTCTAATAATGTATTATTCAAATTTTATATTCGTGGCTCAAGGGAAGTATTATATATAAATACTATAATTATTCAATTGTGTTTTTTAAAGTGAAAAATATGTTAAATGTGCGTTCTTTTTATTCTTTCATGAATATTTATTTAGGTGGCTTATAATTATAAACAATACCAGCATCTACCTTACCTCTGTAGCCTCTCATTTTCACAATGAAGAATGTGTATTAGTTTACTTGCGTTTTTCCCTATATAAATCATTGGCAATGAGAAATGATAAACTCATTCTGCCCAGTATTATGTGGGTGATCAATAATTAGTATTAGAAAACAACTTTACAGTGCATTGTTGAACATTATTGAGCTGATGATGTCTTAGATAAAATCATTTCCATTTTGAATGTGGCAAATTCATATTAAAGACACTACATATGTTCTTGGCATTAGCTCCCAACTCTGAACTTTTGCAGTAAATAGAGACAAGGTGTTAATTAAGAGAACTGCCAGTCCAAATGAATAATGGAGTGCTGGAAATAGCATGGGTGAACGCTTGACCTTCTGCATCAAAGAGGTGCTCCAATGATGAAGTCTCAATTTTGGAATTATGACTGCAGAATAATGAGAATGTGGAAGGGTAAGAAGGATAGTGGGATCTCCATTAACTCATTCAGCTACTCCTAATTAGTTTTTAAAAACTGTCAGGCAATGTTTAATGAAAGGCTTCTCAGGAATATGAAATGAATAAAGGTCACAGTACATACAATTTCTTCAACCCCAAAGGGTACCAACTAAATATTAAGTAATAATAGATATTTTGTAAGACCCTTCCTAAATAATTTGCATTAAGCAGCATTAAAAAAGCAGCCTCTCTCTGACACTCAGCTGGGCCAAGTTAACTCAGCTACCTTAGCCCAGGGGAGAGGACGGGGGTAGGGCAACAAGCAGGAGTTCAGGAGAGTGTCCATGATCAATCCAAAGACAGCCACCTTTGACTTATATGTGTCCTGTAGAGAGGGCTGTGTATCTCAGTAACCTAGTTCAGGGAAGTTAGAATCTGAAACCTTTGACCAGGTAACTCTGTTCCTCATTCTAACTTGACAACTAAGTTGGGAAGTCTTTCTTGACTATGAGATTACACCCGGTTGATAAAGTATCCAGTCACCATCTAGTCAGGATATTGAATTACACATTTCTAAGGTTTTAAATATCTTTGGACATCATTGTTTGTGAAGATTCTTCTGAAGCTACTAAAGACCTCAGGCCATGAGAGTAAAAAACAGTTCAGTGAGGCCAATGCTACTACTGACTTAGTTGCTTTAAGAAAGTAGCTTTGGCTTTGGACAATTTGCCTTCTTTTCTGGGAAAGCTCCAAGTTGAACAGAGAATAAGACAGTAAAATTTTACTGTAAAAATGAGTGACGTTTATCAAAGGCTACTATGAACATGCACTGTTGTAAGCCCTTGTTAAATCTTCATGACAACTTTTTGAAGTAAGAGCCATTATTCTACCCATTTTACAGATGAGGAACCTGAGGCATAAGAGATAAAGCAATTTCTCCAAGAATACTATTACGTCCAAGTCCCTAGTCTTAGACATTAACCTTGGCACTGAGGATGTCACAGTGATCTATTGTGGTCCCTTGTTTTCACCTGAACTCCAGACACTGTGATTTTGTTTTCTCCAAGGTATTTTACTCAGCTTAAGTTGTAACATATGTCCAGGCTTATAGAAATAGCTAGCTGTTTCCACCCAACTTCAATACACCTAGGTGGATACACTGAGCAGTCACACACTCAGACAGAAGTACATTTATTGTATGAGGAAGAAAGTAGTGCCTTTTACCCACATTGGGTCAAGGATAGGGATCTTCATAACTGGGAGTGTTCTTCCAAGTTGATTGTTGTCTTAGTCCATTTTATGCTGCTACAGCAGAATATTGGAGACTGAGTAATGTATAATGAACAGGCATTTATTGCTAACAGTTCTGGAGCCTGGGATGTCTAAGACTGAGGGGCTGGCATTTGGATAGGGCCTTCTTGCTTCATCATCCCATGACAGAAGGTAGATTAGTAATTTTAATCTATTTTCTTTATTTTTGTTTTAAAACACCTAACTACTTAATTGTCCATCTTCCCCAGGGGTGCCCTATGAACTTGAAGATCCACTTTCCTATAGCTTCTTATATCCATAATATATTTTATACCTGTAGTAGGGTTGCTAGATAAAGATAAAATACCAGTTAAATTTACTTTCAGAGAATTTCAGACTAGGTATCATATATTTTTGCATGCTGAATCTGGCAGCCATATTTTATAACTAATTCATTGGAAATGAGGGAAGGGGCGAGTTACTTCTTATCGGGCAAGCCATCTTGTTTATGTAGATTAATGTAATAACACTAGAAGATAAAATATTCCCATGGTTAGCATCACAGATGAATTCAAAGTTTTTTTCTAACTCATTTATTGAAAACTGTATATTCTAAACCTATTTCATTCAGAGTATAAATCTAAACATATTTAGTGTGATTCCTATGGTTTCTTTCCCCACAGTAAGATTACCACTAGAATAGCTTTTAGAAAGTTTCTCTTATCATTTGAAATTAAGATGCACCATTAAATATAAATTTTCTTACGTACCGAAACTTTTAAATTTAATTTTTTTAATAGAAATCTTTCTGTCTGGGTGTAGTGGCTCAACCTGTAGTCCTAGTACTTCTGGAGGCTGAGGCAGGAGGATTATTCAAACCCAGGAGTTCAAGACCAGCCTGGGTAACATAGTGAGACTGTGTCTCTACAATAAACACACAAATCAACAAAAAACCTAGCTAAGCGTGGTGGTCTGTGCCTGTAGTCCTACCTACTTGGGAGGCTGAGGCAGGAGGATTGCATGAGCCCAGAGCCTGGAGTTTGAGGCTGCAGTGAGCTATGGTTGCACCACTGCATTCCAGTCTGGGCAACAGAGTAAGACCCTGTCTTAAAAAAATAAAAACGAATCTTTCTGAAGTGTATTTCACACTAGATTACCCACTTAAAGGTGATATATTGAACATGACTTCCTCTGGAAAAATTAGTGTTATTATTATTAATATAAATTATTTCAACTTTTAATATGTAATATACCCCCAAAGTCTGCTGATGTGTCTAGAACTATTTTTCCTGTCTGTAAACAGTCTCACTATGCTATGCTCTTGTGATTTCTGCATGCTGCCATTTGCTGTCCTCTGTGAACACCTCTGGGAGATATATTTCATCACCAGCAGTGAGCCTCAACTCCTGAGTTGTAGCCTTAATTTGAAAACAGTTGTGTGGGTGAAGGACTGAGGGAAGCTCATTTATGGATTCAAGTGCATTGCTTTGTGCCAGCTATTTTTCTTGTAGCTACTTCAGAGGCCTGCTGGCACTTCCAGGACTGTACTTTGTTCTTTATACGTGAGCTTTTTTAGGTATTAAAGTGCTGCTCTGTGTTTGTCAGTATTACTTCCCAAGATGTGTCCTACAGGACAAAAGTTCTATAAAATGTTAATAGGTGCATCAAAAAAAAAAAACTTTCCATGATTGAAATGTTTGGGAGACAGTGTACTAAAAAATGTTATGCTTGTAAAAAGTTAAAGTCTTCTTTACAGGGATTTTCATATGCTAACATGGAATGTAAATCCTCGGGTGTTTAAAATGGTATATAGCACATTTGGATCTTATCTGTGCATGTAATCACTTTGGTGGAAGATCTCACCGGACGTTGTGGAATTTTGTTATGACTTACAGTTGCCATGTTAACATGGAAGTTTTACACAGAAATAAAATGGTATATAGCACATTTGGATCTTATCTGTGCATGTAATCACTTTGGTGGAAGATCTCACCGGACGTTGTGGAATTTTGTTATGACTTACAGTTGCCACGTTAACATGGGAGTTTTACACAGAGAAGGAAAAGAAATGTGGTGAAATGATTTATAATAGGGTTAAAATTAATATCCTTCATACATTCAAATCCTTACTCCTTGGAGATAGTTCTTTGAAAATAATAAATAGCAAGTGTACAAGTCTTCAGGACATTAATCAAGGGACAATTTTCTCCTCTAGAAATAAGAGGTTAAGTTTCTGAATGCTAATGCATTAAAAAGGAGTGACATGTCAAGGTTTACAACCCACAAAATATAATAACAGAACTCCTTCCTGCTCTCTGGACAAATTCAATGAGAAGATAAAACAAAAGTGAAATAGAATTAAATGCCCCAAATAGAAACTTCAGGAAACAGGCCAAATATTAAAATTGTTTCTTTTTCCTTTTGAAACTGCCACTTTTTCTCTCCTTCTGCTCTTAAAAATATTTAGTTTAGATGAATATTATTGCTTGTAATCAACAGTCTTGATATTATTTTGACATTTTTGGTAGTCTTTACTACTAAGTATTGAAGGAAAGGACTTTTGCGTTTGTTGAAATGAATGCATTAATATTTAGCTTAAACGTGTATGCCATTTGCCTTTGCCTAAAGACTCACACACATTAAAAATACATATTTTTTATTACTTTCTTATGAAACATCTAATTGTGTATAACAATGCTCTCCATTATCTGTTGTCTAATGGCCTTGCGTCATGATATTTATATATTTCTATAACTTAGCATCACTGATAAATTGTAACTTGGATATTTAACCTAATCTGTGTTATATTTAATTTAATCTGTGTTTAGACACTTGTTACAAAGGCAAATCCATAATTGCCTGCCACTATTTTGGTGCCTACTGGACTCTATATGTTAGATTAATTTGTGTGGACAGGCTAATTTTAATAATAATAGCTAACACATATGTCAGCTATACTTCTCAAATGTTTTATGTACATTATTTAATTTTCACAGCAATGTGAGATGTATACTTTCATGATTTTCATTTTACAGATGAGAAAACTAAGGCATATTTGTCCAAAGTCACACAGTAAGTCGCAGACTATGGACATGAACCCAAGCAGTCTGATTCCAGAGGCTGCTCTTAATAACCATTAAGAATGGAAAGATGAGAATGAGATTGTAATCCTGCACTTCTACAACCTTCTGGAGGTTTTCCTAAAGCAACAAAATCACTGAACTGCGTATTATCTTCTTCACCAAAATAAGTAGATGAGGTCTGGCATCTCAATAAATATTAGTGAAGTGCTGACTTTCTCTGTAGCCAATGTCTTTATTTTATGGAGTAACAACAAAGAGTATCCTAAATCCTACGTGGGGTATGGGCTCTGTCTCACTGTTCTTTAATATCCCACAATGCCAAGTGCTTAGTAATTATTCAACAATTACCTGCTGAATGGTCTTCACTTTATTGATGAAATTGAGGCTCAGAGAGTTGAAGATCTTGATCAAGGTACATAGTAAGTGGCAAAAATTCCACCCATGGTTGCAGGTCCACTTCATTTTTCACTCTACTACACAGACACTCAGCATTCACTTAGTGAGTTAATGATTTATGGAAATTTTAAATCACTGGAATTAATGAAAACCATATTTATTATTTCTCAGGCCCATTGTGATCATACTAGAATATACACAAATATCCTTATTATAGTGGCTGAAAGATCTGATCTTGCTAGCCGTTCCTAAACAAATGGCTCTCCAGGTGTATTAGTGGTGTATTAGAGCCATATTCCCAGTAGGAACTTTGTCTCTTCCTCATAGAACACCCCTATGTTAATGCAAGTTGGACAAATCCTCTCCATAGCATCCCAAGCAGAGTCTTAAGTTGTGGTAAATGAATGCTTCTCCTATTTACCTTTGAAAAAGCTAATGAATTATGAGAAACTGTTCAGTGTTCGTAGGCCCACACACTCTAACCTCTTCCCTGACAATGTATTTATCCAAGTCACTTTGAAAAGTACTTGTTTCCAAACAAGAACCATTTATATGGGAATGTACTGTTAAAAATTAAACTGAGGTGCATTAAAAATTTTTTAAGCATTTATTTGAGCAAACTAGTATTTATGAATTGGGCAGTTGAAAACCGTAGTTTGTGGTTGTGGCTCTACCTAAAGGCCTCGAAGAAAAAGCTTTTATAAAGTAAAAGTGGAAGCAATGCAAAAAAAAATGATTTGTTATAGCTATGTAGTTGCCTTAATTGGACTATATAGGTAAAAAGTTCTATTTATGTAATTAGAGGTAAATTGGTGGTTTCTGATGATTAAGTTTAGATTTTGTTTTCCTCTAAGTCAATCATTTACAAGAAATGCATTTGAGTCTGGTTTTGGTTTGCTTGGGTAGGAACCCAGGGCATTAAAACCACTTCAGTCTAATAGCCTTCTATTTATTTTAAGACTTTCTACATGTCTTGTCAACCTGAATCTTTTTTTTTCTAACTCTGACAGATGGAGAACAACCTGTGTCTTGATAAGTCTTTTTCATTTTTCTTTCCTTTGCCTACCCACTATTACTGATGTAATCATTTTCATATCTATCTATCTATCTATCTATCTATCTATCTATCTATATAGATAGATAGATATATACACACACACACACATATGAGCTCTCTCTCTCTCTCTCTATATATATATATATATATATATATATATACACACACACACACACATATACATATATTTTACTTTTGGCCAGTTTTTATAGGTGCCTGTTCTTTCATGCCTCTGAGTCTTATCCATGCTGATATTAAGAAGGCCAAAAATGCAGCCATCACACTTCTAAACATTTCATGATTGATAATGATTTTGAAAACAAAATGCTTGTCTTTTTCTTTTTTAGGCAGAAATGTATGCAAAAGATTTCAGGAAAATTTCTGGAATGTACTATATATAATGAAGTGTTTTAGTGTCATTGACTTTGCAATTAGACTAAACTTACACTAGAATTTTGGGTCTAAAACATTACCATGTGACCCTGAACAAGTTACTTAGCTGTTCTACACCTTAGTTTCCTTATCTGTAAAGTGGTGTTAATCATCAAATTTGTCTCATAGGCCTGTGAGAATTCAATAAAGCAATGCATGAGAAGTGCTCAGTATAGTACCAGCTTGTACTATATATGTGTTAATTACTTACATCTTCCATACTGATTGATACAATGAATAGATCTTATCAGATCTCCCAAGTGGGAAGTGTCATGTGGGCCCAGAAGTTATGGCGAAATATTCCAAATATAGTAGGAAAAAAATACTTACTGAAAAGACATATCTATAGGAAATTTGCAAGCATGAAAATAAATGTCAATGGTACCAGGTACCCCATTCAACATGATACACACACACACACACACACACACACACACACACACGGAGCAAAATTGCTAAGTGCAGCAACAATAACACAAAGTAAAGACTACCAAATTATATTTTGAGAACTAATAACTTTATAATCACGTGTACTCAGGTGTGATTTATGCCTTTAGTTCTACCTGCCACATTAAATTGGAATTATAACTCTGCTTGTTAATACTAATATAATATTTTGGTTTTGTGGCTGAAATAATATATTTGTTAACTGCCCACACTACAACTAAATTAGGAAAGTAAGAAGTAATTTTCATTTGGATAAGGAAGATAGCTGGTGGTGGGCACGGTTCCCTTGCTTTTTATTCTTGCTGGAGTAAGAGAGACAACCTAAACTTGTAGGTGCTGCCTCCCCCAACCCCCGCAGCTTTTCTATGCTTGACTTTCCTCAAAAATATATTTTCTAGTTTTAGCAAGCTAATGGGTATACAAACATTTATAGGTTTATTTTAATACTAGCATCCAAAAATCCATTAGGCATTTTCCTAGTTAAAAAAAAAGTAGCTGCTGGGGGTGTAAATGTTAAAGATCAAGTCTTTTAGACTTTTATTGCCCATCTCCTAACCTAGTTAGTCTTAGTCTCAAACGCTTTGTGGAGAAAATACTTACGAAATGCCCTACAAAACACTTGACTTTTAAGGATCCCTTTTCTTCAAGATAGGGTGACCGTATTTACCAAATAAAAATTAGTAGTTATGACTATATAAAGATTTTACTTCTGGGTGTGATAAGCACTCTCAGAAGTGATGTATTAGACGCTTAAAATATTTTCAAGTTTTATGGCAGTTGTTTCCAAACTTGTGTGGGGGAATGGTAGGGATCTGAGGCACGACTTCTAAAGGAACTATAAGGAGTAGAGAGGTTGAATTGCCAAGTGGGGAGGGGCTTAAGGCCTGCCTCTAAGTCTTCAATGAGAAGAAATGGGCTTTTATTCGTTCTGCATGTTCTTTAAAAATTTGAGATATAATTCACAAATTTAAAATTCACCATTTTAAGGTGGGTTTTCAATATTCAGTGGTTTTTAGTATATTACCTTAGTTATGTAAGATTATGTAAGTTATGTAAGATTATGTATTGAACACTATTATCTAATTCCAAGACATTTTCATCAACTCACAAAGCAACCCTGCACTCATTAGTAGTCACTTCCTATTTTCCCCTTCCCCCAGCCCCTGGCAATCACTAATCTACTTCCTGCCTCTATGGATTTGCCTATGCTGGACATTTCATAAAAATGGAATTATATAATATGTGGTCATTTGCATCTGACTTATTTCACTTAGCATAATGTTTTCAAGGTTCACCATGTTGTAGTATGTATCAGTACTTTATTTTTGATGGCTGAATAATCCATTGTATGGATGTACCACCTTTTGTTTATCCAGACATCAGTTGATGGAGATTTAGGTTCTTTATACTTTTTGGCTGTTAGAAATGCTTTTGCTATGAACTTTTTAAGGTATGAACATATGTTTAAATTCTCTTGGGTATACACCTAGGCTCAGAATTGCTGGGTCATATTGAAACACTGTTGAACTTTTTCAGGAACTGCCAAAACTGTTTTCTACAGCGGTTGCACCCTTTTACATTCCTGCTCACAATATGTGGTGAATTGAGAAAAAACAATTTGGGGAGGGAAAATGGAACCAGGGACAGTTTTTTTAAATCCTCGAATTTATGGGTAAAAATGGGAAATTATTTGAAATCAAGATGATCTACTAATAATATCCAGGACATATGTCTATAACTTTTCACCATCATCTTTAGAGCTTTTCATGGTGCTGATGCCTAACTTTATGTGTTGTATATGAACTTCTTCTCTCATCAGATTGAAGACAATAACAGTTCAAATTTCATGGATTAGCTCACTTGGTCTATTCTTTCTCCCTGCCCAATCCATTTCTCTCTACTTCTGTGAATATTATTTAATTCTATTAATTACAAGACTCAACTTAGATGTTGTCAAAGTCTTTCCCGACTAACCCAACTTCTGGACAGATATAACTTTTATCCATCTAGTACCTGGTCTACCCATTTTGGTCTTAATCATACTGCCTAATACCAGTCGTTTTGTTCATGACTATATGTGCTTTGTAGCTCTGAAGACAGCACTGCGTGTAATATTTCTTTTGCTTTTCCAAGGCATATCTTCTAATATTTTGATTACTATATGTTCAGTAAATAGTGAGATGATTGGTTTTAAAAAATTATTGGGAATTACCACTTTTTGAACACTTCTTATGTGCTAGGTTCTAAATTAGGGGGTTATCAGTTAATCTTCTTCACAATCTTATGAACTGGCTATTTATACTTTTTTTGAAGATATTGAAGCTTAGACGGATTTTCCCCAAATCACATGGCCAGTAAATGACAGAGGTGGGGTTTGAGTCCAGATCTGACTCCACCATGTTATAGAGATTTGTTAAATTTTAAAGGTTTCAATAAACTATTTAGAAAAACTCTTTAAAAACATAGTAGATTTTTATGTATCTGGAATTGTTTAAATATGGGAGTCCTAGAAGCAGGGAAAATAACTATATACGCCTTTGAGACTCTGCAATGTTTAGAATCTCAGTTTAACAGGTGATGCTAAGTTCCTTTTATTTTTTACTCTACAGAAGCTACTTAAGAGAAAAAGATCTGACTTTGAATATTGACATAAAGCTACTAAATGCTAATTTTCTTTACAAAGTATTAAAAATTCTGAATCAGTGCTTACAATCTAGCAAGTGTATATGCTATAAAGCGCCTGTCTACTGCAGTAAAAATGTAGTTTTCACAGTGATCAAAGATAATTTTTCTATGTTATTGTAAGTATGTTGACACTGTTTTTATATCATCTTTGGTTTGTAATGATGACTCATGAAAGTCTCCACATATGAATACAAATATCAACATAATTCACATATTTATAATTTTGAAAGAATAAGGAAAGCACCCTGATATTGTAGAAACAGCATTGAACTTGGAGGAGGGAGATCTGGGCTTTGTCCTCATGTTGCCATGAGGTAGGTATGTAGATCTGGATAACCCATTCAATCTCTCTAGAGCCAAGTCTCTTCAGTAATAAAATTGTAGTGTTGGATCAGGTGATCTACAGGGTCTTTCCAATTTTAAGGTTAACAATCATCGTGATGAGGGAATACTAGAGAACAAACACGACACTAAAGAGGTTGTGCATGCTCTGAGCTGCCTTTTAGAAAATTAGCAATAGTCTTTAAATCAATCATAAACAAGAGGACAGAGCTGCAATGTGTGAATTGAAATGCTTCTTGGTCTTAATTTTTGGGTATGTTTCTGACACTTCAGGCTGGTTTAAATGGCTCTGAGTGCCCTAATGCCAAACAAAGCTCACATCAGTCTAATCGTTATAAAACCTTCACAGATGTGCATGGGAAAGATTTTCTGTGGAAGCTGGAAAAATGAAACTGTAAATGCCTTCCAGCTGGCATGCTTAAATGTTCTTCATGTCATTGGAGACATGTTCAGGTTAATTTCAGTTGATGACTGATAGCTCATCCAAATGTTACTCAAGATAACGTGAAGCAATTTTTCTCTCTTAGTGATGAACTCAGATAAGAGGATGATTATTGAAAAACATGTAGCTAACATTTGTCAATTGAAAAAAATCATTACAAAAATACAAAACTAAATTGTATAATCTCTTAAAAAGAAGAAAAAGACTCAAGGTCGGGATGTAAAAAGCATAAGGCTAAGTACACACGTGCATACGGTGTACATTTTAGTTAAGTTCTGAGGGAGTTAACACCTTCGAGCCCAGTTGGTTTAGGTCATGCCATTTACATCCTGCTGTTCACAATAATGATAAGAAATGGGCTGCCTGCTATCACTAAATGCCAGCTATAGACCATATGGCAACAAGGCAACATCAAACTGAAAAAAATAACTATCTCAACATTTAACAAACTTGATAGTTTAAGATGTGCAATCTATTACACATTTTCTTAATTCTTTTAAATTCCTGTTTTAATCCTTGCTACTGGCTGCGTTTCAGCTGTGTCTTGTGAATGTGAACACAAACAGCATGCGTCTTAGTCTGTATTTTGTTGCACATAATAGAATACCTGAAACTGGGCAATTTACAAAGAAAAGAAATTTATTTCACACAGTTATGGAGACTAGGAAGTCCAAGGTTGAGGGGCTGTATTTGGTGAGAGCCTTTTTGATGGTGGGGACTCTCTAAAGAGTCCCAAAGAGGCTCAGGGTATCACATGGTGAGGACGGTGAGCATGTTAGCTCAAGTCTCTCTTTATCTTTGCATAAAGTCAGCAGTCTTACTCCCATGATAACCCATTAATCCATTAATCCATTAGTGGATTAAGCCATTCATGAGAGCAGAGTCCTCATGACCCAAAGAGCCCTAAATTAATCACCTCTTAAACATTGGGATTAAATTTCAACATAAGTTTTGGAGGGGACACATGTCCAAACCATAGCCGACTGTTAACAGAATCAGATAAACTGGAATCTATGTTCATTATTTTGGATGATTCCTTCATTAAATGATAACCACTCTCTTTATAGATGCCAGAATTCCAGAAAGAAAAACATAAAGAAATTAATTATGATGGTTGGTTGAGAAATTGTCTTAGTGAACAATTGATAAGCAGATTCAGGGCTTTGTGATTAAAAGCAATACATTTCTAACAAAAACAGTACATATTTTAAGGAAAATTAAATGCATCATAAATATAATTTTATTTGTAATTGAATTAGTTTGTTGCCCTAACCACTCCACTCATCAAATTTTTTATATCAATTTCATAGTTATGCCACAAACCTTTCGGTATATACAAACTAAAAGTAACGTATTTTGCACAATCTAATGAGTGATTTCCTCTTCTGTAAAATTAGCCTACACGCTTCAAAGGTCTGTGCAGCTCCAGCAGATTATGGTTCTAAAGTACCCTGTTCACAATGAAGTGAAAGATTCAAAATGAAAGAACTCATCCCACTTTCTCATTTCTACAAAACATTGTTTGGAGTTTTGTTGGATTTTCAAGTGCCCTTTGAGGCTGTTTTCATCTGACTTCAAAAGCCAGTCCCAGACTTATCTTTTACTGATTTCAAAAAGGCATCACTGACTGTATAATATTGGTTAAAATTACTTTTTTTTTGTTAAAGAAAGTTTAATGACTTCAAATTCTGCCTGAATATTTCAGAACATCATTCTCAAGATAAATGTTCAGAAATTTCTACTTTATATCTTTAGAAATATTATCCATTTTCCTGCAACTCACATTTAAATGTATAAAATAGAAGGCCCTTGAGGCTGTTTGCATCTGTGCAGAATTTTTTAAAATTTTTTTATTTGTTAGCAGCAATGCATTTTTGAAAGCATTTAAAGTTAAACTGAATTCATTTAAATTGCACTAGGGTTTCATAAAATCTCTTTATATTTTCATATTTAAACCCCACGATGAAAACCAATCTCAGGTATCAGAGCATCAGGAGGGATAGGTATAAAAATGAGGGACGCAGCCCTGGGTAACAAGACCTTTTAATTATATAGCAGAGTGAAAAATTCAGCTTAGAAGCCTAAACTTAAAGTTAGAGCTAACAGCTGATTTGTTGAAAAGTGTTATTCAATTTTGATTTGAGTGTAAACTACTCAAGGACTTCAAAAGAGAAAGAGAAATTGTTGTTAAGGAACACAGTAAGAATTATAGTAAAAATTCATCATTGAATTTCAGAAAAGTCATTGCTTACCCATTTCAATTTTTGTCAAAGGTTTTAGAGAAGGGTAGAACAACTGTTCTATTACAATGCACGTTTGTAAATGCCACTGGAAATATATGATAACAATTTTGGATCATAAAAATGAATGAATTCTGTTATCTTATACAATTCTCCAATAAAAAGAACCAGGGCTCTTTGGAAAAATATTTGTTTCTATGGCTGGTGCAAAGAACATATAAGAAAAGTCTATAGCATCTTGTAGTCTTCTTCTCACCCACTGCCTATAAAAAGTACTCAAAAAACAAAACCATGGAGCGTTTTTCAAAGGGACACAGGAGACAAGCTCAGTGAGCTTCCAGTGGCCAAAGCTAAAAAATTTGAACAACAAAATAAATAACATAGCATTGGATTTATAGCCCAATGTATAAAGCAAATACACATACTTTTTATAAGTACATATTAGAATATGTGAGTAGTACTTCTATACATAAATGAATAAATAAGTACATAAATGAAGCAGAAACAAATCTCCTGCACAAAAGAATTCCAAGTAATTTATGTAGCATGTAACTTTATAGTAAAGAAAGCTGGCAAACACTGTCTCAGTCAGTTGATCAATTATTAACATCACCAGGGATAAGTTGTGCTGATAACATGCACCCCTTGATATGACGTGATAAGGAAGAGGCACTTCACTTTTGTGATCTTGCTTTCCCAAACCCATAGTTTCAGTCTAAGAGAGAAAATATTAGACAAACCCAATCTGAGGGACATTCTATAGAACGTATCACCAGTAATCCTCAAAACTGCCAAGATCATGGAAAATATGGAAAGTCTAAAAAGAAACTTTCACAAACCAGAGGAGACGAAGGAGCCATGATGACTAAATGTAATACGTATCTGGGACTGGATCCTGTAACACAAAAGAGAACAGGACAATAGGAGGGAAAAATGAATGAATTCTGAATTAAGTATGGAGTTTAATAATAATGTATCAGTATTGTTTATTAGTTGCGCCAAACATACAACCCTAATAAGATACAAACAATGGGGGAAACTAGCTGTGAGGCACCTGGGAACTCTCTTATTTTTATAATTTTTTCTGTAAATATAAAACTATTCTAAAATTAAAAGTTTAATATTCTTGGACTGTGGTTGACCAAGTGTAACTGAAACCACAGAAAACAAAACCATGGATAAGAGGAGGTTACTGTATAATTAAAAACCACATTATGTGTTAATTTATGGGGATAAATGAGATCATGATTTACGTTTACTTTTTGAAGATAAGGATTCTCTAACCTATAGAAACTCCCTCCAGCAACCAATACATTATTGAGAACTCAACAATAAAGATGATAATAATTGTGAAGTAATACTAATGATGGTACACATTTTAAGTCTTTTACAATTTACAACTTACTTTCATAAGTTTTATCATGTTGGAGAATGAGTGATGACTCTATAAGGCACTTTGAGCTTTGTGGCAGGGGAAGTATAATTTGGAACAATTTATTTCTCTGAGACTCATATAAACTATAGCCATCATGCAAGTCTTCTATTGCCTAGTTATTCCAAAAGTCTTTGTAAACAAGATCTAATAAAATAGAAAATGCAAAAATAAATAAATACATAAAACAAGCAACGTACCTTTTGGAAGCTTTAGATCTAATAAAATAGAAAATGCAAAAATAAATAAATAAATAAAACAAGCAACGTACCTTTTGGAAGCTTTAGAGAACGCATAATCAAATTCCTTTATTTTTAAATGGAAAGCAATTCATGTTTTAAATTGCATGCTGTTCTGAGTAATGTGACGAAATCTCACGCCATCCCACTCTGTCCTGCCTGGGACGTGAATCATCTCTTTGTACAGCACATCCACGCCATCTATATTACCTGCTCATTAGTCACTTAGTAACTAACCGTCTTGGTTATCAGATCAACTATTGAGCATCACAGTGCTTGTGTTCAAGTAATCCTTATTTTACTTAATAATGTTCCTAAGTAATGATGCTGGCAATTCAGATATGCTAAAGGGAAGCAGTCAAGTGCTTCCTTTAGTGAAAAGATGAAAGTTCTTGACTTAATAAGGAAAGAAACATAATCATTTGCCAAGGTTGCTAAGAGCAAATAATCTATCCATGAAGTTGTAAAGAAGAAAAAAGAAATTTGTGCTAGTTATAGCCCCAGTGCATAATAAATATTTAGTTAAGATGGAAAATGTGTGTCTATATGGTTTGGTACTATCTGCAGTTTCAGAATTCCACTGGGTGTGTTGGAACATATCCCCCATGAATATGGGGGGACTGTGTAGATGTGACCTTAGGAAGGTTAAAAATAATTGTCCAGTTAGTTTGGTTTCTCTTGCCTGGGTCAACCAAGAGCTCCACATGCTGAGTGATATGAATTATATTTGATGAGCCAACCTAATAAAGAAAGATAACAATATTGAAAATATATTTCACATGCACATGATTTGGCTTTGGAGTATGCGGACACTGGCTGACTTACCTCAATAAGGCAAAGCTGTGGACAGTAAGGCAAACTTGCTGAATGTTTATTTTCCTGAGTACACACTTTCCGAATATGAGTGAGTGACAAATCATTTTAAAATAAATTTGGACCTTAGCCATCTTTTGAAATAAAGCAGTGGTTGAAGTAAGAAGAAAACTAAAGCCAAAATGCAAATGCACTTGTGAGACAGATTGACAGTGGTGGAAACTGCTGTGAGCTCTCTCTGTAGATTAAAAAAAAAGCTACAGTTGGCATATAATATGTTGCACATTTTAAAGTGTACAATTTGGTAGTTTTTGACATATGTATGCCACCATGAAACAATCACTACTATCAAAATAATGAACATATACACCACCCCAAACTGTCCTGTGCCACTTGTAATCTCTCCCTCTTACCTTTCTCCACACCTCCTTCATTCTTTTTTGCCCCAGTTTTATTGAGGTATACTTGAATAATAAAACTATAAAAGTTCAAGGCATAAAATGTGATGATTTAATATACATATTGTGACTTGATTACCACAATCAAGTTATTTGACACATCCATCACCTCATGTAGTTACCAGTTTGTTGTTTGTTTGTTTGTTCGTTTTGTATACCACCACCATTCTTGTCCCCAGGTAATCACTGATATACTCTTCATGACTCTGGATTAGTTTGCATTTTTTAGAGTTTTCTTCAAAAGGGATTATACAGCATTTTTCTTTTTCTTTTTTAATCTGCCTATTTCTTACAGCATTATGATTTTTGAGATTCCTCTATGTTGTAGCATGTATCAATACTCTGTTCCTTTTTAATACCATTGTATAGAAATAGCATCATTTATATATTTATTCACCTGTTTATGACCATTTGGGCTGCTTTCCAGTTTTTGCGTATTACAAGGAAGGCTGCTATGAACACTGTAATACAAATCTTTGTATGGACATTGCCTCCTTTTCTTCTGGGTAAATATCTATGAGTAGAATGATAGGATCACATGGTAGGATATATGTTTAATTTTTTAAATAAATGACCAAACACTTTTCCAAAGTAGTTGTACTATTTTAAGTTTCTACCAGCAATGTATGAGAGTTCCAGTTTCTTCATATTTTCACCAACACTTGTTTTAAAATTTATACGTCCTTGTAAATATGTAGAGATATCTCATTTTGATTTTAGCATGCTTTTCCCTAAAAACTAGTGATGCTACACATCTTTTCTTGAGCTTATCTGCCATTAATATGTCTTCTTTAGTCAAGTGTCTGTTCAAATCTTTTGCACTATTGTTTTCTTATGATTTTTGAGAATTCTTTATATACTCTAGATGCAAGCCCAGATGTGTTAGGTCTACACTTTGCAAATATTTTCTCGAAGTCTGTGGGTTGCCTTCTCATTCTCCTAACAGAGTCTCTGGAAACACAGAGTATTTAACTTTGATTAAGTCTAGTTTATTAATTTTTCTATTAGTGATCATACTTTTGGTGTTATGTCTAAAAAACTCTTGGACTAGCCGAAGACAACAAAAATTTTCTTCTCTTTTTTTGTCTAGAAGTTTCATACTTCCAGGTTTTTCTTGTTAGTCTTTGAACCATTTCAAGTTAATTCTCATATATGGTACAATGAATGGAGCAAAGGTCACAATTTTGCAGTATCAATATATAATTGTAATAGTAGCATTTATTGTAAGGACTAGACTTTTTCAACTGAATTATTTTTGTACTAAGTTAAAAATCAGTTGGTTGACAAGTGTGGGCCTATTTCTGGAATTTCCATTATGTTCCACTGACCTATTTTTCTCTCTTGATTTCAATATCATACTGTTGTAATTACTGTGGCTTCACAATGAGCTTTGAAATTAGGTAGTGTTAACCCTCCAACTTTGTTTGTCTTTTTCCAAGTTGTTTTTGACTATTTTAGATCCTTTACATTTTCATACAAATTTAACAATAATTAAAATTTTATTTTGTAATTTTCTTTTTGCTATAAAAAATGTGTGCTGGCGTTTTGACCAAGATGGCATTTTATCTATAGATTAATTCAGAAACAATTGACATCTTAATAATATTGAATTTTCTAACCCTTCAACAAAATATATCTATTTTTTTCATGTCTTCTTTGCTTTTTTCTCAGCAATGTTTTGTAGTTTTCAGTTTATAGGCCCTGCACACTTTAGAGGGATAAATTCTTAAGTATTTCATACTTTTGTTGCTATTATAAACAACATTTATAAAATTTTAATTTCTATTTGTTGTTAGTTACTACAAATAAAACACCATCATTATACACTGCTTCTGTGAGTTTGACTGTTGTAGATTCCACATATAAATGAGACCATACAGTATTTTTCTTTCTGTACTGGCTTATTTCACTTAGCATAATGTCCTCCAGGTTCATCCATGTTGTTGCAAGCAGCAGAATTTCTTTTTTTTATGGCTGAATAATATTTCATTACACACACACAGACACACACACATATGTACATGTGTACCACATTTTTCTTATCCACTCACCTATCAGTGGGCATGTATGTTGTTTCCATATCTTGGCTAGTGTAAATAATGAGGCAGTGAACATGGGAGTGAACAGATCTCTTCAAGATAATGGTTTCATTTCCTTTGAATATGTACCCAGAAGTGAGATTGCTGGACCAAATGGTAGTTCAATTTTTAACTTTTTAAAGAATCTCCCTGCTGTTTTCCATAATGGCGGTACCAATATATATTTCTATCAATACTGTACAAGGGTTCCCTTTTCTCCATACCCTTGCCAACACTTGGTATCTCTTGCATTTTCATAGTAGCCATCCCAACAGGTGTGAGGTGATATCTCATTGTGGTTTTGATGTGCAATTCCCTGATGATTAGTGATGCCAGGTTAAAGGGCCACTTTGGAGGCTGCTAGTTGTCCACCAAAATCTATTCCCCAGGTCCTCCACAATATTAGAATTATAGCCAGGTCATGGCTGCCCTGCTGAGCATTACAATTTTCAGCTCCTTTTGGACTCAGGTGTGGTTAGGAGGCTAAGTTCTCACTCTTAGAATCTGAGTCCAAGGGAAGTGTACCAATTCCAGTACAAGCCTCACACATGCCCCTTTCCATGCTCTTTCCCTTTCCCATTAGCTGGAATATGGGTCCAGCTTCAACTCTGAAGATGGGAACACGCCATAGGGTAGCAGTTCTCAAACAGTTGGTTCTTACAACACCTTTGTATTTTACAAATTACCGAGGACCCCGAGTTTTGCTTATGGAGGTTATATCTATTCACATTTATCATATTGGAAATTAAAACTCAGAAACTAAAAAAAATTTATAGTTCATTTAAAAATAATGATAAACCTATTTTATTTATATAGTTTTATCAAATATATATTTTATAAAAATTATTTTATGAAAATAACTATATTTGTAAAACAAAAACATTGAGAAGAGTGATATTATTTTATATTTTTGCAAATCTCTTTAATGTCTGCCTTAAAAAAGAAAACCTGTATTCTCCTGTCTGTACCTAAACCCTATTCATTGTGATATGTTGTTTCGGCTGAAGTATAAATGTGAAAAAAATACAGGTTCACACAAATATGCATTTGGAAAGAACAAGCGTGTTTTTTAGTCTTTTAGATAGTTGTGGATACTCTTTTTAAATTTTTTTATCAAAGCTCAACAAGTGGTAGTTTGTTAAAAATTAGTTAAATTGTAGACTCTCAAACCATGTCAATAAACTTTTCATATTTCCTTGTCTTAAAATCCGTCAGTCTTTGAATGGATTTTTCCCCATGATGCTAAAAATGCTTTTTTAAAAGATAACTGTTAAGAAAATATTGCTTCAATTGCAACAAAAGCAAGAATTGACAAATGGGATCTAATTAAACTAAAGAGCTTCTGCACAGCAAAAGGAAGTATCAACAGAGAAAGCAGACAACATACAGAAGGGGAGAAAATTTTTGCAAACTATGCATCTGACAAAGGTTTAATATTCAGCATCTATAAGAAACCTAAACAAATTTACAAGAGTAAAACAACCCCATTAAAAAGTGGGCAAAGGACATGAATAGACACTTTTCAAAAGAAGACATACCTGCAGCCGAAAGCCATATGAAAAAAGCTGAACATCACTGATCATTTGATGCCATCTCACACTAGTCAGAATGACTATTATTAAAAAGTAAAAAAAAAAAACAGATGCTGGCAAGATTGCAGAGAAAAAGGAATACTTATACACTGTTGGTGGAAGTGTAAATTAGTTCAACCTTTGTGGAAAAACATGTGGAGATTCCTCAAAGACATATAACAGAATTACCATTTGACGCAGCAATCCCATTACTGGGTATATACCCAAAGGAATATAAATCATTCTGTTACAAAGATCCATGCACACATATGTTCACTGCAGCACTATTCACAAGAGCAAAGACACAGAATCAACTTAAATGCCCATCAATGGTAGACTGAACAAAGAAAATGTGGTACATATACACCAGGGAATACTATGAAAAAGAATGAAATCACATCCTTTGCAGAAACATGGATGGAGCTGGAGGCCAGTATACTTAGCAAACTAGTGCAGGAACAGAAAACCAAATACTGCGTGTTCTTACTTATAAATGGCAATTAAATGACGAGAACACATGGACACATAGAGAGGAACAGTGAACACTGGGGCCTACCAGAGGATGGAAGGTGAGAGGAGGGAGAGGATCAGGAAATATAACCAATGGGTACTAGACTTAATACCTAGGTGATGAAATAATTTGCACAACAAACCCCTATGACACAAGTCATCTATAACAAACTTGCACATGTACCCCAAACTTAAAAATTAAAAAAGAAAATATTGCTTCACTGAGTTAGGCAAATATCTTAATGTTGACATTTTAAAATTGCCCAATATCAGAAAATTACCACAGTCATTAATATCAGCACCAATCTCATCAAAAACATTTTTAAGTATTGTATAGCTATTATGGCCAACAAGTGGTGAATACACGTTTTCCAAAATTCTAATTTTTTGCTTGAAAGCTTGAATGTTATTATTGGCATCAAATGTCAGTTGTTTTCCTTAAAATGACACACTCACTGTGCTGATTTTCAAGTAATTGTTGACTAGTATTCAAGTACTAATAACCATGGCTTGTCAATCATTCTTTCTGTTAAAATATCATTCTATAAAAATGTGGCCAGTTCATTTTGCAACTTAAATAATCTCAGGAGCATTATTCCATGAGATAGTCATCATACTTCAGTAAACAACATAAGTGCTTATATACACTTCTCATTTTAAATGTTTAAAAAATTTTTTAATTTTGAATTTTTATTTTTTACTTTTGTAGGTACATAGTAGATGTATATATTAATGGGGTACAGAAGATACCCTGATACAGGCATGTAATGTATAATAATTCCCTCATGGAAAATGGGGTATCCGTTCCCTCATGCATTTATCTGTTGCAGGAAGTCAGGGACCCCAAATGGAGGGACTGGCTGGAGCCGTAGCAGAGGAACATAAATTGTGAAGACTTCATGGACATTTATCAGTTCCCAAATAATACTTTTATAAATTCTTATGCCTATCTTTACTTTAATCTCTTAATCCTGTTATCTTTGTAAGCTGAGGATATATGTCACCTCAGGATCACTGTGATAATTGTGTTAACTATACAAATTAATTGTAAAACATGTGTGTTTGAAAAATATGAAATCAGTGCACCTTGAAAAAGAACAGAATAACAGCAATTTTTAGGGAACAAGGGAAGACAACCATAAGGTCTGACTGCCTGTGGGGTCGGGCAAAAAGAGCCTTATTTTTCATCTTGCAGAGAGCCTATAAATGGACATGCAAGTAGGAGAGATATCGCTAAATTCTTTTCCTAGCAAGGAATATTAATATTAATACCCTGGGAAAGGAATGCATTCCTGGGGGGAGGCCTATAAACGGCCGCTCTGGGAATGTCTGTCTTATACGGTTGAGATAAGGACTGACATACGCCCTGGTCTCCTGCAGTACCCTCAGGCTTACTAGGGTGGGGAAAAACTCTGCCCTGGTAAATTTGTGGTCAGACCAGTTCTCTGCTCTCAAACCCTGTTTTCTGTTGTTTAAAATGTTTATCAAGACAATATGTGCACTGCTGAACATAGACCCTTATCAGTAGTTCTGCTTTTGCCCTTTGCCTTGTGATCTTTGCTGGACCCTTATCAGTATTTCTGCCTTTTCCCTTTGTCCTGTTCCCTCAGAAGCATGTGATCTTTGTTAGACCCTTATTAGTAGTTCCGCTCTTTACCTTTTGAAGCATGTGATCTTTGTACCTACTCCCTGTTTTACACCCCCTCCCCTTTTGAAACCCTTAATAAAGAACTTGCTGGTTTGAGGCTCAGGTGGGCATCACGGTCCTACCATGTGATGTCACCCCTGGTGGCCCAACTGTAAAATTCCTCTCTTTGTACTCTTTCTCTTTATTTCTCAGCTGGCTGACACTTACGGAAAATAGAAAGAATCTACGTTGAAATATAGAGGGTGGGTTCCCCTGATATTTATCCTTTGTGTTACAATCAAATTATACTCTTTTAGTTATTTTTAAATGTACAATTAAATTATTGACTGTAGTCACCCAGTTGTGCTATCAAATACTAGGTCTTATTAATTCTTTCTGGCTGTTTTTATTTTGTATACATTGACCATCCCCACTTCCCTCCCATGCCCCCACTATACTTCCCAGCCTCTGGTAGCCATCCTTCTGTTCTCTATCTCCAGAGGTTTAATTGTTTTGACGTTTAGCTCCCACAAAAAAGAGAACTTGTGAAGTTTGTCTTCACATACCTGACTTATTTCCACTTAACATAATGACCTCCAGTTCTCATTCTTCTTTATGGCTGCATGGTACCCCATTGTGTATATGTACCACACTTTCTTTATTCAATAATCTGTTGGTGGACACTTAGATGGCTTCCTAATCTTGGCTATTGTGCACAGTGTTGCAACAAACATGGGAAGGCAGGTATTTCTTCGATGTACTGATTTCCTTTCTTTTGGGTATATGTGTCACAATGAGATTGCTGGATCATGTGGTAGCTCTAGTTTTAGTGTTTTGGGAACTATTCTCCATAATGGTAGTACTAATTTACATTCCCACCAATAATGTATGAAGGTTCCTTTTTCTCCACAGCATTTGTTATTGCCTATCTTTTGGATAAAAGCCATTTTAACTGAGGTGAGATGATATTTCATTGTAGTTTCAATTTTCATTTCTCCAATGATACATGATGTTGAACACCTTTTTCATATACCTGTTTGCTATTTGTATGTCTTCTTTTGAGAAATGTCTATTCAGATCTTTTGCCCATTTAAAAATTGGATTATTAAGGCCAGGCACGGTGGCTCATACCTGTAATCCCAGCACTTTGGGAGGCCAAGGCGGGTGGATCACCTGAGTTCAGGAGTTTGAGACCAGCCTGGCCAACATGGTGAAACCCCATCTCTACTAAAACTACAAAATTAGCTGGGCATAGTGGCACACGTCTGTTGTCCCATACACTCAGGAGGCTGAGGCAGAAGAATCACTTGAACCCAGGAGATGGAGGTTACAGTGAGCCGAGATTGCACCATTGCACTCCAGCCTGGGCAACAAGAGCAAAATTCCATCTCAAAAAAAAAAAGAGATTATTATATTTTGTCTTACAGAGTTGTTTGAGCTCCTTATATATTCTGGTTATTAATCCCTGTCAGAGAAGTAGTTTGCAAATATTTTCTTTCATTCTGTGTGGTGCCTCTTTACTTTGTTGATAGTTTCCTTTGCTGTGCAGAAGATTTTTGACTTGATGTAATTCCATTTGTCCATTTTTGCTTTGGTTGCCTGTGCTTATGGAATATTACTCAAGAAATTTTTGCCAAGACCAATGTCCTGGAGAGTTTCTTCAATGTTTTCTTATAATAGGTTCATAGCTTGGGGTCCTATATTTAAGTCTTTAATCCAGTTTGATTTGATTTTTGTATATGGTAAGAGACAGGGGTCTAGCTTCATTCTTCTGCATATGTGTAACCAATATCCCCAGCACCATTTGTTCAAGAGATTGTCTTTTCCTCCAATGTATATTATTGGCAGCTTTGTCAAAAATGAATTGATGGTAGATGTATAGATTTGTTTTTGGGTTCTCTATTCTGTTCCATTGGTCTATGTGTCTGTTTTTATGCCATTACCGTGTTGTTTTGGTTATTATAGCTGTGTAGTATAATTTGAAATAAGGTAAAGCAATTCTTCCGGTTTTGTTCTTTTTGCTCAGGTTAGCTTTGACTATTGTTGATCTTATGTGGTTCCATGTAAATTGTAGGATTTTTTTGTATGAAGAATGTCATTGGTATTTGATAGGGATTTCATTCAATCTGTATATTTCTTTGGGTAGTATGGACATTTTAACAATATTGATTCTTGCAATCCATGAACATGGAATATCTTTCCCTTTCTTGTGTCCTCTTCAATTTCTTTCATCAGTGCTGTATAGTTTTCATTATAGAGATCTTTTTTGGTTAATTTCTGAGTCTTTAATTTTATGTGTGGCTATTGTAAGTGGGATAACTTTTTCAATTTCTTTTTTAGATTGTTCACTATTGGCATATAGAAATGCTACTGATTTTTGTATGTTGATTTTGAATCCTGCAACTTTACTGTTTTTATCTGTTCTAATAGTTATTTGGTGGAGTCTTTATGTTTTCCAAACATAAGATCATATCTGCAAACAAGGATATGTTGACTTCTTCCTTTCCAATTTGGATGCTCTTTATTTCTTTCTCTTGTCTGATTGCTCTATCTAGGACATCCTGTCCTATGTTGAATTAAAAGTGGTAAAAGTGGGCATCCTTGTCATGTTCTCAATCTTAGAGAGAAGGCTGTCAGTTTTTCCTCATTCTGTGTGATACTACATTTGGGTCTGTCACATATGGTTTTTATTATACTGAGGTATGTTTCTTACATATTTATTTTTTGAGGGTTTTTATTATGAAGGGATGTTGAATATTATCAAATGTTTTTCAGCATAAATTAAAATGATCATTTGGTTTTTGTCCTTTATTCTGTTGATACAATGTATCACAGCAATTGAGTTGTGTATGCTGCACCATCCTTGCATCTCTGGTATAAACCTCACTTGGTCATGATGAACGATATTTTAAATATATTGTTGAATTTGGTTTGCTAGTATTTTTTTTTAGGATTTTTGCATCACTATTTATCTGGGATATTAGCCTATAGTTTCCTTTTTTTGATGTGTCTTAGTCTGGATTTCAGTAATACTGGCCTTGTAGAATGAGTTTGGAAGTATTCTCTTCTCTTCCATGTTTCAGAATAGTTTGCATAGGATTGGTATTAGTTATTCTTTAAATGTTTGGTAGAATTCAGCAGTGAAGCCATCAGGTCCCAGGCTTTTCTTAAGTGGGGGACTTATTACTATGGCTTTGATCTCATTACTTGTTACTGGTTTGTTCAGGTTTAGGATTTCTTCATGATTCAATATTGGTAGGTCATATGTGTCTAGAAATTTATCCATTTCTTTCAGATTTTCCAATTTGTTGGCATATGGTTGCTAATAGAAGCCACTAATGATCCTTTGAATTTCTGCAATATCAGTCATAATGTCTCTTTTTCAATCTCTGATTTTATTTATTGGGTCTTTTCTTTTTCTTAGTCTGGCTAAAGGTTTGTTAATTTTATTTATCTTTTCAAAAAGCAATTTTTTTGTTTTATTGGTCTTTTGTATCATTTTCTTCATTTCAATTTGATTTATTTCTACTCTGATCTTTATATTTCTTTTTTCCACTAATTTTGGGTTTGCTTTGCTCTTGCTTTTCTAGTTGTTTAAGATACATTATTAGGTTATTCATTTGAAGGTTTTCTTCTTTTTTGATATGGCCACTTATACTATGAACTTCCCATTTAGTGCTGCTTTTGCTGTCACATAGGTTTTGCTATGTTATGTTTTAATTATTATTTGTTTCAAGGAATTTTTCAATTTCTTTCTAAATTTTTTCATTGACCCCACTGGCCATTCAGGAGCAAACTGTTGAATTTCCATGTGTTTGCTATGGTTTCCAAAATTCCTGTTGTTACTGATTTTTGGTTTTATTCCATTGTATTCAAAGAAGATACTTGATATTATTTCAATTTTTGAATATTTTATGAGTTCTTTTGTGACCTAGCATATGGTCTATCCCTGAGGATGATCCATGTGCTGAAGAAAAGAATGTGTACTCTGTAATAATTGGATAAAATGTTCTCTATGTATCTATGAGAGACATTTGGTCTATAGTGTGTAACGCAGATTAAATATGATGATTCGTTGTTGATTTTCTGTCTGGAAGATCTGTCCAATACTGATAGTAGGGTGTTATTGTCTCTAGCTATTAAGATCTGTCTCTCTGTTTAGCTCTGATAATATCTGATTTATATATCTGGGTGATTCACCATTGGTTGCATATATATTTACAACTGTTAAATCCTCTTGCTGAATTCACCTCTTTATTGTTATGTAATGACCTTCTTTGTCTCTTACCGTTTTTGTCTCAAAATCTATTTTTTCTGATATAAGTATAGAGCCTCCTGTGCCTTTTTAGTTTCCATTGGCATGGAATATCTTTTTCTTTCCATTTATTTTGAGTCTATATGTGTCTATAGGTGAAGTGAGTCTCTTGTGAGAAACAGATCATTGGGTCTTGCTTTTTAATCCATTCAGCCAGCCAGTGTCTTCTGATTGGAAAGTTTAGTCCAGTCAGAGCGAGACTCTGTCTCAAAAAAAAAAAAAAAAAAAAAAAGAAAAAGAAAAAAAAGAAAACAGGCACAAGACAAGGATGCCCTCTTCCACCACTACTATTCAACATAGTATTAGAAGTTCTGGCCAGGGCAATCAGGCAAGAGAAAGAAATAAACGGTATTCAAATAGGCAAAGAGGAAGTCAAATTGTCTCTGTTTGCAGATGACATGATTGTGTATTTAGAAAACCCCATCATGTCAGCCCCAAATCTCCTTAAGCTGATAAGCAACTTCAGCAAAGTCTCAGGATACAAAAATCAATGTGCCAAAATTGCAAGCATTCCTATACACCAATAACAGACAAACAGAGAGCCAAATCATGAGTGAACTCTCATTCACAAATGCTACAAAGAGAATAAAATACCTAGGAATACAACTGACAAGGGATGTGAAAGACCTCTTCAAGGAGAACCGCAAACCACTGCTCAATGAAATAAGAGAGGACACAAATAAATGGAAAAGATTCCATACTCATGGGTGAGAAGAATCAATATGGTGAAAATGGCATACTGCCCAAAGTAATTTATAGATTCAGTGCTATCCCCATCAAGCTACCATTGACTTTCTTCACAGAATTGGAAAAAAACTACTTTAAATTTCATACGGGACCAAAAAAGAGCCCACATAGTCAAGACAATCCTAAGCAAAAAGAACAAAGCTGGAGGCATCACGCTACCTGATTTCAAACTATACTATAAGGATACAGTAACCAAAACAGCATGGTACTGGTACCAAAACAGATATATAGACCAATGGAACAGAACAGAAGCCTTAGAAATAAGACCACATATCTACAACCGTCTGATCATAGACAAACCTGACAAAAACAAAAATGGGGAAAGGAGTCCCTGTTTAATAAATGGTGTTGGGAAAACTGGCTAGCCATATGCAGAAAACAGAAACTGGACCCCTTCCTTACACCTTATACAAAAATTAATTCAAGATGGATTACAGACTTAAAGATAAGACTTAAAACCGTAAAAACCCTGGAAGAAAACCTAGGCAATACCATTCAGGACATAGGCATGAGCAAAGACTTCATGACTAAAACACCAAAAGCAATGGCAACAAAAGCCAAAATTGACAAATGGGATCTAATTAAACTAAAGAGTTTCTACACAGCAAAAGAAACTATGAGAGTGAACAGGCAACCCATAGAATGGGAGAAAATTTTTGCGATCTAGTCATCTAACAAAGGGCTAATATCCAGAATCTACAAAGAACTTAAACAAATTTACAAGAAAAACAAACAAACAACCCCATCAAAAAGTGGACAAAGGATATGAACAGACAGTTCTCAAAAGAAGACATTTATGAAGCCAACAAACATATGAAAAAAAGCTCATCATCACTGGTCATTAGAGAAATGCAAATCAAAACCACATTGAGATACCATCTCATGCGTGTTAGAATGGCAATTATTAAAAAGTCAAAAAACAACAGATGCTGGATAGGATGTGGAGAAATAGGAAAGCTTTTACACTGTTGTTGGGAGTGTAAATTAGTTCAATCATTGTGGAAGACAGTGGGGTGATTCCTCAAGGATCTAGAACCAGAAATACCATTTGACCCAGCAATCCCATTACTGGGTATTTACCCAAAGGATTATAAATCATTCTACTATAAAGACACATGCACACATATGTTTACTGAGGCACTATTCACAATAGCAAAGACTTGGAACCAACCCAAATGCCCATCAATAATAGACTGGATAAACAAAATGTGGCACATATACACCATGGAATATTATGCAGCCATAAAAAAGGATGAGTTCATGTCCTTTGCAGGGACGTGGATGATGCTGAACACCATCATCCTCAGCAAACTAACACAAGAACAGAAAACCGGCTGGGCACGTTGGCTCACGCCTGTAATCTCAGCACTTTGGGAGGCCAAGGCAGGTGGATCAGGAAGTCAGGAGATCAAGACCATCCTGGCTAACATGGTGAAACCCCGTCTCTACTAAAAATACAAAAAATTAGTCAGGCCTGGTGGTGGGTGCCTGTAGTCCCAGCTACTGGGGAGGCTGAGGCAGGAGAATGGCATGAACCTGGGAGGTGGAGCTTGCAGTGAGCCGGGATCATGCCACTGCACTCCAGCCTGGGTGACAGAGTGAGACTCCATCTCAAAAAAAAAAAAAAAAAAAGAACAGAAAACCAAACACCACATGTTCTCACTCATAAGTGGGAGTTGAACAATGAGAACACATGGACACAGGGAGGGGAACATCACACACCGGGTCCTGTCGGGGTGGGGGGTTAGGGGAGGGATAGCATTAGGAGAAATACCTAAGGTAGATGACAGGTTGATGGGTGCAGCAAACCACCATGGCATGTGTATACCTATGTAACAAAACTGCACATTCTGCACTTGTACCCCAGAATTTAAAGTATAATTTTTTAAAGAAAGAAAACTGATGAAAACTCTACACTTTAACTTTATCCTACCCCTTTTTAACTTTTTGTTTTCTATTTATGTCTTATTGTACTGTGTATGTCTTGAAAACTTGTAGTTATTATTTTTGATTGGTTCATTATTTGGTCTTTCTACTTAAGAGTAGTTTACACACCACACTTACAGTGCTATAATAGTCTGTGTTTTTCTGTGTGCTATTGCCAATGAGTTTTATAGCTTCAAATGATTTCTTCTCGCTCATTAATGTCCTTTTCTTTCATATTAGAAACTTCCTTTAAGATTTCTTATAGAACAGATCTAGAGTTGATAAAATCCCTCAGTTTTTGTTTGCCTGGTAATGTCTTTATTTCTCCTTCATGTTTGAAAGATATTTTCACTGGCTATACTATTGTAGGGTAAAAGATTTTTTTCCTTCAGCACTTTAAATATGTCATGCTAATTCTCTCCTGGCCTGCAAAGTTTCCACTGTAAAGTCTGCAGCCAAATATTTTGGAGCTCTATTATATGTTATGTTCCTTTTCTCTTGGTGCTTTTAGGATCCTCTCTTTATCTTTGATCACTGGCAGTTTGAATGACTTGAAATAGTCTTCTTTGGGTTATACCTGCTTGATATTCTATAACCTTTTTGTACTTAGATATTGATATCTTTCTCTAGATTTGGGAAGTTCTCTGATATTATACCTTCGTATAAACTTTCTACCCCAATCTCTCTCTCTAATTCCTCTTTAAGGCCACGAACTCTTAGATTTGCCCTTTTGAGGCTATTTTCTAGATCTTACAGGCATACTTCATTCTTTTTAATTCCTTTTTCTTTTGTCTCCTTTGATTGTGTATTTTCAAATAGCTTGTCTGCAAGTTCACTGATTCTTTCTTCTGCTTGATCAATTATCCTAGCAAGCAACTCTGATGTATTCTTCAGTATGTCAATTGCATTTTTCAAGTTGATAATTTTTGCTTGCTTCTTTTTAATAATTTCAGTCCCTTTGTTATGTTTATCTGATAGAATTCTAAATTCCTTCTTTGTGTTACCTTGAATTTATTTGTGTTTCCTCAACACAGCCATTTTGAATTCTTGTCTGAAAGGTCACATATCTCTGTTTCTCCAGTATTGGTCCTTGGTAGTTTATTTAGTTTGTTTACCGAGGTCATATTTTCCTGGATGATTGTAGATGTTCTTTGGTGTCTGAGCAGTGAAGAGTTAGGCATTTCTTGTAGTTTTTGCAGTCTGGGCTTTTTTGTGCCTGTCATTCTTAGGAAGGTTTTCCAGGTACTTGGAGGAACTTGGGCCCAAAACCCAATAATGCTGTGGTTCTTGCAGACTCATAACAGAAATGCATTGGTGGTCTTGGATAAGTTCTAGAAGAATTCTCTGGATTCCCAGGCAGACACTCTTGTTCTTTTCCATTACTTTCTCCAAACAAATGAAGTTTCTCTCTCTGTGCTAAGTCACCTGGGACTGGGGGTGGGGGCCACAAGCACCCTGGTGACCGCCACCACTGGGACTGTGCTGATTTATACCTGAAGCCAGCACTGCACTGGGTCTCACCCAAGGCTTGCTGTAACAACTATCTAACTACTACCCATGTTCACTCAAGGCTTTAGGTCTCTACCATTAGCAACTGGCAAAGCCAGCCAGGTATGTGTCTTTCCCTTCAGGGTGGTGAGTTCTCCCCATCCCTGACTGGGTCCAGAGATGCTGTTGGGAGCTAGGGACTGGAGTAGAAAACCTTAGAAATGTACCAATGTTATAGTCTACTGTGGGTAAGCTGGCACTCAAACAACAACACAACATTATTCCTATTCTTCTCTCCCTTTACTGCAGGCAGAAAAGCCTCTCCCTGTGTCCACCACCACCACTGGCCCATGGGGCGTTTCTGCCAGACCACATCTGATTAAAAGTCCAAGGGCTTGTCAATCAGCCTGTGGTGAATGCTGTTAGAACTGGGACTCATCCTTCTGGGCAGTAGGCTCCCCTTTGGCCCAGGGAAGGTCCAGGAGTGCTGACCAACAGTCCAGGCCTAGACTTGGGGACTCCAAGGGTCTGCTTGGTGCTTTACCCCACTGTGGCCAAGCTTGTACCTAAGTTACAAGACAAATTTCCCTTTACTTTCCCCCCTGCTTTTCTCAAATAGAAGGAGGTTTTCACCATAGACACCACAGCTCTGAGCCCAAGGCCTATGGCATACTACCTGGGTATCACTGGTTGTTATTCAGGGCCCAAGGGCTCTTTAGTCAGCATGTGATGAATCCTGCCAGGACTGGGTCCTTCCCTTCAAGGCAGTGGGGTCTCTTTTGGTCCAGGGGATGTCTAGAAATGTCTTTCATGAGCTAGGTCCTGGAATGGATGTTCAAGACTCTGCCTGGTGCCCTATCCTACTAAGCCTGAGCTGGTATCCAAGATATATGACAAAGTCCTGTTTACTCTTCACTCTCCTCTCCTGAAGCAGAAGGAAGCAGTCCCTTTTGTTGCTGTAAACTGGGCTGCCTAGGGCTGGGGAAGGGGTGACAGAAGCACTCCCTTAGCTACCCTATCTGGTGTCTCCCTAGGTCATGTGCCACCCTAGTCCCCTGTCTCTAAGCCCAGCCCAGCACCAGGAGTTGCCTAGGAGTTTCAGTCCTTGTGTCCTAGACTGCCTTTCGAGTTTACCTAGGACTCTGGAGCACTTTAGCTCACCGTAGCAAGGCTTGCCAAGAAATTCAAGTTATGACTGCTGGGATGGGTGATTCCCTTCTGGTTAGGTCTGGTCCAAATGCTCCCTCTGTGCACAGATGCCAGCTGAACCCAATACAGCTTTGCTCTCCCCTGTAACAGAGCAGCACTGCGTTTAATATGATGTCTCACAATTGCTGCCCTCTTCTTCTCTCAAGTGCACAGATTTCTCCATGCCTTGTGGCTGCTGCTGGGGGATGAGGGAGGGGTGGCACAAGCACTCTATTATCTGCTCTGTCTGATGTCTCAGTAGGCCATGTGCCCCCCTCTACACAGGCCACTGTCTCTGAGCCAAGCTCAGTCCTAGGACTTGCCTAGGAACTGCAGTCCTTGTGGCCTAGGCTACCCCTAAAGTTCATTTAGGGCTCCAAACCACATTAACCTGCAGTGGTGATGCTTGCCAGAACTGAAGCTCTAACCACTGGGATGGGCAATTCCCTTCTGCCTAGCGCTGGTCCAAATGCTACCTCCATGAGCAAGCATCAGTTGGATATGGCCTGGTTCTGCTTTCTGCTGTGACAGGGCAGCACTGAGTTCAATATAAAGTCCCTAAATCACTGTGCTTTCCTTCTCCCAAGAGTACAGATTTTCCATGCCACATGGCTGCTGCTGGGAGATGGGGGAGGTGTGGCATTGGTAATTCAAGACTGTCTCTCCTACCGTATTTCAGTGCCTTTTTTAGTGATATGAAATTAAAGCCAGATACTCCAATTGCTCATCTGATATCTTATTCTTGTGATAGTACTTTTTCTGTGGAGTTAGTTGTAAAAATTTGGTCTTCTTGTGGGGGAAACAAACAGTGTAGGATATTATTTGCCCATCTTGCTCCTCCCTTGAGAAAGGATCTGTATTTCCAATTTTGTCAACTAGAATATTAAAAACACAGATATTCAAAGGTAAAATTTTTAATAAAATTCGTAATATTCAATGCTTCATCAAAGAAATTCTGATAAAAATGTGGCTTTTTTTTTACAAAACTGTCAGTGTGTGGTGGCAAAGATTCCAACGATTCCTACTGTGGTTTGTTGCCACTGCCTTTTATTACATTATCAGAGTTAATGTCATCACTGGGGAAAAGGCAAAGAATGTGTTATTTTTAGTAACATTACTATGAGGAGTATTACTAATATGAGTATTTGTTGCTAGTATTAATATGAGTTAATATTAATATAAATATTATTATAGAAATAGTTCTGACCTCACAATCTCCCTGTAAAGTCTTGTAATACTCAAAGGCTCTATGAACCACACTTTAAAAACCATTGCCCTAGAGACTTCTCAGAGAAACAGAAGAAAGCTGCATTCCTGAATGATCATTTGGAGTAGAGCCATTCATTGTCTGGGATGCTCACCTTAGACCGTTAATTGAAAGAGGGATATATTTTTGTCTTCTTACTGTTGAATCTAAATTACTGAATTATTGTTGAGTCTCTGATGCAGCTGTATAGCTATTCCTAAAATAATATTTACCTTTTTAAAATTTCTTATAGCCAACTCTCTTGAAGCAATTGGAACATGTCCAAGGATAGTATCATGGGGAAATACTAAACATGTCTCTATTGATACTCTAAGATTTCATCCAGTAGATTTTGATTCTCTCCTACCCTAAGACTATTTCTTACCTATTAGGTGTGTACAATATCCCATCCCATTCCTCCTCGTCAGAGCCTAAGACATTTATTTAAGAATGTTAATCCTGAGGTACCTAGGTACCTAACATCTAACTTCTGGTTTCAAGTTGCTTTTTACCATTTAACCCAAAATATTAGAGATTCTTCATGCAAATAAGACTTTTGGAGGCTTGTTTTGATATTACAAAATCCCTGGGGTTAGTATGTCATTAAATTCTCACCATTACTCTAGCCATACTGATGAAATATTTTGTGATAGCAAAAATTGAACTTAATAAAAAACAGCTGCACCAAATTGATTTAACGAGTAGTGATTGTTTGACTGAGAGGCCTAAGTGTATGGAAGTCCTTGGTAAAACCAGTATAGTTATGTTTTAGGCCTGAGTTTCTTCAAAATATTCTGAAATAATATTTACATAATATACTTACTGAAAACCAATGCATATCAATGAATAAGTTTTGAAAATCCTCTTGTGCGTCATAGTATGGTATCTATTTATGATTCTAAAATATTTTGCATATCCTTAAAGTAAAGGAAAAGGTTTATAGTCTGTGTAGAATTGTATTTATAGTGCTCAGATATTTGCTTTGCTTTGGGTAAGAATCTAGGAAAACATTTTTAAAATAGTTGTTATTCTGCTGTCTAGTCATTGAAACTTATGAATCTACTGCCCAGAAGGTTTTCCTATAGTTCACTGTCCTGAGCATAGATTTGTTTCATATGTTTTCATTTAGTTTTGTTTCACTCAATGATGGAAAGGTGTGTTAATAGGCGGGGCTAGACAAGAGTTGGAACAAATCATTAAGCTACAAGTATATGCCCTCCTGTTAATGTTTGGTCAACTTGGCAACCTCATTTTCACCTATAACTATTAGCATGGTGTCTTTAAAAAGCTTCTTAAATTTTGTTTACTATAATTATCTTAAAAATCTTTTCTCTAATTTGGGCATTAAAATTTTTTGTAATTTACAAATAAAAATTGTATATTATATATCTATAGGGTACAATATGACATTTTGATATATGTATACATTGCAAAATAATTAAATCAAGTGAATTAACATATTGATCACTTCACATGTTCATTTCCTATAATGAAAATATTTGAAATTTATTCTCATCTCAATTTTGAAATATATAATACCTTATTATTAACTATAGTCACCATGCTGTGCAGTAGATCTCAAAAACTTATTTCTCCAAACTGAAACTTAGTTAGGGGTTTGATCAACGTCTCTTCAAAGTATTATTAAATTCAGGAGCCAACTAGTAGTTCCAAGTATCAGCATATGTTTTAGGTTATTATTTTTCAATTTTAGTTATCTTAAATATGAAAATTATCCTATCTTTCTCAGCTTTCCTCATACATATTTTAAGTAAATAACAATTATAATGGGAGGAAAATCAGGAGTGTTACAAAACTTTTTAGATTGCTTGAACTCTTTGACGCTAATTCTAAGTACAGTTTTAGGTACTTAATAATTATTTTATAATAAGGAACTTTGTGATGCTCCCTTATGAGTGAGAGAAGCCAGATAAATTATTCTCCTGATATCTTCACAATGAAAAAGAATAATATAGCTATTAATTTTATAGTTACATGTCCCAAATGGAGCAAATAAGCTGCTTCATTCTAAATGAATTGTACATATTGAAATTTTGTAGAAAGTTAGAGCTATACATGACCTTAAAGTTTAATTCATATCATTTTTTCTGTGGTTCTGCTCTACTCTTCCAAGCAAATTGTAAATCCTAAAGGAATATTAATGGACAATACTGAATCCTGTATTTGATTTAGTAAGCCAGTGATGTTTCCTATTAATAAAGACCTTCAAACAAATGTAAATTTACCAACTCACTAATGGCTTCTGTCTCTTTTTAGAAATGCATCCATAAAATAGATGAAGTTTGTATTTCCAAAATTACCTAGCAAAAAATGTTTTTTTCAGCTTTACTGAGGTATAATTAACAAATAAAAAATGTATATATTTAAGGCATACAAAGTGATGATTTGATATACAAAAACATTGTGAGATGATTACCACAATTAAAAAAATTATTAATTTTGAGCAAATGAATGAGACTTGGTGGCACGACCACATTAACTACTCTTGGTTATAAATTATTATTCAAAACTGTTAACCAAAAGCCTAATTATAAAGTTAAAAATGTTGATAGGTCATAGGGAAAGGTATTCTCTCATTTGTGTAAACATAAACTCCATTTTGTAAGTGGATAAATTCCCAGTCCCAAACACTAATGGTTTGATGTGGCAACTGTTGAGCTAGTTTCCTTTACAAAAGTCTTTCAGGAGATTCACACCTTTTACTTGATCCCCTCCTGCCTTGTTCCTTCTCAGTTCTCCAATTGACACTGACATTATATTATCATTCTATAATATTTGGTTCCACTACCAACGGAATTCCTAAAATAAGAAGTCATGTCTTATATTATAGTTGATATCAAAGAATTTTTTTTTCCACTGGAGCTGAAAACAATTAAAATAGATCTGGAAAAAATGCCTTTTATTTCCTTGCCTTTTATTTTATCTTGTTTTTTATTTTCACCCTAGAAAAACACAAAGCAGCTGAGTATGAGTTTCCTCTGTCTGTCCAGTAGTGCAGGCATAGACATTATAACATGTGATTCACCGATTTAAGTGAATATTCTACACTATAAACTTCCTGACAGCAGAAAC
This sequence comes from Homo sapiens, assembly GCF_000001405.40. NCBI lineage: Eukaryota > Metazoa > Chordata > Mammalia > Primates > Hominidae > Homo > Homo sapiens. Next base: position 153,860,520 of record NC_000003.12, on the reverse strand, counting down.
CAGTGTCATTACTCCAAATGAGTAAATGTGAAGTTGATAGAATGTGGCTCATACTACTAATGCATGGAAAATATAAGTACAACATTCAGTAAAATATTTTCAACTGATCTCTTGCAAGAATAGTGCGCATCTTTAATCATTTTTCCTTTGACACCTTACCATCTTTTAATGCTTTACCTATAATTTGAAATGTCTGCGTAGTATTTAGTAAATATTCAACAGCCTAGGCCATAGTGGAAAATAAAAATAAAACAAAGAAAAAATAAACATAGAAAAATTCTGTTTTTTTTCTATCAAACATCTCTAATTAGTCAAAATAGGAAAGATAATCCCGCTAAACTTTACACCACACATCAAGATAAACTTTAGGCCAGGCAGGGTGGATCATGCCTGTAAACCCAGAACTTTGGGAGGCCAAGGCAAAGGATTGCTTGAGGCTAGGAGTCGGAATCCAGCCTGGGCAACAAGCAAGACCCTGTCTCTACCAAAAAAAAAAAAAAAAAAAAAAAATTAGCTGAGCATGGTGGCACTTACCTGTAGTCCCAGTTACTGGGGAGACTGAAGCAGGAGGGTCACTTTAGCTCAGAAGTTTGAACTTACAGTGAGTAGTGAGCTATCATGGCACCACTACACTCTAGCTGGGGTGACAGAGTGAGACTCTCTAAGAAAACAAACTTTAAGAAGATTGAGTTAAAAGTGTGTGTGTGTGTGTGTGTGTGTGTGTGTAATTGGAATAAATATACATATATATGTGTGTGTAATTGGAAACCTGCCAAAATATAACTGATTAAGTTTCAATTCTAAAGAATGAACTTTTAATACATTTTGACATATAAGGGATATTAGGAGAAAAAAATTAAAAAATTTTATTAAAAACCCAAATTTTTTTTAGCAAATATATAAGTCAATGTGTTAACATTCATTTTATATAATGGGAAATACAATTAATCAGCAACATTTTGGAGTAACAATATGTTAGCCAAAAAAAAATAGTCATTTTGTACTTATTAAACTAGCAAACATTTTTAACATTTATAACTAAGGCTGGAAAAGTTTTGTTGAAAATGGTAACAATCCATAGCTGGTAGTAATAATTTGTTACAACTTTTATGACAGCAATGTGGAAAAATATATACAAGCCAGAAAACTGCTTGTATTCATTGGCTCCAGTTATCCAACACATAGGAATTATTCTTAGAGACATAATGCTAAAGAAAAAAAAAGCTGTCTACATAAAGAAGATTGCAGTTTTACATATATCAGTGACACATGGGAAACAGCCTAAGAAATAGATAATACAGAAATGGTTTAGAAACCTAGTAAAATGAATGGATGTTATGAACCTGCTAAAATGATTATTATAGTATTAATTTAAAAAATACTTCTTATGGCTGGCTGCGGTGGCTCATGCCTGTAATCCCAGCACTTTGGGAGGCCGAGGCTGGTGGATCACGAGGTCAGGAGATCGAGACCATCCTGGCTAACACAGTGAAATCCCGTCTCTACTAAAAATACAAAAAATTAGCTAGGTGTGGTGGCGGGCGCCTGTAGCCCCAGCTACTCAGGAGGCTGAGGTGGGAGAATGGCGTGAACCCTGGAGGCGGAGCTTGCAGTGATCCGAGATCCTACCACTGCACTCCAGCCTGGGTGACAGAGCGAGACCCCGTCTCAAAAAAAAATAATAATAAAGAAAAGAAAATACTTCTTATAACCAGGCTTTTCAGAAAAGAATATGAGGTACACACAAAAACATTTACACTTCTATCAGAATGAAATCAGTTAAAACTGTATGTATCAGAAGTAGAAATTAAAGTAGGAAAAATAAGATCCGGTACTACAGTTACTACTCAACATACCTACCCTATTTTCCTATCTGCTTTAGTAGAAGTGAACCACAGATTTGGTTCTGCATTTTTAGTAGCTAATTTGGGGAAAAAAAATACTACAAAAAATTCTATGTAAATCTCATAAAAGCAGAGGAAAGAATGGTGAGTTCCTGGGGTCGAGGAGTGGGAAAAATGGGAAGACATTAGTCAAAAGGTACAAAGTTTCAGTTATGCAAGAATAAGTTCTGCAGATCTAATGTACAGCTTGGTTATTATAGTCAATAATCTTGTATACTTGAAATTTGCTAACAGAGTCGATCTTAAATATTCTCATCACCAAAAAAATGGTAATTATGGGAGGTGATGGATATGCTAATTAGCTTGATTGTGGTAGGCATTTCACAGTGTATAGGCATATCAAAACATCATGTTGTGCATCCTAAATATATACAATTTTTCTTGCCAATTATACCTTAATAAAGCTTGATGGGAGGAGACAACAAATCTTGTCTTAGTTCCTGATACTATAACAAATTATCTTAGACTAGGTAATTTATAAATAATAGAAATGTATTTCTCACAGGTCTGGAGGTTGGGAAGTCCAAGATCAAAGTGCCAGAAGATTCAGTGCCCGGTGAGGGATGCTGTCTGTTTCTGATGGTGCCTTGTGGCTGTGCCCTCTGGAGAGAACAAATGCTGTGTCCTCACATGGCAGAAAGGACAGGAAGGCAAAAGGGGAAAATGGACTAAGACACTCCCTTCAGCCTCTTTTTCTGCTCTCATGACTTAGTCACCTCCTAATTGTCCCAGTTCTCAATACTATCACATTGGTGATTAAATTTTAATACATGAATTTTGGGGAACACATTCAGACTACAACACCTAACAGTCTGAGAAAAGCCATAAGAACAAATTAGCTGGTAAATATAATAGTTATTTTTAGCATGAAATCTGAGATTTTTCCTATTGAGTCTCAGTAAAGACATCATGTGTACATAGTAAACAGCATCCTACATTTTAGGAAAAAGAAGCCCTCCCTTGTCTTGTGTTCCCTTCCTCCCTTCCTCCCTTCTTCCCTTCCTTCCTTTCTTTCCTTTCTTTTTTGAGATGGAGTCTTGCTCTGTTGCCCAGGTTGGAGTGCAGCGGCTCTATCTCTGCTCACTGTAACCTCCACCTCCCAGGTTCAAGTGATTCTCCTGCCTCAGCCTCCTGAATAGTTGGGATTACAGGCACCCATCCCTACACCTGGCTAATTTTTCTATTTTTAGTAGAGACAAGGTTTCACCATGTTGGCCAGGCTGGTCTCTAACTCCTGACCTCAGTGATCTGCCCACCTCAGCCCCCCATAGTTCTGGGAATACAGGTGTTAACCACTGCACCCAGCCCATGTTTTCCAGAGATAAAGGACTATTCATTCCCTTCTTCAGGAGAGAAAGCCAAAGTGCTACACTAGAAGGTTATTTCCCACTCCTTCCGCTGCTTCTAAGTGTAGAGGAGTGAGTCACCTGACTGAATAATTTGGGAGAAGGAATGTGTATAGCTCAGCCCCTTCTATTGTTATAATTTCTGGAGCCAACCTGCCTGCTGGGAGTCTGAATTCTCTGTGTCTTTAGAGAAAATTTCAGGGTTCAGCTCAGCCTCTGGGGATTGGGGAATAGACTGCTGTTGCCCATCTTTGGCTGTGACTCAGCTGGTAAATGTTTCAATTAAAGATGAAGCCACAGAGAGCCCATTTTGCCACAGGGTCAAGCTCCTCCTCTCATCAGCTCCATCAGTAGAAAGCTGTTTTTTTGATGCCTTAGTTCATTTTGTGCTGCTGTAACAGAACAACACTGACTGAGTAATTTATAATGAACAGAAATTTATTTCTTATGGCTTGTGAGTCTGGGAAGTTCAAGATTAAAGGGCCAGTGTCTGTTGAGGACCTTCTGGCTGTGTCATCCCGTGACAAAAGGCAGAAGAGAAAGAGAAAAGGGGGTCAAACTTGTCCTTTTATAATAACAAGCCCACTGCCATGACAACAGCTTTAATCCATTCATGAGGACATATCCCTCATGGTTTAATCACTTCTTATTAGGCTCCACTTCACAATCCTGTTGCATTGGGAATGAAGTTTCCAGTGTATGCTCTTTGGGGACACACTCAAACCGTAGCAATTGACCTCCGACATTTTACCACTTAGTCACACTTTTACATTACACACAATAGTGAACTTTTCGGGGATATTTCTTACAATTTACTCCAAAGAAGACTTGATGCTGTCTGAGAAACAGAAAAACCAATGTGACTGGAGAGTAATGACTGATGGTAGTGTGAGGGGAAGCAGGTAGGTTCCGGACAGATCATGTGTGCAATTTTTTCTTTCAAAAGGGTTTCTCTGGAGGTTGAGTGTAGCATGAATTACAGCTGGTAGGTTTAAGTCCCATAGATTAGGATTTGACTATTTCCCATAGACTGAGTAGTTTTTTGAGAGGGGATCCTAGAAGGCATTGATAGGAAAGGGGAGTGTATGAAGTGAGACAGATATAAGGGAAGCCAAGAGAATGTGCCAAAGGGCAGGTTGCCACTGTGGGTAGCTGGGGCTCTATCCTGATGTGGGACTCTGGGACCCCAGAGAACATACCTCAAATTGTCACAAATGAGTTTCAAGGAAGCTAGAAGATTTACTACCAACTTTCATCTCTTACTGGTTGAAGGCGGCCCCTGGTGGTGCTGACACCCCAATACTTAGAGCATGTTCCTGTAACAAGAGAAGGGCCTCAGGCAGAGGGCCACAGGTGCTTGCAATAGGAGGCTTGTGGTGTGAATGGGAACAGGGAGCACTGAATTGGGAAAATGCCCTCTCTGCAGATTATGTTTTATCATTGGGTATCAAAGCAGTACAACTTGCTCCCCTCAACTTCCATAACCCTCAGGAAACTTTTGTCAACCTCTGCTTCCTGTTTCTCTCTCCAGCAAAATACCCTGGGCCAGTCCAGGGGACAGATCCCTTTTCCCCAGTTTCCTTTGGAAATTCTTCCCTCTCCTTTTAACATGTTTTTGCTCATAAACATTAACTCAGATCAGCTCCCTAGGCTCCCTCACCAGTTCAACTGATAATACCAAGATAAATATGTTTTCATCAATGCTGAGGCACCAGTCATGACACGTTCCTACTGACATACTGCTTGAAATTAAATATGTATATTAAACTGAAATATCCATGTGTTTACTTAAAAACAGGATATCTGAGTATTTTTGAGTATAAAATTATTTGAAAATACAGCAACGAAAATTGCCAATATACAACTGGATTATAATATTGTTCCTATACATGAAAACAATGTAAAAAAATTCTATTGATTTTTGCAAAAATGTTTGCGATTAACTTTGATTGTTTTTAATAAACAATTTACTTTCTCACCATAAACTGGAAAATGAGGTGTGTCCATGAGCAGAGTAAATTTAGAAAGATAGCCACTGTTAGTTCATCTATCAGAGTAAGACACCACCCCTAGAGAGATACTGGGAAATCTACAACAGGTCCATTGTTTCAAAACAAGTTCACTTCAGGATTTACAGATTTGTAATAGATATAGTAAAGATGTTATCTGAAATACCGTGGTTGAGTCCTAGAAAATTTAGACTGTCATAGTAAATGGATGTCGTAGTCACCTCGGGCTGCTGTAAAAACTAACATAGTCTGAGTGGCTTCAAAACAGCAATTTATTTTCTCACAGTTCTGAAAGCCTGAAGTCTGAGATCAGGATGCCAGGATGGTCAGGTTCTGGTGAAGCTCTTTTCCTGTTTTACAGATTGCTGTCTCTTGCCTGTGTCCTCACATGGCAGACAGAGAGAGAGAAAGGGGGAGAAAGAGGGAGTGGGGAGGAAGAGGGAATAGGGGAGAGGAAGGGGGAATAGGAGAGAGAGTGCTCTTTGGTGTCTCTTTTCATAAAAGTGTTAATCCAATCATGAGATCCTCACCCTTGTAATTTTGGCTTTCTGAAGAGCTTCTGGAAATTTTATTATCAAACAAATAAACAAACAAACAAAGGAACAGAAAACCAAAGTCCATCTATTCTCCACTCCTCACAGCCAACTACTTTTGTTTATTTTAGCTGATTATTTTGAGACTAATTTTCATGTTTTAAATTTCATGCTTACGTTACTACTTCCTGAACTTTCAGTTTTAGGCTTTATCGATTGCTTTGCTATCACGGAAGATGAAAAATGATATCTCTGCACCGCAAACAAATATCCTTCTCTATTGCTCATTCTTCTAATTGTCATATTGTAATTTTGGTTAGATCAATATGTAGTGTTTATGTTGTTATGACTATTAACAGCTAATCTATTATATAAACTATGATTTTTCCTTTTCGTTTCTCTGCAGATCTTTTAAATTTTTTCTATCAGGGCCTTTCTACACATACTTTTTTCTTAGTTTGCAACCTGTCTTTCTTTTCACTTGTTTTATATATATATATATATATATATGTATCAGCATATTGTTAAAATGTAGTAAATCTTGTCATTAGAGTCTGTTTCTCTGTAGATAAACATCCATCCATTCAGCAAGTATTTATTGAGTGCCTACTATGAGGTAGCATATCTTAGAACAACAATAACAAAGCTGTAAAATAATAAAGTTCCTGCCTTGCATTCTGGGGGACTCAGATACAATAAGGCTCCAAACCAATCAAGACAATTCCCTGTAAATGCAACACTTTTGTTGTGTTTTTGCTTTTTAATGAGAAAGTGATTTGAAATCACCGAATATGAAAATACATGCTTTCTGTTTTGAGCTTATAAATATGTAGGTTAATGCTTACCTAGTTGAGATTTATCATCTCCTTTAAGTTATCAGGTTTTTATTTAATAAGTCGTGATCTTAAATTCACTGAGCAGAACTAGAGGGACCTAGATTAGTGCAAATCAAAGTCAAGCCAAAAACATTTGGGGCTTTATGGAGCAATTAAATATAGGAATAACTAGTTTCAATTCCAAATCCTCTTAGTGGATTCACTGTCCTACATATTCAAATGCTCTATCTTTAAATTTATTTTTGAAAATAAAAATAAAGTGGCATGTGGCTGCCAAAACTTTATTTTTTACCACTCAACACATCCTACTTCAACTAACCCTTTTCCTATCCTGTGGTCATCGATTTTATTGTTTTCTAGAAGCATCCAGAAATTCTTACCTACTTGTCCATCACCTTAATCTATGTAGCTTGCTATCATTTACCAAATTCTCTGCCTGCCTGTGGGTGACCAATAACACAGCTGGCTAGTTCAGAAAGACCCAGATCACTGATTCAAGGCATGTGACAAATAAAATGACAGCCATATTTCACTTCCATTTCCAAAAGAGAGCAGTTCCTCATTACCACTATTGATTTTGCAAACATGTCACTGATGGTAAATACCTTTCTGACAATATCTGCCTAATGAAACTTGGGGAGAAATGATAAGCCTGTCATTAGCCTTTGGAACAACTGATAGTGGTAGAACCAATTTTTGTAATTTATAAAAATTACTTGTCAATGTTTTATGGATTATCTAAAAGATGACTCCTAATAAAGTAGGTTTGAACCTCGAAGAGTTAAGCCTTCTCAAGATAAGTCGCTAAAATAATTAAGTAAACAAATCACTAATTATAATACTAGAAAAGAGGCATAAATACTTGTTCTCACAATTAAAACCTTTTCACAGTTCCAAATTCAGGTACATATAACTCAAAAACAACAATAAAAAATTTCATCCTAATTGTACAAAGAGACTCTACTGGGAAAGCAGTAACATTTTATTTATTTATTATTTATTTTGTATTTTAGTGAAGAACTTCTCATAAAACCTGATTTTATTATCTTTTTCAAGAATAGTCTGTGGAGTTTACTCTATTTCTTTTCTTGTTTTAGTAAAATAAAAAGTAGAGTGTGTCGTAATATCTGGTTGTCTAAAATTTATGTTTAACACACCTCTCTAATAACTGAAATCTAAGTATTGTAGAATCCATTTCAAGATTCCTAATGCTTCAAAATCCTCTCATAAGGTTTTAAAATGCGTTTAATGTTCACAACCTTCTCAACACTTTGCAAATCCCTTCATCGGTGGCTCTTGGCCATTTGAGATTTTAAAAGCTCCCCTGTTGATTCAATGTATAGCCAGAGTTGAGGCTAGGGGCCAGCATTCCTCAACATGTGCTCTGAAAACTGCCTGTCTCAGAATCACCTGGGATCTTATTAAAAATATAGATCCCTGGCCTCAAACCTAGGCCTATTGAAATCAGAATCTTTGAGGTTATGCCTTAAAATCTGTGTTTTTAAGAAGGTGCCTTTAGTACTCTCAGGGGTGCTTCCAAAGCTAAGTAGAAATGTTATAATGAATCCTGATTTTTTTCTTTCCTTTCTTATTTTCAGAAAACTTCTAAAGCATAAATGATAGTCCTAGCAGCCTCAACTTTACTTTTGTCTGTAGTGTTAGGCTGGTTATCAAGATTTATTGTTTAGTTATTTTTTGATCTCTTGCTTGCTCAAGTCTTTGAGATCTCAGACTAGTTAATTTGTTTCTTTCTTTTTTAAAAAAAAATAGAGATGGTGTCTTGCTATGTTGCCCAGGCTAGCCTAGAACTCTCAGGCTCAACGATCCTCCAACCTCAGCCACTGGAGTAGTTGCCATTACAAGCATACCCCACCATGCCCAGCACCAGTTAGTTTCTTAATTCATCAGAGAAATATGTCACTGTTACCTTTTAATTTTAGTATTAGCTTGATAAGAATTCTGGAAAAATAATTCTTTAATAAGAGAGCAATTTTTTAAGGTTTGTTAGAATTTAGTAAAATAGGCAGACCTATGAACTACTTAGAATATAAATTGTGACAGTCCTCAGGAAGATGGCACTTTTTAAAATTTTTTTTTTAATTTTCTTTTCTTTTTTTTTTCCGGGCGGGATGGGGGAACCTAGAAAAAATATGCTGCGTTTCTGTGGCAGGGGCTGCTGCATCCCTGTGATTCAGCCTTGCTCCCCTCCGCTTATCCTCCACCATGTTGCAGATTCTGGGAACTGTCAATCTCCAGGCCTACTTCTACCCAAACTCCTGAATCAGTGCAAATCCAGACAGTCTATCTTTACCAGTGGAAATTTGTCTTGTTACCTTTTGTCTATGGTCTCATGTTTCTGGCATGAACCCCTAGGCATGAGCATGGGTAACACAATTTCTTCTTTGTAGTATTCTTAAATTACTTTTCATGTGGTACTACAAAGATAACTGATAAGTATATCTCTGCAACTTGATGTATTTAGCAGTTTACAAACAATTCTCCCTCACACAAGTAAACAGCCATGAGCCATACAACATTTCGGTCAATGACGGATCACATAGGGGACAGTGATTTCTATTAAAAAACAACTTTTTAATAGAAAAAAACTTATAGTATAGTGATATAAAGAAAGAAAATATTTTTGTATAGCTTTTGAATGTGTTTGCATTTTAAGATAAATCAGATTGATGGGACTTTGATCACTGCCAATGTGAACTTGGGCAAATTTCTTAGTTGCTGTGAGTTTAAATTTCCTTACCTACAAATTGAGATTATTTGAGGATGAAATAAGAATATGGGTGCCAAGAGGCTAGCCCATAGGTGACTATGCATCTGTCCTCATTCTACCCAATCATAGTGGCTTACCATCTCCATTTTATTATTTCGTAGCAAATGAGAAGTTGAGAGTAAGACTCACAGCTTCCAGTACAAAACTTTAGATTAAGTTGAGAATAAAATATTTGAATTTCTCCCATTCTAAGAAAAGAAATAATTGTGAAACAACCTCATGCCAAATCCCCAAGATGAGTCTGGGCTTACAGAAAGGCAGGGCTATGCCATTGTCACACTTCACTGAAAAACAGCTCATCACAAATTGCTGTATGTGTTCCTTTCCCCCAGTTCCTCCAGAAAAATTCTATTATTACTTTGCCAAAAACACTGTGACACCTAACAAGGCTGGGAAATGCAAACAGATGAAAATAATGCTGCTCTGAAGTGGAGAAACAGACACCTGGAGAATTTCTCACTTCAAATTTTTCTTCACATATTCTGTCATTTAGTCAACTGTCCAATTCTCTGGAGATGTGTTTGGAGGGCAATTCAAAGGAATGTAAGAGCCAAATGAAAAAGGGAAGAAGCACATGGAAAATGGCTTTGTTTAATAGGTTATAATTAAAGCATGCAACCAGTTTCATGTAATATTTATACAACACCAAGAAAATTAATGAGAGAGTTCTCTAACCCTCAGGAACTTTAGAATAAATGGCTTAAGCCTTGAGAACTTTCCACTGAAGTTACAGCAGGAGGCACACCGAGCCTCAGGTGCTTGTCACAAATATAAAAATTATTCTTTACTACTTCACTAAAGGTTATTTTCTGTTTGAACACTCCCCAAAGAAAATATAATCATATTAATTCACATCCATAAAAATGACAAGTTCTGTGGTTTCCTATCAGGCAGTGCATTAAGCTTCAGTTTAAAACAGGTTTATAAGAAAACCTTCAGTATTCATTGAGAGAGCAATTGCTAAAGAAGCATTTGTGTGAAAACTGGTTAAGCAATGGACTCTAGAGTCAGGATGCCTGGGTTTAAGTCATGGCCCTTCCACTCACTAAGTGTGTGACTTTGGGGAGGATGCTTAACCTCTCTGTGCCTCTGTTTCCTCACCTGGAACATAAGAATAATATAATAAGAACAACCTACTTCATACATTTTTATAAAGATGTAAAACACTGAGAATTAATACCAGGTACGTAGCTCCGACCTGGGGTTATCAAAACAAAACAAGCCTTTGTTGTTGTTGTTGTTGTTGTTGTTTTTCCATAAGCAATTTGTCAGCATCAAAACCTAGCCAGTAGGCCTTGGGTAATTCACTTTTCTGAGTCTGATTTTCTTAGTCTTAAAATAGGGAATATATTGTACATATCTGCAGAATGAGGATTAGAAATGGTCCTTGAAATATGGCTACATGTAGCCAGTATAGTTGTTCAGGCATTGTAGCTTCTCTTTGCCATTGTCGCTCTTTATCTGTATCTTTATATCTCTCTTACCACCTTTTACCTCGTAATATAGATGTGTGCATGTGTGTGTGTGTGTGTGTGTGTGTATATATCCTGTTGTAGATTATTATTTTTTGAGGAATTATTAATTCCTTGAGAAATAGGAGAAACATATGTTTATACTCCATTGCACATAGGGCAGTGTCTTAAATGTGATGGGCACTCAAAAATTGTTTATCGGATAATAGAAAAATTTAATATTAGTTTAATTTTAATACTTTGGGATATACTAATTTCTAACATGAGTCTTCTTGGCTTTCTGTTATGAATTGTAAAATACTCCCCAATATCTTGGGAACACAGTAGCATATTCTATATCACATAGATATATCTATATATCCATATAGATATATAGATATATACATCTACATATCCATCTATATATCTATATAGATGGATTCTAGATGGTTCTAGAATTAAGAGATAGAAATCTTTAGGTATCCATTATTCTGCTATACAAGCAGTTAAAAATACACCAAACATGCTTTAAAACTGCACATTAAGCACACGCTGGACAATTGATTTTTAAAACTGGGTTTCTTCAAGAAATGTCAGGAAATCAGACCTCTACGATGGAAAGATAGTCAATTGTTGAAAGTGTACTCATGTAGCAGTGCCAAGAGTGGATTCTTTCCTTTCAGAAGTCTGGTTTCCATAGTGACCAGCACAGCATCATCTGTTGTTTTGCAGCCTGCATTGTAGGGCACCCACCCCGATTCCAGCATGAACAAACAAGTGACAGAACACAGAGCTCTCTGGGCAAACACATTTTATCTGAAAGTCCACAGACTGAGGAATTCACTGCATAGTTCAGTTTCCTCCAGTTTTGCCAGTATCCCATAGTATGCTTGGCAACATGCTGGACTGGATGGAAAGACATCATTCACGTTGGACAGTTTGCCTCAACCAGTGAGTTGACTGTAAAGGGAGATGTATGGCAAACAGAGAGCACCTCAAGTTCACCTAAGAATATCAAAGTGCCTGGTGCTATGAAAGAGCTACAGCCTAAATGTGGACATTTACTTTAGGTGGAAGCCAGCTTTCTGAACTCCCCATTTCTATCTTTTGTATAGTTTATAATTATTAGCATGTCTTTTGGAATCAGACAGCCCAGGTGTAAAGCTTAGATGTGCTCCTTAAGAAGTTTATCATCATGGGCATTTTACTTAATCTTTTAATGCCTCAGTTTCCACATCTATATAATGAGAGTAGTTACTGTTACCACATATATAATTGTAAGACAAAGTAAGATAATATATTAAAATATTAGTGTGGTGCTTGGTGTACTGTAAGCCCTCAATGGAGGGCAGCTGCTTTTACTTTTCTCCTTTTAAACAAGTAGACTTTATTGTCTTAAATTCCAGCTAAAATAATAGGACAATATGAAAACTCACATCTTTTACCCATGGTGAAAAAGCTGAGTTTTTATTCAATTGATATACAGTTTGTTGAAATATTTTGTTCAATAAGATGTTATTGAACAAGTCAATTAAGATAAAGTAAAAATTTTATTTGAAATGGCTTTTCAGAAACACTGAAATGACAATTCTCATTATTTTGCAAATTCCATTATTTACAAATGTGGACTATTCCTGCCTTGTTTCCTTGCCTCTACCCTTTTGAATTTCTTACACCCAGATTGCAAGTTGCGTTTTAAGTATTGGTCTCCTGTTTGTTTCTTATCATCACACAGACTCAGAATCTGCCAAGTTCAGGAATCCACTTCGGCTGTCTGGGTTGTCTTGGTGAGGATGATGATGGTCATGTTAAAGGTGAAAGAGACAGCTGGAAAAGATATTTAATAGAGGTATACATGGAGTGTCATGGAATCCATTCTTAAGGAAGAGGTAAATCGTCAACCTAGAGTTGATCCCAATTACTCTTCCAGCCAAAAGGACTAGCTATTCCCTCCAGACCCATTGCATGAGCTACACATGAGGCATCTGGCCATGAACATGATGGAGAAACAGAGAGCTTTAGAATCACACATATCAGAAGAGAAGCCATTCTCCAGTAGTAAGTAACTAGCAGCAGGCTAAAGTGATCTTGAAGCAAGTGTAATCATAGATGGTTAGAAGAAGGAAGTGACTGTTAACAGTCCAGGGTTGCTTGCAAGTGTAAGACAATGGGAAGCTGAGGAGCAGAAGCTAATAAGACAAGGAAAAAAAAATCTGTTCTGGCCAGAGCAGACCAAATCACTTTGTTAGTGAGCTAGTGAGGAGGATCTAGAAATTCATTTCAAGGTATAGATTAATATTTATAATTTCTTTATATAGAATCATTCTAAAGTTATATGCAAATATTTTTATATAGCTCTTAAGGTATAGTGAAGATTCAGTCTATCTCAATGAATTTCTTTTGTGGCCTTCATGAAGCAAATCAGTTAAAGACTCTCCATGTATTTCTCCAGATAAGTATACAAAAGAGGCTAAATCTCATAGTTGTTTTATCCAAATTCCATTTTCCATAGGGCCAGGTAAGCCTGATTGATCTCTCTCCTTGCTTTCCTCCGCCACCTCCTCCTGCTCCTCCTCCTCCTCCTCTTCCTTCTTTTACTTCTTTATTTCTTTCTTTGATATTTTTTCTCTTTTTCTTTCTCAGATGTATACTGGGCAGTGGGTCAGAGCTGATGCCCTTCTTTTCTGTTTTACATATCCAGGAAAGCCTTGTTTTGAAAGCTAAAAAATGACACTTAAAACGAATGAGTTCTATACAGTCTTAGTTGGCAAACATTTGGTTAAGATGATGTTCCCAAATCTCCCTATTATAAAAGTCAGTGTTCTCCTTTTATACACAATATGTGGGGTAGTACTTTAAGACTGTGTAGTATCTTGTTCTCCAACAATTGATACTTAAAGTTTTAGCATCCTTGACTTCATCAGTTATTATACTGCTAGTTGCACCATTTCTAATTTTATTCCTTTAAACTTTCTTAGCTGGCATTCTTCTATAAAGGTCTTTGCCTTTCCTGCTATACTTTGAGTAGAGTAGAACTCCAGCTTCTTTGATATGGATATTATACTCTTTATTGCTTAAAATTGCAATAAATTATTTTTCACAATCACAATTCACTGATTCAAATAACAAACTGTAATTCCATTTGAATATGTATTTTAAATTCTGAATCTTGTGTAGTATATTAGAGCAATGAAGAATTCATGTAATTCAGAAGTGAGCTTGCTATTTCTTTAACACTGTGACTTGTTTAGTGTTTATGTTTTCAAACTTCATGTATCTTTCTGGCCTGTTCATGTATCTTTTTGGCTTCTTATACTTACTTTTTTTTTTTTTTTCGAGACGGAGTCTCGCTTTGTCGCCCAGGCTAGAGTGCAGTGGCGCGATCTGGGCTCGCTGCAAGCTCCGCCTCCCGGGTTCACGCCATTCTGCTGCCTCAGCCTCCCGAGTAGCTGGGACTACAGGCGCCCGCCAAAATGCCCGGCTAATTTTTTTTTGTATTTTTAGTAGAGACGGGGTTTCACCTTATTATCCAGGATGGTCTCGATCTCATGACCTCGTGATCTGCCCATCTCGGCCTCCCAAATTGCTGGGATTACAGGCGTGAGCCACCGTACCCGGCCTGGCTTCTTATGCTTTCTACCAGAGGCTCGTCTGTCTTCTCTCACTGGACTTACAGATATATCCCTAGCAATAAAAATGATTACATAATATTTATGGAAACAATTATAATACTATTCACAGTTACAAAGTCATCTCTCAGTGAATTTTCTCCACATCAGTACTGTACTTTAATATGTCAGGGCATAAATGTTTTTATTGCATGGTAAAATTAAATGAGAATTATAAACCTAAACATAGGAATCCAATGATACAATATTGCAACTTCTCTGTAGAAAGCCCTTGGGATACTGTTAATATTTAAGCATATTAATTAAGCAGAAAATGGACTAAATAGTTTGAAATTAGGATCATCTGGCCCGCTCTTCAAAGAATACAACACAGACTGCAGAAACTAAAAATCATTTCTTTTCAAGGACATGCTGATTGGCTTTTTGTTTTGTTTGGTTTGGTTCATAAAATTGCATGAATTCATGAACTAGTGTTTCTCTCATGAGTATAATCATTCCTCAAACAAGCTTACGGAAGAAGCAGATGCGGCTTTTCTTCCCATAAAGACCGTATGATGCTGCAGCAGTTAAACATACTTCTCAGCTGTATCTTCATAACTGCAATTTGGCATTGCTTTTTAATTTATCAAATTGAAAAAAACATAAGGCAAAGATTATGAGTAATTTCTCTCATTAGTACACTGATTACACAGATTCAGCATGAACAAGACAGATGCTAATTCGTGCATAAAGCATATTCCTTTTGACAGGAAAATATACATAAGTTGTGGTTGAAAGAAGACAGCAAGGGTACCATTGAAAACCATTTTGGGATTTATGTGGAAAGTTTCCAGTGAAAGACATGAGCTCTTGCTTTATCACATTAACAATAATTCCTAGATATAGAGTGTCAGTAAAGGCACCCAAACAAAGCTCTTCTCACGGAGCCAGGTGGTTTGGTGATTGGAAATTTTTTAGCCAGTGGCAATCCAAGTAAATCAAGGAAGGTGGGTGTGATGGAGAGAAAACAGCTTGCTCAAATGTAGTCCCAATTTCAAGTGTCATTTCTGCTACAAAAATTTCAACGTGACCTTCAGCAATTCCTTTAACTTCTTTAGGCTTCTGGTTTTCACATTTCTAAATTCAAGATATTTTGTTTATATGATGGCTTGTGTACTTCTCAGCTATAACATTTGATATATGGATTCTATTTTTCAAGCTACATAGAATGAGTTTGTGATCTAAGCCTCTATGAACTGACATAAATTTGGAGTCAAATAACCCTCATGACAAGTGGATTTTCCCCATATCCCATTATAACCTGAAAAAGTTGGTATTAAAAGCAAGTTATTTCCTGATAACCTTCTAAGTACCTAAGTGCCATAAATTTAAGACATAGTCAGTGGAACAAGAATGATGACTTCCAAGAATAATGGCAAAGGTGAGTTTTAGGAATATAAGATTAAAGCTTAAAGCTGGAAGGTGGACAGATTTCTATTTAATGTGTAATAAAGTCATACTCTTTTTTTCAATGCTTAGTCAAAATGCTACTTACCCTATACAATTTTCCCAATATCCTCTCCCCCATCTTGTTTTCTGTTCTGTTCCCATACTACTGTGTTCTTTGTCCCTTTGATTTGGTCTTCTTTTATAATTAACTACTTACAAGTTAATCTCTCCCTCTGTTTTTAGAAGTTTCTCAAGCCCCAAACACTTCTTTCACTTTGTATTCTTTCTTCCTTCCTTTATCTTCTCTTACTGTTCTTCCACCCCCACTCCCAGAACACATGGTTTAAATATAGTACACACTCAATATCTATTTGTCAGGTTGAATATTATTTTGATTGACAAATGTGACTGCACATGACAGCATCAAAATCATTGAATTTGAACAGTTATTTGATGCAAATGATCAAATTGGCTAGTTAGCTGGTTGGCTCAGTGTTCTGTAGATGCAATGTCTGAGTATTAGCTTCATTACTCAAAGTGAATGTTACATAAATTGTAAGAACCAACTCCTCTGAGTCAACTGCTATTGATTAATATTTACTAATATGTGTTTTCCACTCTGTTTTCATTATGATTGTGTATAGCTAAGTACCCATCAGTCTCTAGCAGGCTCTGAGCTTGTTAAAGTCAAGGACCATGCCTTCTTCAGCTTTGCACTTCCAGCATCTGGAATGTACTAAGTATGTGCTTTATCAACACTTATCAATTGGAACAATCCTGACCTATGAGCAAGGTTAGAATTTGATGGGGAACTGAGGAGGGAAAACAATAGATTAATTTTTTCTTGGATGAATTCATAAAAGAAGAGCCTTCTAAGAAAATTGATAAGGAATTGTAGCTCTGTATAAATATCATATTTATAATATATTCATGGTAACTAATCTCTCTCTAACTAGTCTCGATTTAATAATAGATTGCTTTTTAATCAACTCACATTAAAGGAGTGTAAGGCTCGTTGGGATACAAAGGGAATCATGTTAACATTCTAAATTAAATTATCTGCTTGACTATTTAAGGCTTTTATTTCATTTTCAGATTTGTCTAGGATTTCAAAGATAAGTTTTTATTTATTTTTTCTTCTTTCCCAGTATGTTACTGAGTTAGTTTCTATTTAATGATATGATAATAGTTTGTTGGAAGTTTCTCTCAGAATGTATTTTCCAGTTTATAACATTCATCTACTAGATGATATTAACAAATAAAGTAGTACTAGTTCTATTCTTGCTGCAGAAGAAAAAATTACAGAACCCCAAGTTTCTCATCAGTAAAATCTGAGCAAACATTGATCACTGGAGGTAAAACCATGGGTAAGAAGTAATAAACATTGATTAATTTATTTCACTGCCAATCTTCCGGGTCCAGGGCCAAGCGTCGGTGGGATGATCAACTCCAGCAGAGTTTCCAGCAGGCTTCTCCTTTTCCATAAAATGGATATCAACAGCACTCTGTACCTAAATAATGTCTAAATTACAGAAGGCCTCCCTCAGACAGCACTTGATAAGGGACATAGGAAACTCGACCCTGGCACTGCTGGCTATATTTGTCAAAAGCGTAGTGTGCAGCCAAGATACCTGTGGTAATTTTGAAGATATTCTGTGTATTAATTGCTCAGAGTTTCCTTTAGTGTGATCTCTATAGAAGAATATATAGAATATCATTTCTTTTATATTCTATATGATAAAGGGCTCTATGGTCAGATTAATTTAGGAAACGCTACATGTTCTGTACTCCTCTTGGACATTCTTAATGCATATTAGCATACTAAGAACCTTTGAGGAATTGTTTAAGATTGCTATCCCAGCATTTCTTAAACTTACTTAACCATTCTGCATTCTTTCTCCTTTTTTTTCATCCATACCCTTCCTGCTATACTTCCTCTTCCTTTTTATTTTTTCCCAGAATATCTACTATTAGTATTTTAACCTCTGATGCATTCTTTGGGGAAAAGTCTTCTAGATAGACTAGAATTTATTTTGAAATAAATTCAGATCAGCAAAAAACTATAGACATTTGTCCAGGTTGTTTACCCTTGAGAGTTAGCTCTCTTTGAGTTGCTTTTTGGTGCTATGTCCTCATAAAATTCTTATGAAAGACTTAAATGTAAAACTCAAAACTAAAAAATCCCTAGAAGACAACCTAGAAAATACCATTCTGGACCTAGGCCCTGGCAAAGATTTCATGACAAAGACACCAAAAGCAATTGCAACAAAACAAAAATTGACAATTGGCGCCTAATTAAACTAAAGAGCTTCTGGACAGCAAAAGAACTATCAATAGAGTACATAGACAACTTAACAGAATGGGAGAAGATACATGCAAATTATGCATCTGACAAAAATCTAATATACAGAATCTACAAGGAACTTAAACAAATAAGCAAAGAACAAACAATCTTATTAGAAAGTGGGCAAAAGACATGAACACTTTTCAAAAGAAGACATACAAGTAACAAACAAACATATGCAAAAATGCTCAACATCACTAATCGTTAGAGAATTGCAAGTCAAAACCACAGTGAGATACCATCTCACACCAGTGAGAATCGCCATTATTACAAAGTCAAAAGATAAACAGATAGTAGTAAGGCTGCAGAGAAGAAGGGATGCTTATACACTGCTGGTGGAAATGTAAATTAGTTCAGCCACTGTGGAAGTCAGTTTGGCAATTTCTCAAAGAACTAAAAACAGAACTGCCATTTGACCCAGCAATCCCATTATTGGGTATATACCCAAAGGAATATAAATCATTCTATCATAAATACACATGCATATGTATATTCATTGCAATACTATTCACAATACCAAAGACATGGAATCAACCTAAATGTCCGTCAATGGTAGAGTGGATAAATAAAAGTGGTACATATACACTATGGAATACTATGCAGTCATAAAAAAGAATGAGATCATGTCCTTTGCAGCAACATGGATGGAGCTGGAGGCCATTATCCTATGCAAACTAACTCAGGAACAGAAAACCCAATGCCACATGTTCTCACTTATAAGTGGGAGCTAAATATCGAGTACACATGGACACACAGAAGAGAACAATAGACGTTGGGATCTACTTGAGGGTGGAGGGCAGGAGTAGAGTGAGGATAAAAAAACTACCTATTGGATACTATGCTTATCAAATAATCTGTATACCAAACCCCCATGATACACAATTTACCTGTATAACAAACCTGCACTTGTACCCCTGAACTTAAAAGTCTAACGAAAAAAAAATTCTTGTGAAGTCTATTTTTATATTTGCTACAAGAATATTGTTTGAGAGATGGTACATCCCAATTCTTATTGCTTCTCCTATGAAATTATACATGAAAATGACTTTAAGAAAATTTTCTGTTAATTACTAGAGAAACTGGTTCTCCCAAAGAACTGGTATTTCTTCCTCATAGACAATGAATGCTATCTGCAACACCATCTCCAATTAATAGAGGAACAATAAATGTATAATCTCAGTTAACCAGATGTTAGGAGATAGTTTGACCTAGAGTATTATTAATTCAGCAGCTCAATGGCATTCATGACATTTATGACTTTCCATTTTTTCCAGCTCTGCCACCGTCGCTGCCAAGCTTGTTCTCAAGCTAGCCTCAGTTATGGTTGTATAATGGCTACAGTAGCATCAGGAGTCAAATCCTTAGCCAATAACATGTAGAGGAATAAAACACGGCAAGCTTTTTCAGTGTATTCTTGTTAGTTTCAAAGAAACATCTTCCAGAGGACCCCATCCTTCCACCCCCAGCTTTACTAAGTATCCCTTACCATCTCATTGGCCAGGACCAGGTCAGATACTCACCTAGCAACTACTAGCATAATAACTACTAGCAGAGGAAATGAGTTTACCATGTGTCTTAGTCATTTCAGGCTGCTATATCAAATATCATAGACTGGATGGATTAAACAACAGAAACTTATTCCTCACAGTTCTGGAGCCTGGGAAGTTCAAGATCAAGGTTCTGGCAGACTTGGTGTCTAGTGAGGACATTCTTCCTGGTTTACAGATAGCCATCTTCTCCTTGTATCCTCAAATGGCAGACAGCAGAGGGCAAGGTCAAGCTTTCTTGCCTCTTGTAAGAGCGTTAATCCTGTTAATGAGGACTCTGCCCTCATAACCTAAGCATCCCCCCAAGGCTATACCTCCAAAGGCCATAATGTTAGGCTTCAACATATACATTTTGGGGCACATAAACATTTAGTCAATACCCCCATGACTGACTTAGATTAATGAGAATTACTCTGATTTTTTTTTTTTTTTTTTTTTTTTTTGAGACGAGGTCTAACTCTATTGCCAGCCTGGAGTGCAGTGGCGCAATCTCAGCTCACTGCAACCTCTGCCTCCTGGGTTCAAGCGATTCTCCTGCCTCAGCCTCCCGAGTAGCTGGGACTACAGGCACATGCCACCACACCCGGCTAATTTTTGTATTTTTAGTAGCGACAGGGTTTCACCCTGTTAGCCGAGATGGTCTCAATCTCTTGACCTCGTGATCCGCCCGCCTCAGCCTCCAAAAGTGCTGGGACTACAGGTGTGAGCCACCACACCCTGCCAAGAATTACTCTTAATCTTTGTAGTTACATGAATAAAATGGTGTTTTGTTAATAAAGGAGAAAAATACCAATCCTGAGTAGAAACCAACAGTGTCTATTAGGAAAACTTAGAGGATCTCCTTTTCATTCTAAGATGGTAAACTTAGAATTGTCTGTAAATTGTGAACATATCTCTATAGCTTTTCCATATTTGTTCTATTTTTTCTTAGTGGTGGTATCAATTTAAATTTATGTTTTCTGCTCATAATTTTATGTACACCTGCATTTTGACCTGTATTTTTGATGTTCTGTACCTTACATGTCTTTCAAAATGATGTATAATATGTGAAAATTATTGCTAATATATCAAGTGCTCAGCTAGGGGATAAAAAATGACTAGGCAACTGCTTTGGATCTGGACATTCAAGATTCATTGATATTCCAGAAGAATAGTTGGAACTTGTCTGTTCAAAGTGACTTTGGCCCATGCTTTCAAAAACATGGCTGTAGTAATCAACTTCCCAGGCATGGTAACACTGAATATTCTCATGTAATTAACATTTTTAATTTATAGACAAGCAGTAGTGGCACTTACTGTCACAGGTAGAATTTAATTAGCCAAGACAAATAAATTAAGTTTCACACTTCTATCAGGATAGTGGAATTGCAGAGGCTGGTCTGGAAATTTCAAGCCATTGAAGATGCCATTTGACCTCCCAAGGAAATTAACTTTCCCAACTGCCATTCTGAAAAGTTCTAATTAGATTAAGCCATATAAGTATTGTTTATTTACTCATTACAATGGATGCCATGTAGGCTACTTTTTTGGAATTATGGAAAATCCATCAAATATCTTTTTTCTTAATGTAGAACTGCATGGCAAATTAGATGGAAGTCATCTTAGGACTGAGTGCATGTCAACTGAACTATAGGGCGGGAAGATTCACAGGTGTTAATCATATAAACCTAAAGTCTTATTTTGTTCTTGTCATATAGGGAATCCAATTTGTATGACACTTTCTTTTTTACAAGAGTCTTATAAGATATAGAATACATGACTCAAAGTATTCGAAAAAAATTAGCTTGTGTGGTAATGGGAAATGTTTAAGAGGAGACACCATTGTTGGGAAGGCAAATGTAGATTTATTTCACAGGAAAATAAATAATGAAAATACTTAGGGAACAGTATATGATTAATAGTAGTGATCTGAAGGAAAATGGTTACATTAAATAATATATAGGACAATAAATATTGTAAGAGGGTATGCAGGTAAAGAGATAATTATGGGATTATGATAATTTAAGAACATAACGTGTGCTTTGTTGCCTGAAATAAAACAGGTTAAATTAGCATGATTACTTACACAGAAAGCAAGAAGACCATGTAAAAATTAACAAGAACACTGTCAGCACAGACATAATAAAGAGGAAGAGAAAAATTGATATTCTTGCAGCTGGAAAAGAGAGAAAGTAAGTGGAGGGAAGGACAGTTAAATATAATATGTGATTAAGTTATTCCTATGTAATGTGTAATATACATTTTCTTAGTCTCCCATGAAATAGTGAGTAAAAGCTAAAATTTCTAACAAATGCTTTATGGAGTGGCTTGCATTTGGGGAGTATGATAAAGGCTGAGACCTGCTCTCAGATTGGTTCAAGTGAAGCTTGCGGGGACAGACACAAATTTGCTCTATTAGTTGGAGTTTGTTCTCTGAGTAGATTTATTTTACTTTTGAATTTATTTCACTCTTGGAAGTAGATTAGGCTGCTTTTTTTTATTGCTCCCTTGCAGGGGTCTAGAATAACCTTGAGCTCTGCTTTGCTTCTCTTCTTGTAGCTCTAGCACTCCAGTAAGGAGCACATCCCTCTCGCATCACAAAGGCTAATGATCCTTCAGAAAGGAGCCTCCTATTTTTGGCGTCAGGGTAAATGACCCATGTGTGGGACACTATAGGGAGTGAGGCAGAGTGGTCCAGCACTTCTACAGTCTTCTGATTAATTACCTTGATCATTTGCTTTTGGACAACCCCTGCTCTTAGATGACTTCCGCTGGACTCCAGCCTTGGAGTTTCCTGGGGACGTGTAGAATACATGCCTGGATCTTTGTGGTAGTCCTCTCAGCCTGTTTTAGGTGTATGTGCATGTGTGTAAGTGAGTGTGTTTTAAATATTGACTCCTCTCTTACTGTTTCCAATTTTCTTCCAGAAATTTCACAAAATGTTTTCCCTTCAGAGTAGCCTCTCTTGTCTAACTTTTGTTTATATTTCAGTTGGATTTTGAAAGGGAAGGGAAGCATATGCAATTAGTCAAGTCACAGGTATATATCCTTGATATTTTTAAAATGCTTTGTGAATTCTTGGGACCCACTCAATGAACTGGTATCCAATTTTCTCCTAGTAGTTAACAATACTACACTAGATTCAGTTTTCAGACCTCATGGTTTCGTGCTAAGGGAAAATATCCATTTAGCCCAGGAAAGCCTTTCCTGGAAATGACCTAAAGTGTACCAACTTGTATATAGTCCAACTTACACAATTCCTATTTTGCCTACAGATGTTAGCTTATAAAGGGAAGCGCTGATTTAATCAATGGCAATTACACAACTTTGTGTGGTTATTGACTTCACATTTGTGCCAGAATGTGGAAAACATCATAGGTAAAGGGAAAATTGATGGAATCTGAGCTGGTACTGTAGTTCCTGCCTGCTGCTATGTTTTTCTTCTGTTAAAGCTAAAATATTAAAGTTAGTGGGTACAAAAAATCTAATTAGAAAGAATAACCAAGACCTAATATTTGGTAGCACAAGAGGGTGACAATAGGTAATAATAACCTAATAGTTCATTTTAAAATAACTTAGAGTGTAATTGGATTGTTTGTAACTCAAAGGATAAATGCTTGAGGGAATGAATACCCCATTCTCCATAATGTGCTTATTTCACACTACATTTCTGTATCCAAACATCTTATGTACCCCATAAACATACAAATACTATGTACCCACAAATTAAAAAAAATTTAAGAAGTTTGACTACACAAATACACTAGATGCACATTCCAGCTAATAAAGAATTCTCACATACTCTTAGTGAGGAATACATTTTCCAAGTGTTGAAGTCAAAGCAGGCCAAGTATTTTGGAACAAGTTGTGAATTTGGAATTAAAAGACCTGGGTTCAAATCTTGACTGTCACTTTTCATGATTTTTAAAAAAATACCTGTTCTGCTTTTCCTCCTAGTTTCTTCCTCTGAACACTAGAAATAATAATATCTTCCCATTGTTGTTGAGAGTAAGTGAGGATTCCTAGTATTTAATAAATGCTCAATAAATTTAATTTAAATCTATTATTGCTATTTTATTATTCCATCCTCCTTTGCTGCTTCCTTTTCCCCATATGTCCCTCCTATTCTCTCCTGCCCTACTCCTTCCCCGAGTGTTGGAATTACTACAGCCTTATATCCTTTTTCTGTCACTCTTATTTTTGTATTCAGCCCCATTCGTCTTTTCCTTGACTTACTGATAACTATTAGAGCAATACTAAAGTCAGAATTTTATTTTTTCTTTTTCACTCTTTTCTGTTCAAGTTCTCAAAGTATATTTTTTATTCTCTAACTTATCCTCCAACATCTGCCTCATGGCCAAGCTGGAAATGCTGAATAACAGAGATTACTTAAAACCTTCCTACTATTTAAATGACTTTTATAAAACTAATGTGTTAAAGTTAGCAACACTAATAAACTTGGTAAGATGTTAAATTAAAAGTCAACTCAATTGCTCATTTTAAGTAGGAGTTACAAGGATGTTGCTCTAATAAGCCAAATGTTACAAGTATATAAAATTCTAAATTTCTGCAGAGTCCTTCCTAATACCTGCCCAGAGCTAGACAAACTATATAGGAAGAAGGAACACTTCCCACAAGGCTGCCTTCATTTCAGACACCAGCTGAACACTGCAGCATCCCAGGACCACCCTTACTTCAGATGGGCTGGCTACAAACATGAGGATTCCCATAATTACCCTTAGGTTTGATAATTTGCTACAAGGACTCACAGAAATTGCTGAAAGCTGTTATACTAAGTAATAGGTTTGATAATTTGCTAAAAGGACTCACAGAAATTACTGAAAGCTGTTATACTCTCAAAGAGTATACAGGGAAAGGATACATATTAAAATTAATCAAAGGAAGTGATGCATAGGTCAGAGTCTAGGAGGAGTCTAAACATGGAGGTTCTCCTCTCCTGTCCTCTCCCCATGAAGTCATGCGGAGCAGCACCTCCTCCTGGTCGTAATGTATAGCAATGGCCGACCACAAGAAGCTCATCCAAGCTGTTGATGTCCAGAGCTTTTACTGGGGATCAGCCACATACTGTTTCTGCTGCTGATATTTTGTGTCCAGTACCTCCTGAAGTCAGACTAATGCCTTTAATCTGGTTACTCTGGAAGTCAAAACTGATGTAGCATGACTCAAAGCCCCTATTAAAAAATCACAGTTACACTGTTTGACAAACAAACTCTTATTAGGCAGTATATTCTAGGGGCCTAGAGATTACTTCCCAGTAGCCGAAGGCTAAGGGCAGACCTCTTGTTGGGTGAAGTTAATTCTTCATTACACAATCTGAAAGTATAATTTCTTTGTCTTAGATTATCCTAAACATTTCTAAGCTGATTCTAAATTTTCATGAGTTGGAAATATACTATTCACTATGGAAGATGGAAGATAATTACTATCCCAGAAACTGAGATTTTTTTTTTTTAGCTTTTCACCTGGCATGGAGTCTGGAGCTGTGGGTATTCTAAGCAATTCTCAGTAAGAAACTATGATCGTTGCCTTTTTCTTCTTATAACACCCCAGTTTGGGACCAAATCTGGAGTTGGCTGGAATAATATTTAGATGAGTATGAGTTCCACAGGTAAAAGTTTCTCTATAAGTAAAGATTCCTGGATTCTGTAAATGGCATATAATGTTGATCTTACATCAGCAAGCTCTCTAAGAGAAAAGCAGTAAATCTTCATCTTGCTTCAGTAACTGTGCAAATGAATTCCTTCTAAGCTTACCTAGCAAGCTTCCCAGTTCAGACATAAAGAATATTAATAATGCTTCGAAGCAATTTTGCAACATAATAGGAAATCATCATTTTGGGGATGCTCTGCTTTTTGAAAAAGCTTAGATATTTGTTTCTAAAAATCATGGTGACAGCATGCAGCTGTTATAATGTGCTCAACACAAGGAGAAATTATTCCACTTGTGTGATTTGGAAGGGATTTTGGAAGCAACACCTAAGCACACAGTTGGGCAAGTCTTGCCAAGATGGCTGCATGACTCTGTTTATGGCGATTCTTGTCAATAATATAGCAGCATGCCTCCATGAGTGAGAAGTTCCGTTAGCAAACTCTGGGAGCTGTGCCTTTGTGTTCAGGGTATATATTATATACTTGGCCTGTTACGCTTTAGAAGCCAATTGCAGCTTGTTTCATTATTGTACAGATTTGTATATAACACTTTTTTCCTTAGAAAAACAGTTCCCCACAATTAAACAATAAAGCTTTAAAGAAATTATCTTCTTATTCATTTTTTTGTCATCCTTAGCTTCAAACTCCCTTGTTAAAGAGGTGGTTCAGCACCATTATGAAATGTAGGTGAAACGATTACTGCCTATCATCAACATAGCATAACTAAATGGAACGAAACCCAAGTATGCAAAATAATGGAGTATTTAAACAAAAGAAAAACTAAATAGCTAGTAATACTTTATATGCACAAAGTAAAATGCATAAATTACAAAGTCAGCCAATTATATGGGAATGCAGACATCAAAACCCCCCAATTTATAATATATGTGTTAGTCCATTTTTGCATATCTATAAAGAAATACCTGAGGCTGTGCAAATTTATAAAGAAAAGGAGTTTAATTGGCTCACAGTTCTGCAGGCTATATAGGAAGCATGATGTCAGCATCTGCTTGGCTTCTGGTAAGGCCTCAGAAAGCTCTCAATCTTGGCAGAAAGCAAAGGGGAACCTGGCATCTCACATGGTGAGAAAAAGAGAGAGAGACAGGAGCAAGTGAGAGAGGGAAGAAGTGCCACACTCTATTAAACAACCAGATCTTGCATAAACTCAGATGGAAAACTCACTCACTATGTCAAGGACAGCACCACGACATTCATAAGGGATCTGCCCCCATGATCCAAACACATCTCGCTAGGCCCACCTCCAACATTGGAAGTCATGTTTCAACATGAGTTTTGGAAGGAATAAAACATTCAAACCATGTCAACATATACAGTTTCTATTGAAACATTAAATAATAAGATCTATAGTAGGTTTAGTAGCTACTTTAATTCTTAAGTAGCAATGAGCATTAAATAATATTTGCAACAATTATAAAGTGACAAAGGCATAAATACTGCTCTGACTACTATGCTAATAAATAAAAGAAATGTTGAGTTTCACCTAGAGGTTTGTAAAAATAAGGATGTAATCCAAGTCAAATGACTCCCTGAATATTTTGGGCTAAAAATGCCAGGTTTAGGAGATAACTAAAATTAAGCGTATGTTTCTCTTTCTTTCTTACACACACACACACACACTCTCGCTCTCTCTCACACATGCACTCTGTCTCTCTCTCACTCTGTGTGTGTGTGTGTTTGCGTGTGTGTGTGTGTGTCTGTCTGTCTGTCTGTCTTTGGGGTGGATTATATTAGACAAAGACTGGTTCTAGTTTAATTGGCTTCAGAAATGCAAATTACTCTCTTTTAACAGATGGCCATCTAAATGAACTTTCAGAAAGTTATACTTTGCAATTTCTCCCACTTCATCTCTCTTTGCTATTCTCAGTCTATTTCCTCCAAACTCTTAATCAGGAAAGAAGAAAAAGTCTAGGATCCTTGGGAGAACTTAGAGAGCTGACTTTTGCCATTTTACCCACAACTTTGATGACGGAGGGAGTCAAATAAATGGATAGGATAGTGGCAACTGTAAAGAGGAAAGGCTTTCAGAAATAATCTGCAACAAGGGAAGAAGAAAACTTTGAAAAATTGATCCTAGAAGATGAACAGAGGAAAAGCCTAGAAGACCTGACCGCAACTTAGAATTCAATCATGATCCTTAAACGCCAGCAATTATCAAATATATAAATTTATCTATTATAAACACTTAGTATATGTTTGTGAATGTGCACCTGTGTGATTGTGTCTCTCTGTGTGTCAAAAGTTGTTTGATCTCCCATAACAACTTTTACTGTGTGGAATATGCTTTGGATCTGTGTCTCCACCAAATCTCATTTTCAGCTGTACTCCCCAGTGTTGGTGGTGGGGCCCGATGGGAGGAGATTGGCTCATGGGGGCGGGTTTCTCATGAATGGTTTAGCGCCATCCCCTTGGTGCTGTTCTCCTGATGGTGAGTGAGTTCTCACAAAATCTGGTTGTTTAAAAGTGTGTTGCGCCTCCCTCTTTGCTCTGTTTTGCTCCTGCTCCTGCCATGAAAAAAGCCTGCTCCCCTTGTGCCTCCCCAGAAGCAGAGCAGATGCCAGAATTATGCTTTCTGTAAAGCCTGCAGAGCCATGAGCCAATTAAACCTCTTTTCTTTATAAATTACCCAGTCTCAAGTGTTTCTTTATAGCAATGCGAGAATGGACCAATACAGTGTATACTGCCTCTCCAATTTTAGAGATATGGAAACTGAGGCATAGAAATATTAAATTCTTGCCTAAGGTCACACATTTAGTAAGCAGCAGAGCCAGATGTAATGTGAAGTTTATTGCTTAACACTTTTCCGATATGGAAATGTCGAGGGCCTAGGTTGATCAAGTCTGGGTTTTACCCAAGTGTTTACATGGATCTTCCAAAATTTCCTGAAATGCATTTTTTTTTTTTTTTTTTTTTGAGACGGAGTCTCGCTCTGTCGCCCAGGCCGGACTGCGGACTGCAGTGGCGCAATCTCGGCTCACTGCAAGCTCCGCTTCCCGGGTTCACGCCATTCTCCTGCCTCAGCCTCCCGAGTAGCTGGGACTACAGGCGCCCGCCACCGCGCCCGGCTAATTTTTTGTATTTTTTTTTAGTAGAGACGGGGTTTCACCTTGTTAGCCAGGATGGTCTCGATCTCCTGACCTCATGATCCACCCGCCTCGGCCTCCCAAAGTGCTGGGATTACAGGCGTGAGCCACCGCGCCTGGCCTCTGAAATGCATTTTTAAGTTTCCTAATTTTTCACTGGCATGTGGTATCTTACCCTATAATGCACTTTTAAAACCAGGCACTTGATATATGCACTTTTCCTGAAGTTACCAAATGTGTGAATTTCCTCCTTAGCTAATATTTCACATGCTTTTTTGAACTCTAAGTCTTTCCAGAACAGAGTGGGAAGACTGCTCTAGCTACCCATGAGCTTTTCCAAATTACCTGCTCAGCCTCACTTCGAGCTACATGCCTGAGCTAGTAGTGCATGAAGAAGTTCATTAGAGAAAGGAATTGGATTTGATTAATTTTTCTAAACACTGACTAAGACAGTCCATTTTGCAAACATTTATATTGCAGTAAAGTTTAATTATGGATTATTTTGCCATGAGACATACTAGACTGACATGAAACAGAGAGTAAACATTTACAAAGCAGTATAAATATTTCTAATTTTCTGCTAATTGCTTTTTTATTTTATTTACAGTTTTAGATACAAGTACATAGAATTGTGTTATCAGAATAAGAAATACAGAAAAATCCATAAAGACAAAGAAATAGATTATAAGGAATATAGAAAGAGTATCCAATATGACAACTCCTATATGTACACATTAAATTTTACTCTCTGTGATGTTAATGGTCAAATTAGTCAAAAATAGATAAACCAATGTGCCATCTGATGTGGCTGCTTTGGAATAATTATTTTGCTCTCCCACATCATTGGGGTGTGCAAATGGCAAAACTTTTTCAGCTTCAGGATGCTAGCCTAATTTATTCTGTCACCAGATTTTTTTTTAAAGCAAATGTCTGCATTGATTTGCTTCTTAAAGTGCCTAAGGATTATAAACACTAGGTTAGAATTAGGCTAGTCCAAGATATTTTCTATTTGTTAGAGAATAAATTTTTACCTTGAAAAAGAGCTCAGTATAAAAAAAAATGACTGGGTGGGAAAAGAAATTATTGAGGGAAATATTTATATTCAGGGGCAAAAGTCCAAATTTCAATTGTGTGTCCAATACTTAGTGTGTTTATATTTGGTAATTGCTATTTATGTTGGCTTCTGACACATGCAGATTTGGATCGATGAGCCAAATAGAAAGGAAGATAAGAGAAGCCTGGAATGAGAAGCCTATGCACATTAGTCTCAGGTCCAAAACCAATTTTGTCTTACTGACCTACTTTGGGTACTAGATAATGCAGAATGTAAAATAATAAGTAAATATATTAAATTGTAAATCTGAAGTCATTAAGTTTAACTCAAATCTTGGTTTTATTTGATCTCTAAGACCCTCGATAAAAATGATTTCCTGGTTTGCATCAGTGCAATAAAGCATGTAAGGAGAGTCAACAGGTTCAGTTCATTACTATAATTTTCACCTGGGTTTATAACTTCACTCTATAAAAATTCTGGTTTATAGAGACAGAGAAAAGAACTAACTACCCAGTATTGATCAAAACAGTAAGTGTATGTCTATGTCATATAGCACCTGTAGAGGGTAATGCCATAGAATTTTTATTGTGATTGCTAGTTAGGGTCTATGAAGTCCAAAAATATGTATGCAACTGTATAAGAAGTTGTTGTTTTACAGGACAACAAAAGGAATAATGGGCCTAAACTCATACTATGGAAATTAATTACATCAGGTAATTCATCAGTTAAATTAAACATAGATAATAAGTAGCTCAAATTAGGATGTCTATACAGGAGGTTCTATTTTTAACTTCCAGTATCTTTAAGGATTGCTAAAAAATGTTACCAGCTCACTTTCCTGGCTTCCATTTTGAACTTTTTAGTTTGTTGCACAATGTCCCTGTGCTATGGTTTCTTCATTGGAACAGTGACTTGGCATTTATATAGATTTAACACCAATTGAGAAATATTTTCAGTGTTTCTATGTGCAATTGCTCTCAGTTCAAACTGTGTAGAATTTTTGCAAAATGTTTCCATAGTGCAAACTCTCTTTGTTCTTTTCTTTGTGTGTGGAGAACTTAATCATTTCCTTCAATGTTCTCCGTAAAATAACTGAAGCAATTGCTCATTTCCTGTGATAGGTGCTGTCTAAGCTCTACATAATCGCTGCTTTTATATGATCAGAGTTTCAGGATAGGAAGTGAGAAGAGTTTTCTATGACTCTAGTTACTGACAGGAAGACATCAATTTATAGGCTGGGAATAGCTTATTAAAAAAAAAGCTCTTTAGGATTCAAAATCTTTAGATTTCTTGGTGATACTTCATAGACATCTCTGCCAAACTCATATTTTGTCTGCTCTTAGCTGTCTTGATTATTTTGCCTAAGCCATTATCATTCCACCTACGGAAAAATCTAGTTGACGGGACAAAGAAAGATGGCATAGAAAGAAAGTTGTGTTGGAGCTCAGAGAATGATACCGCTGTCAGGCCTCTGAGTCCAAGCTAAGCCATCATATCCCCTGTGACCTGCATGTGTACATCCAGATGGCCTGAAGCAACTGAAGATCCACAAAAGAAGTGAAAATAGCCTTAACTGATGACATTCCACCATTGTGATTTGCTTCTGCCCCACCCTAACTGATCAATGTACTTTGCAATCTCCCCCACCCTTAAGAACATTCTTTATAATTTCCCCTACCCTTAAGAAGGTTCTTTGTAATTCTCCCCACCCTTGAGAATGTACTTTGTGAGATCCAGCTCCTGCCCGCAAAACATTGCTCCTAACTCCACTGCCTATCCCAAAACCTATAAGAACTAATGATAATCCACCACCCCTTGCTGACCCTCTTTTTGGACTCAGCCCACCTGCACCCAGGTGAAATAAACAGCCATGTTGCTCACACAAAGCCTGTTTGGTGGTCTCTTCACACGGACGTGTGAGACATTTGGTGCCAAAGACCCAGGTCAGCGGGACTCCTTCGGGAGACCAGTCCCCTGTCCTCACCCTCACTCCATGAAGAGATCCACCTATGACCTCGCGTCCTCAGACCAACCAGCCCAAGGAACATCTCACCGATTTTAAATTGAGTAAGCGGCCTCTTTTTACTCTCTTCTCCCACCTGTCTCACTATCCCTCAACCCATTTTCCTTTCAATCTTGGTGCCACCCTTCAATTTCTCCCTTCTCTTAATTTCAATTCCTTTCATTTTCTGGTAGAGACAAAGGAGACACATTTTATCTGTGGACCCAAAACTCCAGCACCGGTCATGGACTCGGGAAGGCAGCCTTCCCTTGGTGTTTAATCATTGTGGGGATGCCTGCCTGATTATTCACCCACATTCCATGGTGTGTGATCTCCACAGGACACCTGCCTTGGTCATTCACCCACATTCCTTTGGTGGCAAGTCAATTGCAGGGACACCTGCTTTGGCTGCTCACCCATATTGCAGCCCAGGGCTGCTCACTCCACCCATTCTCTCCGTGTCTCTACCCCTTTTCCACTTTCCTGGGGGCAAGCACCTCCCACCCCTTTTCCACTTTCCTGGGGGGCAAGCACCTCCCACCCCATTTCCACTTTCCTGGGGGGCAAGCACCTCCCATCCCATTTCCACTTTCCTGGGGGGCAAGCACCTCCCACCCCATTTCCACTTTCCTTGCAGCAGGCACCTCCCATCCCGTTTCCACTTTTCTGGGGGGCAAGCACCTCCCACCCTTTCTCCACTTTCCTGGGGGGCAAGCACCCCCCACCCCTTCTCTCCGTGTCTCTACCCTTCTCTTTAAACTTGCCTCCTTCACTATGGGCAACCTTCAACCCTCCATTCCTCCTTCTTCTCTCTTAGCCTGTGTTCTCAAAAACTTAAAACCTCTTCAACTCTTGCCTGACCTAAAATCTAAGCGTCTTATTTTCTTCAGCAGCACTGCTTGGCCCCAATACAAACTCAACAGTGGTTCTAAGTAGCCAGAAAACGGCACTTTTGATTTCTCCATTTTACAATACCTAGATAATTTTTGTCAAAAAATGGGCAAATGGTCTGAGGTGCCTGACGTCCAGGCATTCTTTTACACATTGGTCCCTCCCTAGTCTCTGCTCCCAATGTGACTCATCCCAGATCTTTCTTCTTTCTCTCCTGTCTGTTCCTTCAGTCTCCACCCCAAGCTCTGAGTCCTTTGAATCCTTCTTTTCTATGGACTCATCTGACCTCTCCCCTTCTCTCCAGGCTGCTCCTCGCCAGGCCAAGCCAGGTCCCAATTCTTCGTCAGCCTCTGCTCCCCCACCCTATAATCTTTCTATCACCTCCCCTCCTCACACCCGGTCTGGTTTACAGTTTCGTTCTGCGACTAGCTCTCCCCTACCTGCCCAGCAATTTCCTCTTAGAGAGGTGGCTGGAGCGAAGGCATAGTCAGGGTACATGTGCCTTTTTCCTCTATCAGACCTTTCCCAGATCAGCCAGCATTTAGGCTCTTTCTCATCAGACCCCACTAAATACATATAGGAATTCCAATATCTAACTCTGTCCTACAGTTTAACCTGGAGTGACTTAAATGTCATCCTGACTTCTACCCTCTCCCCAGATGAACGGGAAAGAGTTTTTTCTCTAGCCCAATCTCATGCTGATAACCGCTGGCTCCAGGAGACAAACTTCCAGGAAGGTATTAGAGCAGTTCCCCCGAGAAGATCCCCAATGGAACTATCAGGCAGATTCCCCAGGTATAGCCAGGCGAGATTACATGGTTTCCTGCCTAGTTGAAGGGCTTAAAAAGGCAGCTTACAAAGCTGGTAATTATGACAAACTTAAAGAAACTACCCAAGGTAAAGACGAAAACCCAGCCCGGTTCATGGCCCACTTAGCAGCAACCCTTAGATGCTTTACTGCCCTAGACCCAGAGGGGCCAGAAGGCCGCCTTATTCTTAATATGTGTTTTATCACCCAGTCAGCTCCTGACATTAGAAAAAAGCTTCAAAAATTGGAATCCAGCCCTCAAACCCCACAACAGGAATTAATCAACCTCGCCTTCAAGGTGTACAATAATAGAGAGGAGTTTGCCAGACAGCAATGCATTTCTGAGTTACAGCTACTTGCCTCTGCTGAGACAACCGACAACCACGTCTCCAACGTACAAAAAATTCAGAACATCCAAGCCACAGCTCCCAGGGGCTCCTTCAAAACATCCTCGTGGACCTTGCTTCAAATCCCAAAAGCCTGGCCACTGGGCCTCAGAATGCCCACAGCCTGGGATTCCTCCTAAGCCGTGCCCTGTTTGTGTGGGCCCCCACTGGAGGTCGGACTGTCCAACTCACATTGCCGCCGCTCCTAAGGACCCTGGAGCCCAAACCCAATGTTCCTTGGCTGACTCCTTCCCAGATCCCCTCAGCTTAGCAGCTGAAGACTGACACTGTCTGATTGCTTCAGAAGCCTCCTGGACCATCACAGATGCTTCAGGTAACTCTTACAGTGGAGGGTAAGTCCATCCCCTGTTTAATCAATACGGGGGCTACCCACTCCACATTACCTTCTTTTCAAGGGCCTGTTTCCCTTGCCCCCAAAACTGTTGTAGGTATTGACGGCCAGGCTTCTAAACCCCTTAAAAACTCCCCCACTCTGGTGCCAACTTGGACAACGTTCTTTTATGCACTCTTTTTTAGTTATCCCCACCTGCCCACCTCTCTTATTAGGTCGGGACATTTTAACTACATTATCTGCTTCCCTGAGTATTCCTGGGATACAGCCACACCTCATTGCCACCTTTTGCCCCAGTTCAAAGCCTCCTTCACATCCTTTCCTTGTATCTCCCCACCTTAATCCACAAGTATAGGATACCTCTACTCCCTCCTTAGTGACAAATTATGCACCCCTTACCATCCCATTAAAACCTAATCACCCTTACCCCACTCAATGCCAATATCCCATCCCACAGCATGCTTTAAAAGGATTAAAGCCTGTTATCACTTGCCTGTTACAGCATGACCTTTTAAAGCCTATAAACTCTCCTTACAATTCCCCCATTTTACCTGTCCCAAAACCGGACAAGCCTCACAGGTTAGTTCAGGATCTGCGCCTTATCAACCAAATTGTCTTGCCTATCCACCCCCTGGGGCCGAAGCCATATACTCTCCTATCCTCAATACCTCCCTCCACAACCCCTGCATAACCCATTATTCTGTTCTGGACCTCAAACATGCTTTCTTTACTATTTCTTGCACCCTTCATCCCAGCCTCTCTTTGCTTTCACTTGGACTGACCCTGACATCCATCAGGCTCAGCAAATTACCTAGGCTGTACTGCTGCCAGGCTTCACGGACAGCCCCCGTTACTTCAGTCAAACCCAAATTTCTTCCTCATCCATTACCTATCTCGACATGATTCTTCTATGTGTATCTCTGCACGTGAGATGGGTCTCCTGAATACAGCACACTGATGGGTCTTGACTCTTTATCCAATTTGCCAGTCTGTGTGTTTTAATTAGAGCATTTAGCCCATTTACATTTAAGGTTAATATTGTTATGTGTGAATTTGATCCTGTCATTATGATGTTAGCTGGTTATTTTGCTCGTTAGTTGATGCAGTTTCTTCCTAGCCTCCATGGTCTTTACAATTTGGCATGTTTTTGCAGTGGCTGGTACCATTGTTCCTTTCCATGTTTAGTGCTTCCTTCAGGAACTCTTGTAGGGCAGGCCTGGTGGTGACAAAATCTCTCAGCATTTGCTTGTCTGTAAAGGATTTTGTTTCTCCTTCACTTATGAAGCTTAGTTTGGCTGGATATGTAATTCTGGGTTGAAAATTCTTTCCTTGAAGAATGTTGAATATTGGCCCCCACTCTCTTCTGGCTTAACCTGACCTTTCTCTCTGGCTGCTCTGAACATTTTTTCCTTCATTTCAACTGTGATGAATCTGCCAATTATGTGTCTTGGAGTTGCTCTTCTCGAGGAGTATCTTCGTGGTGTTCTCTGTATTTCCTGAATTTGGATGTTGGCCTGCTTTGCTAGATTGGGGAAGTTCTCCTGGATAATATCCTGTAGAGTGTTTTCCAACTTGGTTCCATTCTCCCCATCACTTTCAGGTACACCAATCAGATGTAGATTTGGTCTTTTTCACATAGTCCCATATTTCTTGGAGGCTTTGTTCATTTCTTTTTATTCTTTTTTCTCTAAACTTCTCTTCTCACTTCATTTCATTTATTTGATCTTCAGTCACTGATACCCTTTCTTCCAGTTGATTGAATCGGCTACTGAAGCTTGTGCATTCATCACGTAGTTCTCGTGCCATGGTTTTCAGCTACGTCAGGTCATTTAAGGACTTCTCTACACTGGTTATTCTAGTTAGCCATTCATCTAATCTTTTTTCAAGGTTTTTAGCTTCTTTGCTTTGGGTTCAAACTTCCTCCTTTAGCTCGGAGAAGTTTGATCGTCTGAAGTCTTCTTCTCTCAACTCGTCAAAGTCATTCTCCGTACAGCTTTGTTCCATTGCTGGTGAGGAGCTGCGTTCCTTTGGAGGGGAGAGGTGCTCTGATTTTCAGAATTTTCAGTTTTTCTGCTCTGTTTTTCCCCCATTGTTGTGGTTTTATCTACCTTTGGTCTTTGATGATGGTGATGTACAGATGGGGTTTTGTTGTGGGTGTCCTTTCTGTTTGTTAGTTTTCCTTCTAACAGTTAGGACCCTCAGCTGCAGGTCTGTTGGAGTTTGCTGGAGGTCCACTCCAGACCCTGTTTGCCTGGGTATCAGCATCGGAGGCTGCAGAACAGCAAATATTGCTGAACAGCAAATGTTGCTGCCTGATCGTTCCTCTGGAAGCTTCGTCTCAGAGGGGTACCCAGCCGTGTGAGGTGTCAGTCTGCCCCTACTGGGGGGTGCCTCCCAGTTAGACTACTCGGGAGTCAGGGACCCACTTGAGGTGGCAGTCTGTCCGCTCTTAGATCTCAAACTCCGTGCTGGGAGAACCACTACTCTCTTGAAAGCTGTCAGACAGGGACATTTAAGTCTGCAGAGGTTTCTGCTGCATTTTGTTCAGCTATGCCCTGCCCCCAGAGGTGGAGTCTACAGAGGCAGGCAGGCCTCCTTGAGCAGTGGTGGGCTCCACCCAGTTCGAGCTTCCTGGCCGCTTTGTTTACCTACTCAAGCCTCAGCAATGGCGGGCGCCCCTCCCCCAGCCTTGCTGCCACCTTGCAGTTCGATCTCAGACTGCTGTGCTAGCAATGAGTGAGGCTCCGTGGGCGTGGGACCCTCTGAGCCAGATGCAGCCTATATTCTCCTGGTTTGCCATTTGCTAAGACCATTGGAAAAGCGCAGTATTAGGGTGGGAGTGACCCAATTTTCCAGGTGCTGTCTGTCACCCCTTCCCTTTGCTAGGAAAGGGAATTCCCTGACCCCCTTGCACTTCCCAGGTGAGTCAATGCCTCGCTCTGCTTCGACTCACACTCGGTGGGCTGCACCCACTGTCCTGCCCCCACTGTCCGATGAGCCCCAATGAAATGAACCCAGTACCTCAATTGGAAATACAGAAATCACCCGTCTTCTGCGTTGCTCACACTGGGAGCTGTAGACTGGAGCTGTTCCTATTTGGCCATCTTGGAACTGCTCCCCTAAAAATTATTTATACCCCTCACAATTCTCTAAGTTTTCTGATTTCCCTCTCTTCTGTCAACTTGATTGGATTGAAGGATGCAAAGTATTGTTCCTAGGTGTGTCTGTGAGGGTGTTGCCAAAGGAGATTAACATTTGCATTAGTGGACTGGGAGAGGCAGACCCACCCTCAATCTGGATGGGCACAATCTAATCAGCTGCCAGCACAGCCAGAATAAAGCAGGCAGAAGAACGTAGAAGGACTTGACTTGCCTTGACTTGAGTCTTCCTGCCTTCATCTTTCACCTGTGCTGGATGCTTCCTGCCCTCAAACATCAGACTCCAAGTTCTTTGGCTTTTGGACTCTCTGACTTACACCAGTGATTTGCCAAGGGCTCTTGGGCCTTTGGCCATAGGCTGAAGACTGCACTGTTGGCTTCCCCACTTTTGAGGTTTTGGGACTCGAACTGGCTTCCTTTCTCCTCAGCTTGCAGAAGGCCTATTGTGGGACTTCACCTTGTGATCATGTGAGTCAATACTCCTTAATAAACTCATCTTCATATATACATCTATTAGTTCTGTCCCTCTAGAGAACCCTGACTAAGAGAGAAGGGTATAAAAGATTCTGAGCCTCTTTTGTTTGTTGGGTAATCACTCTTCTGTCATTTTTTCTATGTACATTAATGAAAATTTATGCCTTTTCTTCTGCTAATTTGTTTATTGTCAGTTCATTTCAGCAAACCTTCAGAGGACAGAAGGGAAGTTTTCCTTTAGTCCTTACATTGTCACTTTCATTCTCTTTCACTATTCTATTTTGAGGATGAATAATTGTGCTCACATATTTCTAACACACCTTGTAAAGACTTCTACAATGAACACTGATACTTTTAATTTTGTTCAACTACGTTTTATTACCCAACAAATACCAGTGTGCTCTAGAATAAATTAAATAAATAAGATGAAAATAAGGAAGAAAAAGTTGCCTGCAATCCTTTCTCCTACCTTCATTACACATAAGATAACCACTGTTAACATTTGGGTACATATCCTCCCAGCCTTACACATAACTATGTATATGCTTCTATATACATAGATAAATGTTTGATGCAAAATACTTACAATCCACATTTTGTTATCAGTGGCAAGTCCGTATGGGTCTACAGCAACCTCAATTCTTGCCTCCTCAGAAGAAAGAAGTCAATGGAGTGGCATAAGGCAGAAGAAGGGACTGAGGCAAGTTTTAGAGCAGAATTGAATGTTTATTAAAATGCTTTAGAGCAGGAATGAAAAGGAGGAAAGTACACTTGGAAGAAGGCCAAGCAGGCAACTTGAAGGACAAGTGCACCTTTTGACCTTTTGATTTGGGGTTTTATATGTTGGTGAACTTCTGGGTTCTTGTGTCCCTTCACTCCTGATTCTTTCCTTGTGGTTGGCCATTCACATGTGTAGTGGCTGCTAGCACTTTGGAGGGGGGCATGTGCAGTGCGTTTACTTGAATTGTATGCATGCTTACTTGAGGCCGTCTTCCCTTACCAGCCAAATGTCCCTAGGAGGTCATATACCAGTTAAACTCTGCCATTTTTGTCTCTTAGTGCGCATGCTTAAGCCTACTCTCTCAACTCCTGAGATCTTACTGGAAGCTACTGATTACCAGTTTCAGCTTTTTCCTATCTGTAGAAGACTGCCTTTCTCTGGTACTGGCTGCAATCAATTATTATTTTAGAGAGACTCTTAACCACCTGACCATCACTTGATTGTCACCTGACATTCCTGGTTGGAGGTTGGGAGGGCACTCTCCTGCCCTATTATGTCTGACTAGCTACCTACTATATAATAATTTCAGAAACTAATTAAAAATTTTGCATCTTTTAGATCTTTAGCTTAAATATGTTTTCAGATATCCTTTTCATTCTCTCCTAATCTCTCAAATTAAGCTAATAGATATTAACCAGGTAATTGCTAAACATATCTTTTTTTGCAAAGAAACACATGTGAATTTCCTCTTAACCTTCCTGAGTTCAAATTAATACATTTAAATATATACATTGAAGGCTTACAAGTTCTGAAATAAACTAGGGACTGGGAGCAATAAAAAAGGTAAGTATTGATCACTCTCTTTAAGGCAATTTTAATATTCTCAGGGATACAAAACAAATGCGTGATGGATTGGAGAGCAGTTAAGCAACAGAGAAAAGAGAAGGGGAAAACACTGAGAATTAATGAAGCCTCTGAAAAAGCTTCAAGAGCTAGAAGGGGGCTGCTAGCCCTGAGGAATTTAAACTGTGGAAAACAGGAAAAAATTATTAAAGGTGGGAAAAGCAACATCAACTAAATCATGGAGTCAGGGATGAGCTTGGCATGACAAACCTTCATAAAGTGGAGGACGTACAGTGGGAAACAGTGGTTGTGTAGTTTGATGAGAAGATTAAAGAAAAATATAATTTTTATTAGTTTATAACATTTTGACCTGAATCCATATTTTGCCCATCTGAGTGATATGATCTTGTAGGAGCTAAAGGAAAACTTCCCTCTGCCCTTTGAAGGTTCACTGAAATGAACTGACTATAATGGGAGAAAAGGCATACAC
The DNA here is from genome assembly GCF_000001405.40 of Homo sapiens. Taxonomy (NCBI): domain Eukaryota; kingdom Metazoa; phylum Chordata; class Mammalia; order Primates; family Hominidae; genus Homo; species Homo sapiens. Next base: position 153,820,777 of record NC_000003.12, on the reverse strand, counting down.
ATTTCTTAAGGTGCATGGGGGAAAAATTACAGAAGAATGATTATCAAGCCAATGAGGGTTGCAAGTTAAATATTCTTCTTCATAGGGAAAGGGGAAATGGGGAAATGTAGGCATTTTTGAAGGGTAGTAAATGATTTTTTTGAGAATTGAATGGGCCCAAAATAGCAGACAATAGTTTGTAAATGATTCTCTTTGGAAACTAAACGGGACAGAACAGACAGTGATCTGGGATAAGTTTCCTCTGAGCTCTGGGTGAGGTGATGAATTGCCAAAAAGTGAGGAGTGGAACTTCAGTGTGAACAAATGCTGTCTTATTATGCCAGATAAAGTCTTCCAGGTAATTTTTTGTTGCTGCCCTCACACTACATGAAAAGTCTGCCTGTGTGTGGCAATGACTTTTAGTCTTTTCTCTGGTTATTTGATGAGATCCCTAGGGAGAGAGTTTTAAGACAATTGAATTTTATTTTGGAAGAAGTTTCCTTGCCAGATTAGGGAACTTTCAGAGAGAGTTCCTCTTTGCACTTGGGTGGGTGGTGGTGGAAGTGGATGTGGGTTTGTGATGGGAGTGGAGTGGGGTGGGGATTGAGTGGGGCTTGGGAGGGGTGGTGAAAAACAAGAGGTTAGAAAGGTTTTGGTTCTGAGGCAGCTCTAAGGCCTTCAAGTTTCCTTTAATTCAAAAGCTCTCAGCATGTCAAAGCACCATATTCTGGGGTATCATCCTCTGAGCCCCAACAATAGTGATTTTTTGAAAACTTTATTAAATGTAAATTTTTACATCCATCTTCTTTTTAGCCCTATATCAAAATTTTTACCTGCTTGCCAATGTCTTCCAGATCTTTCAAGTCAAATATGTCGCACAATGCATTCATTATATTCTCTCTAATAAACTTTCTCAATTATCACCAAGGAATCTGTTAAGCAAAATTTAACTAGAACTTGTCGCAGTAAGGAAGAACACCAGTTTAAGAGTCTTATTAGTGTCTCAGAATTGGAAGTCAGAAGCAGAATATCTACGGAATATTGGCAACTAAGATCAAGTAATTAAAAGTCTTCAAGATCGGAGCTAATTGAGACTGTACAAAATCTCCTACAGAAAGTCTTGATAAGTAAACTTTTCTTTGGTAAGTGGGCTGTTTGCTCAGGTGAACAAACTTTTTGATACAGTTATCTGAAACAATCAGGAATTATTTTTTGCCGTACAGTCTTATTTTGCCTTGGAAAAGTTTTTTCTAAAACAAAGAACTAAGCCACATTGACATAGGTGGTCTACAGACTGTAAGTCATGTGGACATAGATGGTCTCAGTTCTCACTTCCCTAAACCAGGTCCCAAGGTATTCACTGGTAACACCCACCAATGGCTCCTCAATTCATATGACTCTTCCTACCCTCCCAGGGGAAAGAACTTGCTAGTCTGACTTCCCATCCTCTTAATTCAGGCACTCACCTTCAACTCCCATATTTTGCAACTGCCACCCAAATGCTCTTCTAGCATCTCTTCTGTCTCCATTCTTTCTTTCACACCAAAATTAGAGTTTGACTTCTGAAATAAACAATTGAATATGTAACTTTTCTCCCAAATAACTTATAATACTTTCCCAATGCTTGAGAGTAAAACTTGAACTTACTAGCACTGACTTCAAGACCCCATTAGCTGGTCCCAGTCTCTTAATTCACTTTAAACTACATTTTTAATGTGTGGATATTTTCCTGAACACAGCATGAAACTTTCAGGCTTTTGCTCTACCTAATATACCCGTCTCACCTTTCACTGCTCAAAGACCAATTTTCTGGTCTCTTTTTTTCTGGGATGTTACTCTCTCTTTGTTTGCTTCCTACTTTTTTTTTTTTTTCTATTTCTTTCTGCCTTCCTTCTAAGTTCTTCATTTACCAGTTGCTTTAATTAGTGACCCCAGGGTTATGTCTTTGGCTCATCTCAGTTTGTACTCTTGTTTTCTTTTTAGATGATCTCAGTCATCTTAATAGATCTATTTCTTTATACTCCACAGCTCCCCAATTCATATGACTCTTAAACTTTCTTCTGAGCTTTACATGCAGATTCACCAGGGCTATGCATAATCCCTTGGGATTCATAGAGGTATCTCAAATGTAACATGCTCAAAATCAAACCTATTCTTTCTCCTACAATCCTTATGAGACTATTGTAACTCAGGAAACAAATCTGCATGTTATCTCCCTCACCCCTCACAGCCAATGACTTAGTTTGCTTTGCCCATTTTACTTCCTCTGAATTTCTCAGAACTTCACCATCTTCATGCCTCTACAGTTGCCCTAGTTTATGCCTTATTATGTCTTGCCTGAAATTTTGTAACAGCCTCCTAAGTTCCCTCTCATATACCAACCTTGCCATTTTCAAATACAACTTCCATAGAGCCACCTGTGTTTTTAAAATGCCAAATTGCTGTCACTTAAAACCCTTCAATGGCTCCTAAGAGCCTACAGAATATAGGTCAAACTTTTTAACATGTAATATAAAACCTTCTATAAAACTTGGGCCCTCTGAATCTGTCCTGCCTTATCTGCCTTGTGTTTTGCATTCCAGCAATTAGGACTTTTAACTTTTTGCCTTTGAGATTATGTTTATGATGTTTCCTTTGCCTGTAGTTCATGTATTTTTCAATTCTTCTGTTATTCTTCAATATTCCATTTAGGCATCTTTCTAAGGAATTTATCTTACCTCCTCTTCCTCTTCTCTGTATAGCACCAGTGGCGTACTTCTAAACACACTATAATGAAGTTATTTGTTGTCAGCATCCTACTTGATTCTGTAGGATTTGGACCATGTCTTTATTTTGCCTATTTTATTTAATCTTTACTAACATACAACAAAATAGGTACAGTTACTATGATTCTCACTTGACAAGTGAGAATTTTGAATTTATGGAAGTTTAATCATTTCCCTGAGTTTATATATAAATAGCAGGTTACAAAGTCTGAACCGAAACCCAGATCTGCTTGGCTCTTAACTACTGTGCTGCAGTAAGATGATGTTACAGTGAAATTAGCACAGCGTCTGCACATTTTAGATGCTCAATGAACATTATCTATCATCCTAGTACATTGACTGTTATAGGTGCTCAATAAACATTTTTTGAAATGAAAGATGACTCATATCTTCCAAGTTGAATGAATAAATTTCTTAGAATAATTTCTAAAATTACTCTGTCTTTAATCTGTACAGCATTCATTTGAACTGCAGAATTGTGAGTTGTTTAAATGTTTAATCCTCATATAACCATATCTGAAGTTAAAAATAAGTATGTCATTCATATTATTTGTCCACTATTTTCCATGTGATCTTTGTACATAGAGGTGCTCAAACATTTCAGTGGGATTAGATTATTGAAGTAAAATTTACATACATAGGGATGCATAAATCTTTTTTTTTTTCTTTTGAGATGGTGTCTCGCTCTGTTGCCCAGGCTGTAGTGCAGTGGCACAATCTCAGCTCACTGCAACCTCTTGCCTCCTGGGTTCAAGCGATTCTCCTGCCCCAGTCTCCGAAGTAGCTGGGACTACAGGCGCATGCCACCACGCCAGGCTAATTTTTTGTATTTTTTGTGGAGATGGGTTTTCACATGTTAGCCAGGATGGTCTCAACCTCCTGACCTTATGATCCGCTCGCCTCGGCCTCCCAAAGTGCTGGGATTACAGGTGTGAGCCACCGTGCCCGGCCGGGATGCATAAATCTGAAGGGTACAGTGAATGAGGTCAAGTGCGTACACCTACCCCATTATGATATAGAGCATGTTCATCACCCCTAAAGGTCTCTTTATGCCTTTTTCCGGCCAGTCCAGGCCCCATTCATCATGCAATACTATTTTGAATTTTGTCATTAGAGACAACTTTTGTCTCCTCTAGAACTTTATATAAAAAGAATCATTTAGTATGTATCCTTTTGTGTCTGGCTTCTTTTGATCACTTTCATGTTTTTGAGGTTTATCCACATTTTATATATGTCAGTAGTTTGTACATTTTTATTACTAAATAACATTCAATTTTATGAATATACAGCAATTTGCTTTTCCATCCTTTTATTGATGGACATTTTGGTTATTTCCAGCTTTTGGCTGTTGTCAATAAAACTGCTATGAGCATTCTAATGTAAGAGTTTTTATGTGCATATGTTTTTATTTCCTTAGGGTGAATATGTTGAAGAGGCAGCTATGTTATTGAGTAGGGATGTGTCTTAGTCTATTTTGTGTTGCTATAGCAGAATACCTGAGACTAGGTAATTTATAAAGAAAAGAGGCTTATTTAGCTCATGGTTCTATGGCTAGGAAGTTCAAGGGGCATGGTACCGGCATCTGCTTGGCTTCTGGCAAGGGCATTTATGCTGTGTGACAACATGACAGAAGGTCAATGGGGAAGCAGACACATGCAGTGGGGCAAAACCTGAGGGGCATCCTTGCTTTCTAACAATTCACTTTCATAGGAAGGAATCCATTCCTGAAGGATCTAATCCACTCTTGCCAGAGAGAAAACTCTAGAGAGCACCAAGACATTCATGAGAAATCTGCCCCCATGACCCAAATACCTTCCACTTAGTCCTACCTCCCAACACCACCAAATTGGAGATCAAATTTCATCCTGAGTTTTGGTGGGGGCAAGCCATATCCAAAACATAGCAGAATGTTTAATTTTATGAGAAACTGCTGGGTACCCTTCCAGGTTCATTGTATAGTTTATACTTTTACCACCAACATATAAGAATTCCAGTAGCTCTGCATCCTTGCCTACATTTCATATTCTCAGTCTTTTTATTGGATATTTTGGATATCATTTTTATTAAATATTTTGAAATATCCCTTTGTGGCTTTAATTTGCATTTGCTGATAGTTAATGATGTTGGACATGTTTTCATGAGCTTATTGTGCATTTGTGTATTTTATTTTGTACAAGCTGTTAAATTATTTGGCCCATTATTTATAGGATTATTATTGAGGTATAATTGTGCTTCATATATTCTGGATACAGGTGCTTGTTCAGTATGTGCACGACAAATATTTTCTCCCAAGCTGTGACTCTCCTTTTCTTTTTAGTTATATCTTTTGGCAAACCAAAATTTAAAATTTGGAAGCTTAATTTGTATATTTTGGTGTGTGAGATTATTGCTTTCTGGATCCTTTGTGAGAAATCTTTGCCTACCACAAGATCACTATATTTTCCTACTTCCGTTTTCACAATTTTATAGCTTTAGCTTTTATGTTTAAGTCTATAATCTATGTTAAATTACTTTTTATGTACAGATTGAGATAGGGTCCAAGACTTTTTTTTTTCTCATATGGATATCTTGTTGTTTCAGTAGTACTGGATGAAAAGACTTTATCCATTGAATCATGTTGACTCCTTTGTAAAAAAAACAATAGATTTGACAAGATTGTGTCAATTTTGGACTTTCCATTCTGTTCCATTCATATATTTGTCTAATTTTATGGCAATATTATTATATTTTAATTACTGTAGCTTTGTCAGTAAATTAGATGTGATATTCCTTAATTTGTTATTTTTTTATTTCTATGTTAGGTCTTTTGCATTTCCATAGACAGTAAGAATCAGTTTGTTGGTTTCTACAAGAGATTCTCCTAAAATTTTCATTAAGATGTTATTAAATCTAAAGATCAATTTGGGAAGAATTGACCTCTTAAAATATTGAGTCTTCAAATTGATTAATATGGTATAGTTCTCTGTTTGTTTAGGTTGTAAATTTTTCTCAGAATTGTTTTTTAGTTTTCAGTGTGGAGATCTTGCACATATATAGTTAAATTTATTTTGAAGTTTTTATGTTTTTGATGTTATTGTAAATGGTGTAATTTTAAATCACACTTTCCAGTTTCTTGTTGCTAATTATATGTATGAATGTGGTACATAAAATTTATTTTGCATATTGACCTTCTATCATATGACTGCTAAATCCACTAACTCGTTCTGGTATATTTCTTATAAATTTCTTAGAATTATGTACAACACAATCTTGTCACCTGCAAATAAAGATATTAATTGTTTTATTTTTTCCTTTCTGATGTATATGCCTATTCTCTCTCTTACTTCCTGCCATTCTGCATTAACCAAAGCCTTCATTACAATGCTGAATGACAGTAATAGGAGCAGTAATAGTTTTTCATCTTATGAAGATAGTGTTAGGTATTTTACCATTAAATATGATGTTTGCTGTAGAGTTTTAATAGATACCCTTTATTGAAGAAGTTGCTATTTACTCTTAGTTTACCGACAGTTATTATAATGAATGGATTTTAATTTGTAAAATACTTTTTCCCTGTAATCCCAGCACTTTGGGAGGCCGAGGTGGGTGGATCGCCTGAGGTCAGGAGTTCCAGACCAGCCTGGCCAACATGGTAAAACCCCGTTTCTACTAAAAATACGAAAAAAATTAGCTGGGCATTGCGGTGCATGCCTGTAATCCCAGCTACTCAGGAGGCTGAGGAAGGAGAATCGTTTGAACCCGGGAGGTGGAGTTTGCCATGAGCCGAGATTGCACCACTGCACTCCAGCCTGGGCAATAAGAGCGAAACTCCATCTCAGAAAAAAAAAAAAAAAAAAAAAGCTTTTTCTGCATTTTTTGAGAGATTATTATGTAAGCTTTTTGTCCATATTCTATTAATGTGGATTGATTTTTGAATATTAAATCAACATCTTATTCTCGAGATTCCTTTATCATTATGTGTTTGTTATACTTTGCTAGAGGTAAATTTATTATTTTGTTAAGGATTTTTGTATCTATGTTAAAAAAATATTGGTCTGTTAGTTGTATTTTTTCTCCCTAATATCTATGATTTTAGTATCATGGTTATGCTGGACTTGTAAAATGAGTTGAAAATTGTTCCCTTCTTTTCTCTTCTACAAAAGAGTTTTCATAAGATAGATATCATTTATTCCTTAAACTTTTAATAGAATTCACCAGTGAAGCTATTTGGGTGAAGTTGTCTTTGTCAGAAGATATCAAATTATGAAATCAATTTTGTAAATACATATGGGGCTATTCAGATTTTTAATTTAGTCTTGTGTGCTTTTAAGTAATATGTCTATTTCATCTAAGTTGTTGAATTTATTTGCATACTATTGTTTCAATATTTTATATTTAACATTTTAAATTCTGTAAGATCTCTAATTATGTCTCCTCTTTCATTTCTGATATTGGTAATCTGTGTTTTATTTCTTTTCAATCAGAGTAGCTAGAGATTTTTCAATTATATTAATCTTTTTAAATAATCAATATTTGATTCCATTCATTTTTCTCTTTTTATTTCTGTTTTGTATTTGATCGATTTCTGCTTTTATTTCTATTATTTTCTTACTTCAACTTACTGTGGGTTTACTTTGCTCTACTTAACTTCTTATAGTGTATGCTTAGATCATTAATTTAAACCTTGCTTCTTTTCTAATACAAGCTTTGAAACCATAAAGGTAATTCTGCTTAGTTAATTCTGCAGATTCTGATATACTGTGTTTTTGATATTGTTCAATTTGAGATGTTTTTTAATTGTCTTTATGATTTCTTCTTTGACACATGGGTTGTAAAAGGTTTTTTCCTTAATTCCCACTATTTTAATTTTTCAGATTTATTGTTATTGATTTATAATTTAATGCCATTGTGATCAGAGATCATATTTTGAATAGTTTTAATTATTTAAATTGATTTTTTAATGGTCTAGAAATATGACTTATTTTGGAGAATATTTTATGCATCCTAGTAAAGATTGTTGTTGGGAATAGTGATCCATAAGTATCAATTTGGTCAAGTCAGTTGATAAGAATGCTCAACTCTTCTACATTTTTACTAATTTCCTGTCTATTTATTTTATCAGTTACTGACAGAAGGACTTTGAAGTCTTCAGTTATAATTGTAGATTTATCCATTTTTCCTTTGTTTTGTTAGTGTTTGCTTCATTTGAAGCTCTAAAATTGTTTGGAATCACAATTAGAACTGCTACATCATTTTTGATGGACTGGCTCTGTTATCATATAAAATATCCCTTTTTATTTTATTTTTAATAAAATCCTTATTCTAAAGTTTACTTTCTCTGATATTAATAAAGTCATTCCAGCTTTCCTATGATTACTGTTTACATAATATAACCCTTTACTTTTAGCCTACCTGTGTTTTTATATTTCAAGTAAGTTGAATCTTGTTGTTTTTAGTCTAGCCTGATAATCTCTGCATTTTAATTTGTGTAGTTAGTACATTTCTATGCAATGTTATTATTAACATGTTTGAGTTTAAGTCTACCATCTTACTATTAGTTTTATTCTTGTCTGGTATAATCTTTGTTTTATTTTTTCTTTTTTAAAGTCTTACTTTGAATTTATTTTTCTAATATTTCATTTTATTTCCTCCATTGGATTTTAGCTACAATTCTTCATGTATTTTTAAATGGTTACACTAGAATGTACATTAATCATCTATAGGTTATTAAAGTATATTTTCAAGAAATATTATATACCTTCATGTATAATTTTAAGTTTTTAGCATTATACTTCCATTTATTCTCTCCTATGCTTTGTTCTTGTCATATTTTACTTCCATATATTATGTACCCCATGATACTTCATTATTAATTGTGCTTTAAAAAGTCAATTAACCTTAGAGTTTTTTTTGTTTTGTTTTTTGACAGAGTCTCACTCTGTCGCCAGGCTGGAGTGCAGTACGATCTCGGCTCACTGCAACCTCTATCTCCTGGGTTCAAGCAATTCTCCTGCCTCAGCCTCCTGAATAGCTGGGACTACAGGCACTCACCACCATGCCTGGCTAATTTTTGTATTTTTAGTAGAGATGGGATTTTAGCATGTTGGCCAGGATGGTCTCAATCTCTTGACCTTGTGATCTGCCTGCCTCAGCCTCCCAAAGTGCTGGGATTACAGGTGTGAGCCACCGCACCCGGCCTAGAGTTTTTAAAACAGGGAAAAATAAATTATACTTACCCATATACTTACTATTTTTAATATTCTTCATTCCCATGTGAAGGTCTATGTTTACATTTGTTATTATTCTCTTTCGCTCTGAAGAACATCCTCTAACATTATTTGTAGTGGAGGTTACTGGTAATAAATGATCTCAGCTTTATTTGTCTGAAAATGTCCATTTTACTTTCTTTTTTCATGACATTTTTCTCTGGATCTAGAATCCTAAGTTGACACTCCATCCCACCCATCCCCCAAGAACCTTAACAATATCATTTTATTGTTACTGTTGTTTTCTGGCTTTGTTTCTGATGAAAAGTTAAAGAGTTATTTTATAATTTTTTTCCTATTAAGTGTTTGTGTCTTTTTTCCCGTTGGCTGCTTCAAGGATGTTTTCTTTATTATTCATTGTCAGTAATTTGATTATGATGTGTCTTGGTGTGATTTTCATTTGTGTTTATTCTGCTTTTGGTTTGGTTTGGTTCTTAAATCTATGTGTTTCTATTTCATATAGTATTTTGAAATTCTAGGCTATTGGTTCTTCAAACATTTTTGTGCCCCATGCTTTTTCTCTTTTCTGAGACTCTGATTATGTATTTGTTAGACTTATATCGTCTCAGAGATCACTGAGGCTCTACCAGTTTTCTAAAGACTTCTTTTTTCTTTTTTCTTTATTATTTTGATTACCTGGTTTTAAAATTCACTAATCTTTTCTCCTGGAGTATCTAATCTTCTATTAAGCTGGTACAGCAAATTTTTCATTTAATTATATTTTTAGCTACAGAATTTCATCTGGTTCCTTTGTATGGTTTCCATTTAACAGACAGTCTCTATTCCTTTGTTAGAGTCATGTTTTACTTTATTTAAACCTTGAACATGAACATACTTATAATGCTGTTTCTCAGAGTCTTTAATTAAATCACCCCTGCAATTTCTAGTTCTATTTTTATTTACTGAGTTTTCTCGTGATTAGGGGTTATGCTGTTCTGCTTCTTTGCATGTCTAGGAAGTTTTGATTAGATTCTAGATATTTGAAATGCTATGTTTGTGAGGATCTGGATTTTGTTATCTTCCTTGAAGTGTGTTGAGTTCTGTTATGTCAGGTGCTTAACATATTTGAATATCAGCCTGATCTTACTGAGGCCTTTTCAAGCTTTATTGTGGCAAGTTTGAAGTAGATTTTGTGGAATGAACCTTATTCCTCAGCCTTGGTCTTTCTGGAATCTCTTCTGAATGCCCTGGGTGTTCAACAAGGAGTCTCCACTCTGGCTAATCACAAATCAAATTCCTCTCTGTCTTACGCCAGTTCTGGTAGTTATTGTGGTTATGGCTTAAGGTGGTTGTTCTCTCTCCAGCAGTTGTGCTTTGCCTAGTTTCATGTAGTATCATCCTATATTCAACCAAAGATTCAAGAGGACCCTTTAGTTGATTTCTGGAGCTTTTTCTCTGTGCGGCTCTTTCTTTGCCCTTCAAATTTCAGGTACCTCCATCTTTCTTACCTCTTATCTCTCCCCTAATTTCTGCCTTATATTCTTTATATGTCTGCCCTCTAATTTCTGCCTTATATTCTTTAGATCCAAAAGTGGGCTCAGGAAGCAATCTGGGTCAATTGTGGAGTCCTATCATTTGCTTCCCTTCTCTAACAGGACTTTACCACAGTCCTGTGATATTTGTTGTTTAGCCTCTGAAAAATTTTATTTTATATACTTTGGTCAGTTTTCTAGGTGTTATGACAGGAGGCATAACCCATTATTTAGTTAACTCCCTCACAGATCAAATTGGGAGTCTGATAAAATTAGATGAAGATACTCTATTTACCCCGATGCAATTAGTATACATTGTATGCCTGTATCAAAATATCTCACATATCTCCAAAATATACATACTTATATACCCATAAAAATAAAAAATAGATTAAATAATAAAAATTAATAATGTTATAAATTTACAGGCTAAATTGAAATAATTTGTATTAGTTTAGGATCCATCTTATTATTTATTAAAGTATGTTTTAGTAATATATTGATCACTTCCTCATTCTTATTAAAGGGATTTTTGCAATAGTTATTTGTCTTGTACTCTCATTACATAAACATTTCAACTTCCACAATGTCTGCTTTGGTCTCATAAGTGGATTATTCTTTGACAACAAAGCAGCTGAAGAATATTGCTCATTGATGAGTAGGCAACTTTCTGAAGTTTTTATTTGTTCTCAAACTTCTTCTTGTTAATTATGAAAAAATAGCTGGTCTACTGAAAACTACCAGAGAGAATAGATTTGGGGAATATTGATCGACAGGATGTATCTTGCTAAACTCATCCAGCCCACTGAGCTGTGATAAGCACTTTCCTTCATCTGGATGAGTGAGCACATGGTGTGTCTCATTTAAAAACCAAAACAGTTTTCAGAAATTTATAGCAGCATGAAGCTGTACTATAGTAATGTCCTCTTAACAATAAGCGTATCTATAAAAAAGACTGGGGTTGACTAAGTGAGGACCTTTGAGGAAGATGTTAAAAATGCTGACGTTGCAAAGGCATTGACCCCAGTTGGCAGGTCTTTTTTGACCTTTCTGCCTCTCATGAACTGAGCAGAAAGTAGCCATGAAACCAAATATGTGGCAGAGAAAATGACCAACCTGTAATATTTACTCTAGACTCTGACCATTATCCAGTATTTTATGATAGAGACAAAAGCCCTTTTTGACTCTGGAGAAAAATATAGAGTAGTAAAAGTTTTGAAAACATAATGTATAATGTATGAGGGTAAGTTTTGTGGTTTGAGGTTACTTGGAGATTAGAAGTCTTAGGAAGGAATAAAGGTTTGGTCTTATCCTATTGGCTTTGGAGGTTGAATAATCACAGATGTGAAAAGGCAGGTCTGTTCTTTCAAAACCCTCTGCAAACCAGAAAACAGAGGTGAGATATTGGAATTGGTGCCACAGGCAAACTTTCTTTACTTTTCAAATGTGTCTACCTCCCCTTTTAACAAACTCTTGAGGAGACAAATTATTCTGACTCATTTGAACCAAAGTGAAAATGAAATAATTCTCGGAATCTTTTGCTATATCCAGTAGTGTGCTGGTAAATAAGTTCTCCTGGGTGGTAGGGCTGGGGGGTAAAAAAAACCCTTATTTGTAGTGCTTTCTGATTTCCATGGTGAAAATATTTCATGGCCAAGTTCAAATTACCAGATTTTAACCATCGATTTGCAAAATTGCTGGACATTTAACAGTTGGCATGGTCTCTCATGAGTGGCTCCAGCTTACCAATGGCTAAATCATATTTTGCAGTACAGGAAATGTTACACTGATCCTATTTTAGACAAACCAGATTGGTCCTACTTTATAAAAAAGAGTTCAGTTTGTCCTACTTCAGAATTCTGCACCCACATTTTGTGCAGTATGACTTTGGGAGAATAAACTCTCTGGCTGTATCCAATAATCTGTGATTTATTAATATTACCTAAGGTTACTGTAAAAATTAAATGAGATAAAGATTAAGTGCCTACCACAACTCCTGAAACATAATAAACATTTGATAATTGGTAGCTATTATTGATTTTATGTAGATTTGAGATATTCTAGTGCAGTTACATAAAAGTAACTGCTTTTTATATCTGATGATAGAGAAAATAAATTTAAAAACTATGATGAATAATATAATTTTTTGAAAAGTAATTTTATTTTAATCACAGCAGGTTCAATCTGTACTTGAAAAATTATTTGTATGAAAAATTATTCTGACTACAGATAATGCCTGGCTGCATATAAATTTTTAGATATTTTAAATAAATCAATGGCCTCACACTTGTCAAAGACCCATAGTTTGGAACCACCCTGCTGGACATTTTGCAGTAGAGAGATAAGTGTGAGAGAACAGTCAACACCTACAGAAATGGGTAAATGGATAAACTGATAAAACCTCCTGGAGTCACTCACACTTTCATAAATGCAGTTCTCCACTCCAAATGTCTAAGCACTTTTGTGGACTTGATAATGGAATTTCAAGCAAGAGCAAATTGTATGTAGATTAGGTGGAACTGACTTCATTGTTTAAAGGTTTTATTAGTTTTCATAAAGAATAAGTGTTTTTCTATTTTTTAGAACCCTGCTCTTTTGAAGAGAATATCAATATATTTTGACTCGTGAGAAAAATAACAATGAAAGTGGCTCATGTAGTCATTTACTTAGGATTGAAATGTCTTTTTGCTAGAATGCTTTTGGAGCTTTTGAAGTCTGAAGTTCACTAAAAAATTACAATTAGATATTTTGTTTCTATAAGGTCCACCTGAAAGAATTCTCTTTGAATCTTTAAACGCGGTTTCTTTAATAACAGAAATATCATAAAAATTTTATAAAACATTTCAAGAGGTAGCATGAGAATATTTGTAATGCCGTGTGTGTGTGTGTGTGTGTGTGTTTGTGTGTGTGTGTGTTGGCAGAAATAGTAAGATCTCTTTTTATAATGCTATTGTGCCAAACTTATCAAAATACATATACTTAAGTTTTGTTATTCATATTTAACAAATGACTCTGATTATATCTGAATTCAGGCCTGTCAGTGGTGGTAATAAGACTGCAGCCACCATAATTCAAAACAATATAGACAGCATTCACAGATTTCTCTAGCCTTCTACTTTTGTGTAATCTTAAAGCTTTCCAATTACACCATTGGAAAAATTACTGAAAATGCAAATGGATAAGAGGTTGTCAAGCAGCCATGTGAACCGGCAAGAATAATAATGTTGGCAGTTCTGTAATCACCGAGCATACAAAAGCTGACAGAACAAATACTTTCTTTCCACCAATTGACTAAATGTATACTATTGCTGCCTGCTTTAAAAAAGCACAGGTGAAAACACACCATTCTCTGAGTTGGCCATTTAAGCATTTTCAGACTCATCATGGCTTGCTGACTGGCAGAAAGAATGACTGCTGTTTAATATGGAAAAAGTTATTCTATAATCAGTTGTGTTGAATGCATTATAAGGACACACTTCTTTTTCAGCCAAGGAGCAAACAGTAGCCAGTGTCTCCTCTTGCAAATGGCCTTTGTTAGTCAATCTAACCTTACCCATTAATTGGACATCATCCAAGGAGACACCAGGCTGTTGCCCTGTCTGGAAAGCCCAGGTTGCTTGGTGAACCAGGTGCAGGACCTGGAGGGGCTCCCACCTGGCTCATGTTTCAGAGTTCCTGGGCTGCTAGTGAAGTGAGTCCTGAATATGAGGGGACAAGAAGATCACTGAGTGCCAGAGATGATTCTGCAGTCTGTCCACTTGCCCAGGTTCTCAGTTTATCTGCTTCTGAATTACTTCTTTTCTGAAAAGACTTGCATGAGTTTCTCAGGGCTGCTGTACCAAAGTACTACAAATGCTGGCTTAAAGTAACAGAAATTTATTCTTTTGCAGTTCTAGAAGTTAGAAGTCAAGGTGTTGTCAGGGCTCTGCTCCCTCCAAAGCCCCTAGGAGAGGATCCTTCCTTGTCTCTTTCAGCTTCTGGTAATCCTAGTGCTCCTTGGCTTGTGGCAACATAACTCCTCCAATCTCTGCCTCTGTCTTCACATGGCCATCTCCCTGTCTTCAGATGGCATTCTCCTCTCAGTGTTTATGTCCACATTTTCCTCATATAAAGACACAAATCATATTGGATCGGAGCCCACCCTAATGATCTTATATTACTTGATTACATTGGCAAAGATGCTATTCCAAATAAAGGTCACATTTATAGGCAGCAGGGGTTGAGGATTTCAGTATATCTTTTGAGAGAACACAATTCAATTCATTAAAGGACCCAAGGAGGCAAATTACGTCTTCTGGCACTACCCAAGACGGAGTAGGTCAATTATGGCAATAGGATATGAGTGCTCCAAGATGTTTGAGACAAAAAAAAAATGAATGAAGAGCAGATTGTGATTCAAGGACCCAAGGAGACAAATTACATCTTCTGGCACTACCCAAGGGGGTTAGGTCAGTTATGGCAATAGGACATGAGTGCTCCCAGATATTTGAGACAAAATAATAGCAAAGAGTAAATTGTGATTCATTCACTTGTTTTTAACTTTAGCGTTATGTCTTATGGACCTAATATGCACCAGGCATACACTAGACTTGCCTGTAAAAGACAACATACACAATGAAGTACCTGCCCTTATGGAGTTTGGAGTTTTGTAGGGGATTATACGAATAGTTAATTAAACATAGTTGAGTTAAATCTAGTGAATGAAGATTTTGGAATGTTGTAAGAGCATATACTTGGAGGATTTGGTGTGGTGTGAGGAACAAAAGAAGGCCTTCCTGAAAAGGAAGATAATAATGACAGTGATAGTAACAATAATACAAATAATATGCTAACATCTATTAAGCATTTACTATATCCTAGACACCATTTTAACTATTTTTCTTGTATTAACTTTCTTCTTCATACCTATCCCACTTTACAGATGAAGAAACTGAGGCAATAAAAGGCTAGATAAATTGCCAAAGGCTGTATGAAATTTAAGATTTCTGCTGATACCTGATTAGGATTTAGAGAAGTAAGGAAGTGGGGAAACAGAGCTCCACTGGAGGCAGCAGCATGTGTGAAGGCTCTGAGGCAGGATGATTTTTCTGTGACTAGAAAGAGGTGAGCAAGGGGGAAGATGGTGCAAGAAAAGTGAGAGAGGCAGTCAGGAGCCAGATCCCAAAGGGCCTTGGAGGCCAAGGTAAGGCATTTATCTTAAAAGTAATGAGAAACTATTGTTGAGTTTATATGGGACAATGACTTAAGGGAATTTGTATTTTAAAAGAAATTAGTTGTAATGTGGATGAAGGATTAGAGGAAGGTAGGAGTTTCCAGGAAGGCTAACAAGAAACTTCAGGAAGAAGATAATGGTGTCTTGGACTAAACTTGTGATAATGGAGATGGACAGAGATGGACATATTTGCAATAAGTAGGAAATGGAATTAAAAAGACAGGGCCAACGCTATGTTCAATGGGTAGACGGCAGTGTCATTTACTGTGATAAGAGAGTAATGGGGATGAAGAGCAGGTTTTGAAAGGAAGATCATAGCTTTGCTTTGGACACATTGAGTTTCAGGGCCTCTGTGGCACTCAAGTCAGCAAGGGAATACAGTTTGCAGTTCAGAGACAGTGTCAGAAAAGAACGGTACTTTCATCATAATGACAGCATATGAAACTGTGGGAACGGATGAGTTTGCCCAGAGGGAGAAAGAGGAATGTGAAGAGGATAAAGGTGTTAATGTGAGTTCCAAGGACCTCCAGTATTTAAAGACACAGGAAAGGAAGAGTAGACAGTTTGAAAGGTGGCTGAGAAGTAGGAGTATGATGCAATGAAAGCCAAGGGAGAGAGGATTTGAAGGTGGTAAACATGTCAAATACTTCTGAGTAAGATGACAAATGAAAAGTGTTAATTAGACTTATATTAGTAGCATAAAATTCATTGGTGCCCTTATCAAAATAATTTTCGTGATGTGGAGAGGGCAAAGAGCATACTGAAATGAGTGGACTGGTGAAATAAGGACAATGGGAAGCAAGAAGTTTGTACCTTCTTAAAGAGAAGTTTGGCTTTCAATGGGAGATGATAAGGCAGGGGCTGAAGATGATGTGAGATTGTGTGTGTGTGTGTGTGTGTGTATGTGTGTGTGTGTGTCTGTGTGTGTGTGTTTTAAATAGGGGGTTTTAGTTTAGATCAAACATAAATGCTAAAAGCAAGGACTCAGTGAAGAGGGAGAGAGAGTTATTTAGGACACAGAATGAAGGGGAAATTGATAGCATAAGGTCCTAGGAAGTTTGAAAGTGATGGGATTTATAATAGGCAGAGAGGAGAGAAATGGCACAGAAACAGATTTGGTAGCAGAAAGTGGAGAGAGTTTGTACTTCCAAGTTTTTTGAGAAATAGGAGTTGAGATGATTTGCCCTGAGTAAGGGTTAGAGGCGCTTGGCAGTTTGAGGAAATTGAAATAATATTGCAGAAAGTGGGAAGGATACTGTAGAAATCCAGGGGAGAAAGCAGGTGGCTCAGAGATCTTTGGCATTTAGTTTTACAGATATGTTTTAAACATCTAGGTTGAGGTCTGGTGCATAAGTCAGCACTTAACATATTTGTTGAAAGAATGTTATATGAATTTGAGGTTGCAAGCTGACCATTGCCTTAAGGCCAAAGCATGGGGAAGACTTCCCTCTTGTTTTATATTTTATATTGAGTCTTTTTACACAAATTGAAGATAGTTCCTAGCAGGCTCAAAAAGGACCACTGGCATTAAAGGTTTAAGATGATGTGAAGAAATGTAGACTTTTCTGTCTTACAATCTATATGCCCCCAAAAAAATTACACACATTTTCACCCTAGTTCTCCTAGAAAGGCAGTCCATTCTCTATAAGTCCTTACCTTTTTTTCGCACAATGTCTTCTTTCCTTTAAGGGATCATTGCCAAGGACACTTCTACATGTAGGACGCTTTTGTCAAAGGCTTATCGCTTCTTTCTAAGAAAGGTATCCACATTAGAAAGAGATTTGCCATGAAATGGGTGGCAGTTATTCCATGTTTGGAATTAGTATAGCCTTTGGAAGAGTTAATGGTGTGTATCTCATGTGTTTCAGGGTGTAGTCCGGTCTTCACTAATGATGTACCAATGACTTCAGTCTGTTTTCACAAGTTTTGCCACTACTGATGGAAACTTAACACCTACGTTGGCAATCTTCATTTTTATCAACATTGTTGATTAAGTTTAGCAACTCAACTTTCAATTCTTTAGTAAATATCCTTGCGTCACCACATATTCTGGTGGTGGTATTTAGGCTTCTCTTTTAAATGCTTATACATTTATCTCGAAACTGAGGCAAGCTTAATCTTTTAGTGATTTTTATTCTTTTTTTTAAATTTTATTATTATTATACTTTAAGTTCTAGGATACATGTGCACAATGTGCAGGTTAGTTACATATGTATACATGTGCCATGCTGGTGTGCTGCACCCATTAACTCATCATTTAGCATTAGGTATATCTCCTAATGCTATCCCTCCCCCCTCCCCCGACCCGACAACAGTCCCCAGAGGGTGATGTTCCCCTTCCTGTGTCCAGGTGTTCGCATTGTTCAATTCCCACCTATGAGTGAGAACATGCAGTGTTTGGTTTTTTGTCCTTGTGATAGTTTACTGAGAATGATGATTTCCAATTTCATCCATGTCCCTACAAAGGACATGAACTCATCATTTTTTATGGCTGCATAGTATTCCATGGTGTATATGTGCCACATTTTCTTAATCCAGTCTATCATTGTTGGACATTTGGGTTGGTTCCAAGTCTTTGCTATTGTGAATAGTGCCGCAATAAACATACGTGTGCATGTGTCTTTATAGCAGCATGATTTATACTCCTTTGGGTATATACCCAGTAATGGGATGGCTGGGTCAAATGGTATTTCTAGTTCTAGATCCCTGAGGAATTGCCACACTGACTTCCACAATGGTTGAACTAGTTTACAGTCCCACCAACACAACAGTGTAAAAGTGTTCCTATTTCTCCACATCCTCTCCAGCACCTGTTGTTTCCTGACTTTTTAATGATTGCCATTCTAACTGGTGTGAGATGGTATCTCATTGTGGTTTTGATTTGCATTTCTCTGATGGCCAGTGATGGTGAGCATTTTTTCATGTGTTTTTTGGCTGCATAAATGTCTTCTTTTGAGAAGTGTGTGTTCATCTCCTTCGCCCACTTTTTGATGGGGTTGTTTGTTTTTTTCTTGTAACTTTGTTTGAGTTCGTTGTAGATTCTGGATATTAGCCCTTTGTTAGATGAGTAGGTTGCGAAAATTTTCTCCCATTTTGTAGGTTGCCTGTTCACTCTGATGGTAGTTTCTTTTGCTGTGCAGAAGCGCTTTAGTTTAATTAGATCCCATTTGTCAATTTTGGCTTTTGTTGCCATTGCTTTTGGTGTTTTAGACATGAAGTCCTTGCCCATGCCTATGTCCTGAATGGTAACGCCTAGGTTTTCTTCTAGGGTTTTTATGGTTTTAGGTCTAACGTTTAAGTCTTTAATCCATCTTGAATTAATTTTTGTATAAGGTGTAAGGAAGGGATCCAGTTTCAGCTTTCTACATATGGCTAGCCAGTTTTCCCAGCACCATTTATTAAATAGGGAATCCTTTCCCCATTGCTTGTTTTTGTCAGGTTTGTCAAAGATCAGATAGTTGTAGATATGCGGCGTTATTTCTGAGGGCTCTGTTCTGTTCCATTGGTCTATATCTCTGTTTTGGTACCAGTACCATGCTGTTTTGGTTACTGTAGCCTTGTAGTATAGTTTGAAGTCAGGTAGCGTGATGCCTCTGGCTTTGTTCTTTTGGCTTAGGATTGACTTGGCAATGCGGGCTCTTTTTTGGTTCCATATGAACTTTAAAGTAGTTTTTTCCAATTTGGTGAAGAAAGTCATTTGTAGCTTGATGGGGATGGCAATGAATTTACAAATTACATTGGGTAGTATGGCCATTTTCACGATATTGATTCTTCCTACCCATGAGCATGGAATGTTCTTCCATGTGTTTGTACCCTCTTGTATTTCATTGAGCAGTTGTTTGTAGTTCTCCTTGAAGAGGTCCTTCACGTCCCTTGTAAGTTGGATTCCTAGGTATTTTATTCTCTTTGAAGCAATTGTGAATGGGAGTTCACTCGTGATTTGGCTCTCTGTTTGTCTGTTATTGGTGTATAAGAATGCTTGTGATTTTTGTACACTGATTTTGTATCCTGAGATTTTGCTGAAGTTGCTTAACAGCTGAAGGAGATTTTGGGCTGAGACAATGGGGTTTTCTAGATATACAATCACGTCATCTGCAAACAGGGACAATTTGACTTCCTCTTTTCCTAATTGAATACCCTTTATTTCCTTCTCCTGCCTGATTGCCCTGGCCAGAACTTCCAACACTATGTTGAATAGGAGTGGTGAGAGAGGGCATCCCTGTCTTGTGCCAGTTTTCAAAGGGAATGCTTCCAGTTTTTGCCCATTCAGTATGATATTGGCTGTGGGTTAGTCATAGATAGCTCTTATTATTTTGGGATACGTCCCATCAATACCTAATTTATTGAGAGTTTTTAGCATGAAGGGTTGTTGAATTTTGTCAAAGGCCTTTTCTGCATCTATTGAGATAATCATGTGGTTTTTGTCTTTGGTTCTGTTTATATGCTGGATTACATTTATTGATTTGCATACATTGAACCAGCCTTGTATCCCAGGGATGAAGCCCACTTGATCATGGTGGATAAGCTTTTTGATGTGCTGCTGAATTCGGTTTGCCAGTATTTTATTGAGGATTTTTGCATCAATGTTCATCAAGGATATTGGTCTAACATTCTCTTTTTTAGTTGTGTCTCTGCCCGGCTTTGGTATCATGATGATGCTGGCCTCATAAAATGAGTTAGGGAGGACTCCCTCTTTTTCTATTGATTGGAATAGTTTCAGAAGGAATGGTACCAGTTCCTCCTTGTACCTCTGGTAGGATTTGACTGTGAATCCATCTGGTACTGGACTCTTTTTGGTTGGTAAGCTATTGATTATTGCCACAATTTCAGAGCCTGTTATTGGTCTATTCAGAGATTCAACTTCTTCCTGGTTTAGTCTTGGGAGGGTGTATGTGTCGAGGAATTTATCCATTTCTTCTAGATTTTCTAGTTTATTTGCATAGAGTTGTTTGTAGTATTCTCTGATGGTAGTTTGTATTTCTGTGGGATTGGTGGTGATATCCCCTTTATCATTTTTTATTGCGTCTATTTGATTCTTCTCTCTTTTTTTCTTTATTAGTCTTGCTAGCGGTCTATCAATTTTGTTGATCCTTTCAAAAAACCGGCTCCTAGATTCATTAATTTTTTGAAGGGTTTTTTGTGTCTCTATTTCCTTCAGTTCTGCTCTGATTTTAGTTATTTCTTGGCTTCTGCTAGCTTTTGAATGTGTTTGCTCTTGCTTTTCTAGTTCTTTTAATTGTGGTGTTAGGGTGTCAATTTTGGATCTTTCCTGCTTTCTCTTGTGGGCATTTAGTGCTATAAATTTCCCTCTACACACTGCTTTGAATGTGTCCCAGAGATTCTGGTATGTTGTGTCTTTGTTCTCGGTGGTTTCAAAGAACATCTTTATTTCTGCCTTCATTTCATTATGTACCCAGTAGTCATTCAGGAGCAGGTTGTTCAGTTTCCATGTAGTTGAGTGGTTTTGAGTGAGTTTCTTAATCCTGAGTTCTAGTTTGATTGCACTGTGGTCTGAGAGATAGTTTGTTATAATTTCTGTTCTTTTACATTTGCTGAGGAAAGCTTTACTTCCAAGTATTTGGTCAATTTTGGAATAGGTGTGGTGTGGTGCTGAAAAAAATGTATACTCTGTTGATTTGGGGTGGAGAGTTCTGTAGATGTCTATTAGGTCCGCTTGGTGCAGAGCTGAGTTCAATCCCTGGGTATCCTTGTTAACTTTCTGTCTCGTTGATCTGTCTAATGTTGACAGTGTGGTGTTAAAGTCTCCCAATTTTATTGTGTGGAAGTCTAAGTCTCTTTGTAGGTCACTCAGGACTTGCTTTATGAATCTGGGTGCTCCTGTATTGGGTGCATATATATTTAGGATAGTTATCTCTTCTTGTTGAGTTGATCCCTTTACCATTATGTAATGACCTTCTTTGTATCTTTTGATCTTTGTTGGTTTAAAGTCTGTTTTATCAGAGACTAGGATTGCAACCCCTGCCTTTTTTTGTTTTCCAAATGCTTGGTAGATCTTCCTCCATCCTTTTATTTTGAGCCTATGTGTGTCTCTGCACGTGAGATGGGTTTCCTGAATACAGCACACTGATGGGTCTTGACTCTTTATCCAATTTGCCAGTCTGTGTCTTTTAATTGGAGCATTTAGTCCATTTACATTTAAAGTTAATATTGTTATGTGTGAATTTGATCCTGTCATTATGATGTTAGCTGGTTATTTTGCTCATTAGTTGATGCAGTTTCTTCCTAGTCTCGATGGTCTTTACATTTTGACATGATTTTGCAGCAGCTGGTACTTTGTTGTGCCTTTCCATGTTTAGTGCTTCCTTCAAGAGCTCTTTTAGGGCAGCCCTGGTGGTGACAAAATCTCTCAGCATTTGCTTGTCTGTAAAGTATTTTATTTCTCCTTCATTAATGAAGCTTAGTTTGGCTGGATATGAAATTCTGGGTTGAAAATTCTTTTCTTTAAGAATGTTGAATATTGGCCCCCACTCTCTTCTGGCTTGTAGAGTTTCTGCCGAAAGATCAGCTGTTAATCTGATGGGCTTCCCTTTATGGGTAACCCGACCTTTCTCTCTGGCTGCCCTTAACATTTTTTCCTTCATTTCAACTTTGGTGAATCTGACAATTATGTGTCTTGGAGTTGCTCTTCTCGAGGAGTATTTTTGTGGCATCCTCTGTATTTCCTGAATCTGAATGTTGGCCTGCCTTGCTAGATTGGGGAAGTTCTCCTGGATAATATCCTGTAGAGTGTTTTCCAACTTGGTTCCATTCTCCCCATCACTTTCAGGTACACCAATCAGATGTAGATTTGGTCTTTTCACATAGTCCCATATTTCTTGGAGGCTTTGTTCATTTCTTTTTATTCTTTTTTCTCTAAACTTCCCTTCTCACTTCACTTCATTCATTTCATCTTCCATCACTGATACCCTTTCTTCCAGTTGATTGCATCAACTCCTGAGGCTTCTGCATTCTTCACGTAGTTCTTGAGCCTTGGCTTTCAGCTCCATCAGCTCCTTTAAGCACTTCTCTGTATTGGTTATTCTAGTTATACATTCGTCTAAATTTTTTTCAAAGTTTTTAACTTCTTTGCCTTTGGTTTGAATTTCCTCCTGTAGCTCGGAGTAATTTGATCGTCTGAAGCCTTCTTCTCTCAACTCATCAAGGTCATTCTCAGTCCAGCTTTGTTCCGTTGCTGGTGAGGAGCTGCGTTCCTTTGGAGGAGGAGAGGCGCTCTGCTTTTTAGAGTTTCCAGTTTTTCTGCTCTGTTTTTTCCCCATCTTTATTGTTTTATCTACTTTTGGTCTTTGATGATGTACAGATGGGTGTTTGGTGTGGATGTCCTTTCTGTTTGTTAGTTTTCCTTCTAACAGACAGGACCCTCAGCTGCAGGTCTGTTGGAGTTTGCTAGAGGTCCACTCCAGACCGTGTTTGCCTGGGTATCAGCAGCAGTGGCTGCAGAACAGCGGATTTTCGTGAACTGCGAATGCTGCTGTCTGATCGTTCCTCTGGAAGTTTTGTCTCAGAGGAGTACCTGGCCGTGTGAGGTGGCAGTCTACCCCTACTGGGGGGTGCCTCCCAGTTAGGCTGCTCGGGGGTCAGGGGTCAGGGACCCACTTGAGGAGGCAGTCTGCCCTTTCTCAGAACTCCAGCTGCGTGCTGGGAGAACCACTGCTCTCTTCAAAGCTGTCAGACAGGGACATTTAAGTCTGCAGAGGTTACTGCTGTCTTTTTGTTTGTCTGTGCCCTGCCCCCAGAGGTGGAGCCTACAGAGGCAGGCAGGCCTCCTTGAGCTGTGGTGGGCCCCGCCCAGTTCGAGCTTCCCGGCTGCTTTGTTTACCTAAGCAAGCCTGGGCGATGGCGGGCGCCCCTCCCCCAGCCTTGCTGCCGCCTTGCAGTTTGATCTTAGACTGCTGTGCTAGCAATCAGCGAGACTCCGTGGGTGTAGGACCATCCAAGCCATGTGCAGGATATAATCTCCTGGTGCGCCGTTTTTTAAGCCCGTCAGAAAAGCACAGTATTAGGGTGGGAGTGACCCAATTTTCTAGGTGCCGTCTGTCACCCCGTTCTTTGACTAGGAAAGGGAACTCCCTGACCCCTTGCGCTTCCCAAGTGAGGCAATGCCTCGCCCTGCTTTGGCTCACGCATGGTGCGCTGCACGCACTGTCCTGCACCCACTGTCTGGCACTCCCTAGTGAGATGAACCCGGTACCTCAGATGGAAATGCAGAAATCACCCGTCTTCTGCGTCGCTCATGCTGGGAGCTGTAGACCAGAGCTGTTCCTATTCGGCCATCTTGGCTCATGATTTTTATTCTTGATGATGATTTAGTAACTTTGAATTCACAGAGAGAAAATCTACTTAAATAACTGTAAAAGCATATATGTGGATACACTTGATATATTGATTAATTACTGCATTTTTCCTCTTGCTTTTTCCAGATTAGTTGTGTCTCTTCTTTATGTCTCAGTATGTTTACAAATAATGAAAAATAACTTTATTTTTCAGATTGCATTATTAGAGAAGAATTTAAAATATTTTATATTTTAAAAGGTGATGTTGGTTTATTTCACAGAACCAGGAAATCCTCAATAAGATGTAACATACCACCAATGATAAAATACTGAATATGATTGTCAAATATATTCAATTATGAGGGTGATGTTTCTAGCATCATATTAGATTTTATTTCGTAGTTTAGAAAAATGCTATTCATCATCCAGAATTATCAGCTTTTAGAAATTTCAGTGCCATTTGTTTTTGCCAAGGAATGACTTGTACATGAAATGCATTACAGAATAGAGCCTAATACTCCATGAATGGCTTGAATATAAGTGACTCATTATGGGCTAAGTGACAATTAATTCATTTTCATCATTCTTAGATTCATTTCAATTTTGGTGAGGCCAATTAAACACCTGAGTTGCACCTGTTTGAATGCATGTGTTAGGTCTGCATATAAAGTAACTACAGGAAAATAAATCTATTTCTACATCCTACAGAGATAAGCAGAGTGCACTGCATGTGGTAAATCCTCGATAAACAATTACTAAATAAATGAAAAGTTGCTCAAATTCTCACACTACTCATTTATAACTGTAGTACATATCTACTTTTCTCAAATTTACTTGCATATTATGAAATATCTGCTGTCATTGAAACAATTCTTGCTAAAATATTCTTTCCGTTAGTATCTATTATGTATTTAGGGTAAACATGATCTTCAAGTATTTTACTTAACTGCGAGAAACAAGGGTCCTTTAGCTACAGAGAAAACTTTAAAATTCTAATGACTTTTGCATGTAGGACCCTCTATTATCTGACTTTAGGTTGCTGCCAATGGTCTTGGGTGTCTCAATAATCAGAACAGAGCAGAGGCCCTGAATTGTGTTGAGGGAATATCACCTTTTAACAAAGAGGATTAAAATAGTTATTGCAGCCACTTTGTAGATACAGAATAGGACCTCATTCTTAATTTGCTTCAGATGTCAAGACTGATGGAGCCACACACACAATGTATGAAAAGATTTATTACTAACCTCTCAAGCAGGTCCAAAATGATTTGAGAGTGCAGGGAGCGAGGACTTTCCTGGGGTTTTAAAGGTGATTAAGAGAAGGATCAAGGTGAGGGATCCTTCATGGTTGCAGCTCCTTGTTGGTGCCACAGGAAAGAGCAACTAGGCTTTCTTATCAGCTTGCCCAGAAGAGGGGCAGAGGGGAAGAAGGAGGAAGAAAACTGAAAACATGTCTGCAGTTACACATTAAAAATGTAGTCAGACTAATACTAAAGCCATCATGGGAAATATCAGAATTTTGTGGGGGAAAACTGAAAGCTTTTGTCTTTATATTGTTTTCAGTGATCTATTTCATGGTTGATGGGAAATCATTTCAGTTTGAGTTTTTTTTATTATTATTATTATTATTATACTTTAAGTTCTAGGGTGAATGTGCACAAGGTGCAGGTTTGTTACATATGTATACATGTGCCATTCTGGTGTGCTGCACCCATTAACTCATCATTTACATTAGGTATATCTCCTAATGCTATCCCTCCCCCCTCCTCCCACCCCACAACAGGCCCCAGTGTGTGATGTTCCCCTTCCTGTGTCCAAGTGTTCTCATTGTTCAGTTTCCACCTATGAGTGAGAACATGCAGTGTTTGGTTTTTTGTCCCTGCGATAGTTTGCTGAGAATGATGGTTTCCAGCTTCATCCATGTCCCTACAAAGGACATGAACTCATCCTTTTTTATGGCTGCATAGTATTCCATGGTGTATATGTGCCACATTTTCTTTATCCAGTCTATCATTGATGGACATTTGGGTTGATTCCAAGTCTTTGCTATTGTGAATAGTGCCACAATAAACATATGTGTGCATGTGTCTTTATAGCAGCATGATTTATAATCTTTTGGGTATATACCCAGTAATGGGATGGCTGGGTCAAATGGTATTTCTAGTTCTAGACTTGAGGAATTGCCACACTGTCTTCCACAATGGTTGAACTAGTTTACAGTCCCACCAACAGTGTAAAAGTGTTCCTAATTCTCCACATCCTCTCCAGCACCTGTTGTTTCCTGACTTTGTAATGATCACCATTCTAACTGGTGTGAGATGGTATCTCATTGTGGTTTTGATTTGCATTTCTCTGATAGCCAGTGATGATGAGCATTTTTTCATATGTCTGTTGGCTGCATAAATGTCTTCTTTTGAGAAGTGTCTGTTCATATCCTTTGCCCACTTTTTGATGGGGTTGTTTGTTTTTTTCTTGTAACTTTGTTTGAGTTTGTTGTAGATTCTGGATATTAGCCCTTTGTCAGATGAGTAGATTGCAAAAATTTTCTCCCGTTCTGTAGGTTGCCTGTTCACTCTGATGGTAGTTTCTTTTGCTGTCCAGAAGCTCTTTAGTTTAATTAGATCAGTTTGAGTTTTTAAAGCCTGGAAGGTTTTAATTGGTCCTGGGCCATAACTTACTTTTTTACTGTCTTTCCCACAATTCCTCTTCTTGGAACAAACTCTCTAGCCACATAGAATCATCAGTTTAACTCCCTGCTTGCGTATCTTTGCTCATGCTCTTCTCTTGTCCTCTGAGCCTCTTCTAATCTCATTTGCAGGTGTCAGTTTCATCCATTCTTTAAGTCCTGCTCAAGGGCTTGAACCTTGTATTAGTTCATTCTCACACTGCTATAAAGAACTGTCTGAGTCTGGGTAATTTATAAAGAGAAGAGGTTTAATTGACTCACAGCTCTGCAGGCTGTACAGGAAGCATGGCTGGGGAGTCCTCAGGAAACTTACAATCCTTACAGAAGGTGAAAAGGAAGGAGGCACATCTTACATGGCAGGAGCAGGAGGAAGAGATAAAGAAGGGGGAGGTGATACACACTTTCAAACAACGAGATTTCATGAGAATTTACTATCACGAGAATAGCAAGGGGGAAATCCGATCTCTTAATTCAATCACCTTCCACCAGGCCCCTCCTCCAACACTGAGGATTACAATTTGACATGAAATTTGGGCGGGGACACAAATCTAAACCATATCAAACTTTTTTTCTGGTTTTGCATCTTGGAAGCAATTACAGATTCTTCCAAAGGCCTGCAGTATATATACATATTTTTTTCTCTTGCGGCATTTGTCATTGTCTAGCTAGTCTCTGAAAGTACCTAAAGACTAGAATCCAAATGACTGATTGATTTTTATATCTTCCACATTGTCTTTCACATAGGATGTCAGCTCCAAGAAGGCAAGAAGTTTGTTTTGCACACTATTGTTCCTTTATCACCTAGAACAGAGCCTGGCACAGAGTAGATGCTTACCAAATACTTAACAAAAATAAATAATAGAAAAATATTTGTTGAATAAATGAAAGCTAAATTAATAAAACCTATCTGATTCATTTCTTAAATTTGCTCTTTATACATTGCATAAACAAAAAAGAAATACATATTTTGAGAATTTACCATTTCAACTGATTTAGTTGGCAGTTGAACTAATTTAAAGGGAAGATCAATATTGGATCAGGAATTCACAGCTGAACATCTCTGATATGGTTCTGTAACAGAGACTCTAGCATTTTTAGGAATTGGGACAGACTGATGAAAACAGACTGTATTAAATAACCTGAAGATCATTGTGAAGGTACTTGACAAGCATTGACATTTTGCTTTTGCCCTGTTCCTGGTTTTAAGAGCTTTATGCTAAATCTGTTCTTTTATCGTAGCCGTAGGAAAAATTGTAGCTGATTGGTGAGTGGAGTAAGAGGTTCACTTCATCAGGCTGTGCACAAACTTTCCTTGGCTGTACTTGTGGTACAGTATTTATTGGAGATTAACCTATGACAGGCTATAAAACAAGAAATGAGGTCAATTACAGATCCATGTGAACATATGGGATATCAAGAGGGTAAGTCTGAGTGAGGGAGACTTCATAAGAAGAGAGAAATCTGGAGTCAGTACTTCCAAAGACAGTGTTAGCCCCAGGGCTCAAGGCCATTCTCTTTTCCAGGTGAGTATAAACCAAACACAATTTGTAAGGGTCTGTAGTATCTGAGCTCAGATACACATTCTTCAAATGAAGAGTGTCAACATCCAACATCAGAAATTCCTAGCTAAACCAGCTTTCAATTGATGGTTGTTTTTTTGTTTTGTTTTTAAAATGCCTCCTTATTTTCTACTTCTTCTGTATCTCTTCATATCAAGAACTTGCCTGCCCATCATTTTTAGATTACAGATGCCACAGTAGAAAGGACAAAGGAAAGAAGAAGGGCAGTGGAATATAGGAGGGATAATCAATGAGAACAGGAGGACTGTTAAGCTGATTACTGAGAAACCCGGGGTAGATTCTATTTCCCACTCTTTGAGTCTTGGCTAGTCTTGTGATTTGCTTTGCCTAAAGTGACATTGTGAGTACTTCAAAGCCAAGGCCTCAAAAGGCCTTGCCACTTCCACCTTTGCTCTCTTGGATGCTGTCTTAAAACTTCATGGAAGAGACCCATCTAGCTTACTGGAAAATGAGAGGCCACATGCAGAACAGCTGAGACACCCAGCCAACAGTCAACACCAACCACCAGGCATTTGAGAGAGGCCATCATGGCCCTTTTTTTGTTTTAGCTGAATGCAGCTGTGTGAGTGAGCTCAGGTGAAACCATAGAGGGGCCAACCAGCTAACTCACAGATTCATGAGAAATAAGAAATTGTGTTGTTTTTAGCCACTAAACTTTGGAAGTGATTTGTTACATGGCTAAAGATAACAGACACAGCTTGCTTGTGAGTTTTGTATTTATATAGTCTATCTGGCAAATCTTAATCATTTCTTCCACTTTCCAACTTGTTAGGTTTTTCAGAAAACACAATTACAGCATCTTTATGAAATCTCTGAAGTATCATTAATTTGTTCATTTGTTAATTCAGTGTGGTATTGCTTGAGTATCCTATATGTGTTGGAAGTAATAATAGCAAGGTGAGACTTTAGAGGTAAACTGATGCTAGACCAGCACTTTTCAAATCAATATGGATTGCCAATTTTTAAAAAAAGAGAATAGACTAGAAATCAACATCATATATAGTAAAGGTATATGTTGTTTTATTTAAATGTATGTGTATGCTGAAACATAACAAAGATATTTCTCTTATTGTGGGTCTTTATTTTAAAAACTATAAAAGCAGTTGAACTAGATAACTGAGAGCTTTATATACCATCCTAAAAAAAACCAAACAAACCATGATTCACCCCTATAGTCTGAAGTGTCATTGAAGAGTTTTAGGCATGGTCAGGTATGTGTTTTAGACTTATCGTGCTGGTGGCTGTGTGCTGATGGACCTTTCTGAAGGGAGAATGACAGAAATAGGGAGAGGAGTTAGAAGCCTAGGCTGAAACAGGGGTAAGCAGAGAGAGTTTAAGAAGCCTTTACTAGGTTTGGCGAGAAAGAAGTATATTTGAGAAGTGTTTAAAAATTCAAGTCAGATATACAGCACGGAATACTATGCAGCCATAAAAAGGAGTGTGATCATGTCCTTTGGGGGGACATGGGTGGAGCTGGAAGCCATTATCCTCAGCAAACTAACACAGGAACAGAAAACCAAACACCTCGTGTTCTCACTTGTAAGTGGGTACTGAACAATGAGAATGTACACAGGGAGGGGAAAAACACACACTGGGGCCTGCCAGGGGGTGGGGGGAAGAAAGAGCATCAGTAAAAACAGCTAATGCATGCTGGGCTTAATACCTAGGTGGCGGGTTGACAGGTGAGCAAACCACCATGGCACATGTTTACCTATGTAACAAACCTGCACATCCTGCCCCGGTACCCCGGATCTTAAAATTAAAAAAAAAATTTTAAGTCAGAAAAACTCGGAAAACTACTGAAAATGAGAGTGAAGGGGAGGGTGAAATACATCAAGCTATTGATACTAGCAGGTCTTGATAGATTTTAAGTGGAAAGTAACTTTAAGTAAGACATCAAGGATGACTTGTAGATTTCTATCTTGCGTGGATGGCATAGTCACCACTAGGGATAAATAATGTGGAATAAGGGCAGCCATTGTATTGTGACTCTATTGATCTAGTTTGGAGCATGGCAAGACTGTGCTGTTTACAGGTCATTCAAATATCAGGCAGCTGAATGTATGAGGCTGAAGCTAGAGAAACAGATGTGGGTATCATTAGGTGGTGATTGGATTACGATGGTAGATATGTAAAGAGACCGTGTAAAAAGAGAACACTGGGCCCAAGGAAAGGACCCTTAAATGTTGGGGAACACTTAAATAGTCAAAGTAAAAGGAGTCTACATGATGGCAGAGGAGAAAGGCCAGACCTGCAGGGTACCAGAAATCAAAGGAAGGGATATTTTCAAAAAGACTGGGTTTAAGAATGTCAAATGCAACAGGTGGATGTAGGAGGATGAAGGCTAAAAATTATTGTTTAGATTTGGCAATTAGAAGGCCACTAGGAGGCCACTTGTAAACATGTCAGTAGAGTGGCAGGGGCAGGAGCCAGATGGCAGTGGGTGGAACATTAATAGAAAAAGAAAAGACTACTCTTGTAGGATGATTGGATGTGAGTAAAAGGTGATCTAGTGTATGGCTGTGGAGTTCAAAGAGGTTTCTGGATTTTTGATTGGTTTGTTTTACCTGAGATATTCAAGAACATTTAAAACCTAGGGAGAAGGAATCAGGAAAGGGAAGAGAGAACATGAACACAGAGAGGCAGGGGGAAATGACAGAACACAACCCATCACCCTCCAGAGGCAGGGGCCAAATTTTGTTGCTGGCTACTTCCCCAATCTCCCTTGCAGGTGTCTCTTCTTTTCATTGCTTTGGCCCTGACATATTTAAGGCCTCCATTGCCTCTTGCCTGACTACTGTCTCCTCAGTCTTTGGTTTAAAGACCATGGGATTAAAACACACACACATGCACACACACACGCACACACACGAATTGTGGCAAGTAGAAAAGAACAATATATGAGTTGTCCTTCTAGCTCTGTGTGACAAGTACTCCACCCACTGTCACACAGGGCTTTTGGCAGTGTTAGGGTAGGAGCATGTAACCTTTCCAGGGAGGTTCAGAAAACTCAAATTGACATTTGAACTGGCTCTTGGAAGATGAGGTGTTTGTTTTTGCCAGAGGTGCAGGACATTTGAAGTAGAGGGAATTGCGTGTGGAAAAGGAACCACAGATCACAATGGCCAGGAGGTAAGTGGTTATGGAGGGGTCTGTGAGAACTGAGGTTGGATGGGCAAGCTTCTGTGGAATTTTGTTTGCTATATCTTAGCTAATAAGGGGACATTTAAAAATCTTTGATCAGAAATGATACAGGATCAGATCTGTGATTTAGTTCTTTTAATTAGTATTAATGGTGGAGAATTTTTTTCAGAAATTTATTCTAAAGACCCAGCAGTCTAGTTAAGACATAACTCTATTTAGAGCCAGGCACGGTAGCTTATGCCTGTAATCCCACACTTTGGGAGGCCGAGGCAGGCGGATCACTAAGGTCAGGAGTTTGAGACCAGACTGGGCAACATGGTAAAACCGCATCCCTATTAACTGGGCATGGTGGTGGGCACCTGTAATCCCAGCTACTCAAAAGGCTGAGGCAGGAGAATTGCTTGAACCTGGGAGGCGGAAGTTGAAATGAGCCAAGATGCGCCACTGCACTCCAGCCTGGGCAACAGAGAGAGACTCCATCTCAAAAAAAAAATAAAAATAAAAGAACTATATTCAGAGGCAATTAGCTCTAGAGTTGCATCCCAACTCTAGCCTTACTATTTTGTTTGAATTTGGCAAGTTACTTAGCCTGTTTCTAGGTCTCAATTTTTCCATCTGCAATATGGAAATTACAGAGGATTATTGTGTGGGTTAAATGCTATCATGCCTACAGTGCCTGAAAAGAGTATGTTTTCCGTCAATGTTAGCTTTCCTACTCTATCTTTGGAAATAGTCTGCCTACATTTTTTTAGCATATTTTCAGGCTTATTAATATAAAGACCACAGTGTGAAATAATCATAATTCTGCATTTGAAATTTTACTGTTTATAAAGAGGAAGCTGACTGACAGAAGTGATTGATTTTATGTTTTAGTATAAAAAATTTCAAACATACACATAGAGAATAATATAATCAACTCCCATAAACACATCACCCATAATTATTAATTATTAAGATTTTGTATTTTTGCTTTATTGATTTCATTTTGTGAGGCATTTTAAATTAGTCAGACATCACGCATACCCCAATGTGCATGTGATGCAATATACCCTTAAAAATGTGGGTATACTGCTACTTAATTAAAATGCATTATCATACCTAACAACATCCGGCAAATATTCATATGACTCCAACAGTAAGGACGGTTCTGTGCACATGTAGAGCTATTCATATTTTAGAAATTTTGTTAATAAATTCATAGAAATCAGTGAATAAAGAAATAGTTAATTTATTACTCCCAAATGTATGTGTAGTTTTAATAGTACAAAAAAGTATTGTGCAGTTAGGTTGGCTTCTGATTCAATATATAGTCTTCAGTGTGAGTTAATAATATTCACATAAAGACTAGTGCCATTAATGATGACAGTTTAAACTTGAAAAATCAATACTGATGCAAAAATAGATATTGTTTCCACATGAAAAGTCTTCCAAACATTATCAACAGGCTAGACTTGCTTGTATTCTCTGTAAAGATGTATATTTTAATTGAATTAAAAGCCACTGACAGGCTGGGCGCGGTGGCTTACACCTGTAATCCCAGCACTTTTGGAGGCCGAGGCGGGTGGATCACCTAAGGTCGGGAGTTTGAGACCAGCCTGAGCAACATGGTGAAACCCTGTCTCTATTAAAAATACAAAAAATAGCTGGGTGTGGTGGCACATGCCTGTAATCCAGCTATTCAGGAGGCTGAGGCAGGAGAATCTCTTGAACCCAGGAGGCGGAGCTTGTAGTGAGCCGAGATTGCGCTACTGCACTCCAGCCTGGGCGACAGAGCGAGACTCTGTCTCAAAAAAAAAAAAAAAAAAAAAAAGCCACTGACATTCAATTTTGTGATCAGTGTATATGTGTGTGTGTGTGTGTGTGTGTGTGTGTGTGAGAGAGAGAGAGAGAGAGAGAGAGAGATAGAAGGATAGAAGGGGAGAGAGAGGATGCGTATACTTTCCCTTTTTGTAAGTGAAGTTACTGAGGGTAATGGCTTTCTTCATAAATTAGACATACAATAACAAAGGCTTATTGTTCAAATTGTTTTTACGTAAGTGTGACAAACTGCTCAATTCAAAAATGTCTTTATCCTTGAAACTGACCTTATCCTAGTCATGGGTTGCTGGCATTTAATATTCAGGCTTCCTAATTCTTTTTTGAAAGGCTGTCGCAGGAGAATTGCTTGTGGAATATATAATGATTTATTTAGTCTCACAGTCCTTCATATCTGGGAAACTTAAAAAAAAAGAAAGACAAGATGATTCTTCCATATTAATGGAAACAATTGCCTATGAATTGTTTTTAAAAAGTTGACAGTAGAAAATTAAAAATAACATAAGTTTGTGATTTTAAAAAATGTTTTTGCTATTCACACCATCCATTCATATCGCAGCATCCATATTTTAAGTGCTTCAGGGTAAGATGTTTTATAGCCTTGCATTGTTTCCATGAAACTAGATTCACCTGACCAGATTACCAAAACCTTAGAAGTCATTCATTCTTCACAGTGAATTTGAGTACATTTATTTCAGGAAGCTAATATTCACAAACCTGGAAGATTGCTGAGAAACAAAAGGATAATGATGACATAGGGCATGTAGATCGTTTTCTTTCTGACATAAGTCTAATAAAACAGGCAGAAAAGTAACTGCATCTACATATTTAAATGTTTGAAAAGCTTTAGCCAAACAACTGATTATCTTTAAAGAGAAAAAAATATTTAACTCAAGTGGCTTATTAGCTAAATTCCTTCTCATTTTGCCTGAATGTTTGTGTTTGTGGTTAAAAAGGCAGTAGGTAGAATAAAAAAGATGATTGCGAAATGAAGGTCAGCTAATCCTTTATTTCCAAATACACATTTGGTACCTTAGAAATACTTTCTGAACTTCTGGGGGTTACCTGTAAGCCAGTTAATTCTGCAATATCGTCCACCACACATTATTAGTGCTACAAGGAGTCAAGCCTATCTTTAATATGGGTTGAATATGATTTTGGCTGCAAAAAGACCACTTGACATCTCAATTAGAATGTCAGATAGGTGTCTCAGACTTGAACCAGTCTAAAATTATCTCTTCTAAATCTATGATTTCCATGACTTCCTGTACCTCAGCTGCTCAGGCTAAAAAGCTCTGCTTAAAGTCACCTTGACTCCTCTCTTTCTCATACAGCCCACTTCCAGTATGTTAGATAATCCTGTTGGCTCTACCTTTAAAATATCTTCAGAATCCAGCTACTTCTTCATCTCCAACAGCACCCCAGTCCAAGCCACCCCATCTCTCATGTTGATTATTGTCGTAGCTGACTCACTGGTGCCTCACTCTGGTCTCTCTATGGTGTAGTCTCAACATAGCAGCCAGGACGACATGCTTTAATAAATAAATTCACCACTTGAAACCCTCCAAAGGCTTCCATCTCTCTCTGAGTAAAACCCAAAGGATGCATTACAGCCTGCAAGGCACTGCTAGGCCTGACCCCCAGTTTATTCTGCTCCTCCTTGGTTACATCTCCCCACACGAATCTCTTTGTTATTCCTCTTGCACACCAGGCCCATTCCTGTCCCGAGGCTTTTGTACTTACTAGTTTCTCTGCCTAGAACATATTTTTCCAGATATTCACATGGCTGGCTCTCTCATCTCCTTTGAATCTTTAATTAAATATCATCTTCTTAGTGAGGACATCCCTGGCCTCCTCCTTTAAAATTGCAGTACCCCCAATGTTCATTATTCCTTTTCCCAGCTTTCTTTGCCTTGATAGCACTTATCGCCACCTAAGCCATGATATTTTTTACTTATTCACTTTTTTATTGTCTGTCTCCTCAGCTAGAATATTAGCTCCCTGGAGGCAGAGAGAATTTTTTGTTTGTTTTACTGCTGTATTCCTTGTGCTTACAAGAGAACCTAGCATAAAATAGATGGTAAACATATATTGAATACATGAACAAATGTGCTTATAGAGCTGTTTCATACAATTTCATGTTGTATGTTTTAAAAACATGCTCACATACAATACATATAACTTCTGCCATGTTAATACATATCTCAACCTCATTAGCTGGAATTGCAATATGTCTTATGTGGATATAGCTCAGGTATTAAAAAACCTTTAAAATATTTCTAATTTTTCATAAACAGAATGTAGCCTGCATATTCTGTGCTTACTCCTTGGGCATATGAGTCTCTATCTAAGTAGTATGACAGATTTCTATTTCAACTTTACTAAATTGGAATTATGCGTCTCAGAATTCCCTTTCTTACGTAATTCCTATACAGGGTGGGCTCTGAGAGACATTGTGTGCGAGATTGGGAAGGTGGAAGTTGGCAGGAGCCATAATCCCTTTTATGCTTGGCAAGGCAGAGCTAGGCACCAGGCCTCATCGTTGGAGCTCACACACATACAATAGGCTTATCTACTGGCTTGTATGACCAGCATGGGGCAGGAGCTGGGCCACAACTAGGCCAACTCCAGCTGAACATCTGGCATCAGTTTCTCTTACTCCTGGGAAAGGTGCATGGTTAGCTTCATGATGACACATGCCAACCTCTCCTGCAGAACAGCCTAATCATCTAAGTGAGAGGTTTGGTGGTGTTGAGAGACTAATGCAGGTTTCCATTCTTCCTTGTTGTTTTAGCCTCAGCCTCCAGGTTCTAGAATGTCGGTCATTTTGTCTTCCCCTACATCACTTTCTGTCTTCCCTTCCTCCTGACTTCCCTTCCTGACTGCCCTGTGAGCTGTACCTTCCAGCATCAGGCACAAACACGACAGTCTCATATAGACTGTGCAGTGAGCTCCCACAATTGCATAAGGTCAAATTCCTAATACAAGTAATTATGGGTTTTTAAAAGTAATGGCAAAAACCACAATTACTTTTGCGCCAACCTAATACTTCCTAATAAAACTGCTTCTGTGGTGAAATGCTGACTGAAATAGTAGCTATCAAGAAAGAAATTTGCTAGGTCATAGGATTTGTGCATTTTTCATTTTAGTAGATTAAAAGTTTAATTCTTATTCTATGAAATGTTGAAAGCATTTTTCCCCAGGGACCTATAAATTGTGAATCCATTTCATTTGTTTGCACGTTAATGACATTGAGAAGATGGCAGAATGTGTTTGCAGGTGTGCTGGGAGGGTGCCTATGGAGGAAACTCAGGAAAGAAGAGTAAATGAGAACATATGATGTCCAGTCCTCATCTGCACAGCTGGCCTCAGTTAACAGGACCACTGTGAATCAATTTACATTTTAAATACTCCTTTTGTAATGCCAGAAATCAAAAACATAATTTCAACAAAATAAAAGCTTATTGTTTTTTGTAAACTGACTGTCATGAAAGGTTTGT
The DNA here is from genome assembly GCF_000001405.40 of Homo sapiens. Lineage (NCBI taxonomy): Eukaryota > Metazoa > Chordata > Mammalia > Primates > Hominidae > Homo > Homo sapiens. The sequence goes on along the minus strand of NC_000003.12, from coordinate 153,784,088 downwards.
TGTTCATGAACAAAAGCAAGTTTCCTCAATGTGTTCGTTCTTAACTCTTGGCAGATGTTGGACAGCTGTTTGTACTACAGGCACATGGGGACTCTTAGGAACAACACCCTCTTAATTACTCAAAGCAGCTAAAATTGTTGCATAACTTAGTGATGGAATTTTAAAAAATGTCTCACAGCTTAAAACAGTCATATTAAGATGCTGCAGCACTTTGCTATTCCTTTGATACCACCCACATCCTAGGAGTAAGTTCCTTAGACCTGTGTGTTTACAGAGGCTCGGCAAGATGTTTTAATCTCTTATTCTTTTGTTATTATTGGTAGAAATAGGTTCTGGAAGACAAAAGCAGTAAGCCACTAAAGCTATCAGTAACAAGAGGCCATCCCAAAAAGTTAAGGAAGATTCCTCTTTGGGTGGAGGGATGTGGTTAACAAGAAGTAGAGCCTCCCTGCCTCCTCTAATACTGCGTAACATGGGCTTCACAGCCCACTCCTACCAGCCCAGGCTTTACAATGGAAAAGTAACTGTGGCTGGCCCATAGAATTCCCAAAGTAGGGCCCACATATATCTCTAAGGGAATCAATGTTCCTAGACGACATCAGATTCAGGAACTAGGAAAAGCAAATTCTTGTATGAAATATAATTCATTTTGCATGTAGATGTGTACAGTCACCAAGCAAAGGGTTAATAGTTATCTCTTCCTTGAAAGCTAAACTCCCTGCAGCAAAGCACACTGACTCTGTGGGTCTCTGGGGAGCTCTGTCTTTTCTCTCTGCTGGCAGCCAAGTGTCTGAGCACAGCTGGGAAGGAGCAGGAATTTAAGCTGCTCTGCAATGAGATACTTTACGAACTGGTCTTGCTTATATTCCAAAGGGTATATATTATGTGCTCTTAAGTCACTCTCCAGGAAATCTGAGAACATGTTCTAGTCTCCTTAGGTGGGGATTAGGATGCACTCAAGCTTTGAAACAGTTTTACTGATAATGTATAATATCTGAACCCATTTGCAGCAAGTCTTCCCTTCTCCAGTCCCTAATAATCAGATTCTTGATAATGTTTTCATTTCTTTTAAATTTGTTTAATTTTTCTTTTTTAAACATAATTAAAGCTCGGGAGAGTTAAGAAATATCTTTTCTTCAGAGCACTTTTGATCTAGGGTTCTGTGATTTGTCCTTCTCTTCCTCTAACTTTTCCATGAGTGGGGTGCATTAGCACGGCCATGGTTGGCTCTAAAACACCCTCTCCCTTGGCAGACCCTTTCCTACTCTTGAGCAGAAAATAAGTGTACTTCTTACTCCTGACTGATGTCATTTTCTCTCCCCTTCATCCCACAGAGGGTTCCCATTCTGGGAGGCTGTGTTTAGGCTTATGGGAGGAGTATATATACATACAGCATATACCATTAATATGTTAACTGTGGGTCCAGGGTAGGCTGTGGGCACAGTAGTAACCTCAAATGCATATTTGCTAACAATCAGCTCATTTTACTTACCTCCTCCCTCTACCTGACAGCATCACCAACACAGAGAAACCTCCTCTGACACAGAGTTCCAGTTTATCCTTCCCTGCCTAACTTTCCCCTACCAGAGTCTAATAGCAGAAAAAGACATAGACCTGAGCTTGGTTCTATATGGATCCCATTTCATGGATTAATGATAAAAAGCAAGGATCACAGAGCTGTGTTATATGGGTTTGAGACCAGGCTCTTCATTTACTAATTGCATAATCTTGGCCAAATTACTTAATCTGCTCCTCAGTTTCCTCATCTGTAAAGTGGGAAATAAAAAACAGTATATTTATCCCATAGTGTTGTCATCAGTATTGATGGAAATAATGTATGCCTCTTCTTGAGTAGTATGCTTGACCAATAGTAAGTTCTATGTAGGTATTAACTATTATCCTCTGACATATTTGAAATACTGTGGGGTGCCAAGGTATTTCTTCTCTTGTAAGAGGACAATTCTAGTTTATTGATCTTATTAAGTTGAAATAACATTCAGACTCTTCAACTTTCTCACTCCCCTTTCCTTTTCCCTTTCTGTTAATTATATCTCTGTGTCTGCATAGGGACATGTAGTACAAAAAAGTCCACGTTGCTGCCTATGAGTGCCAAGGGCTCCTTAGGCAGCACTTTGAAATATTTGACCATTCTAATGGTGTGTCTCCTGATGCATTCCAATGCTCATAACACAACTTAGTTTTCTTCATTTAACAACGACAATAACAACAACATGCAACTAGTAGCAGCTACTTACCATGAAATAGAGCCTATGATAGGTAGATATACTACAGTCTGTTTCTTTAAAAAATTAATCTTTACTTTTAGAAATATGGTGGTAAATACCAAATGAAATAGCTAAAAGAGTGAAAGTAGTTTCCTCTGGGAAGAAGACACTGGAGATGGGAATGGATCAGGCAGGGAATTGCAATGGTATCGTTATGCCCTTTGCAAAATTATTTTACTTTTAGTTATTTCTTCTGGTATTTATCATCATTACAGAAAATGCTCGTACTTCCATTTCTTGATTTTCTTTTTCAGTTTTATGCATTACCTATGGCTTTCTGTTATGAAGAGGTGAAGGTTTATCTCTCTTACACCCCTCCTTCCATCATCCCAATATATTATGATTAGCTCATTACTGTAGACAGCATTCTGACTGTAAATATTAGTCACCACAGAGCCATGTGGCATAATTTTATTTTATGTCCTTTTGTCATACAGTGTTGACTATCCTTGGAATTGATAGCTATTATTTTTGTTTACTTTTCTGTGGATCAATCAGTTATTCATACCCTCTTGACATCTTCAAACACAATACATAATCTATCAGATTTGGGGTTTTTTTTAGCTATGTTCTTCTTGCCCTCCATCTTCCTGCTCTAACATAGTAGTTAACCTGAGTCTCCTATCAACATCACCTGGAGGCAGGATGTGAATTCCCTCTAATTCACTCCTTTGTTGAATTTCTTGCTTCTTGAATACGCTATTTTCCTTTTGTTGGTCAGGTGGAGCACATTATCCGCCAGACTCCTGAGGAAGGGAACAGAGAAGACATATTTTTTGAGACTTTCCATGTGTTCATATCTATTATTACTTACAACAATTTGCAAGATAATTTTATTATACTTATTTTCTTGATTAAAAAATTGCCCTCTAAAGAGGTTTAAGACATTTTCCCAAACTCATATAGCTATTATGAAGTAGAACTGAGAAGGGAATTGGCAGAGTTGTATATCTAATACACAACATATGTACAACTCTGTATATATAATATATATGCAACTCTGCCAAATGCAATTTTGCCAATTTGTACACACACACACACACACACACACACACACTACAGAATTGACTAGTACCATTTATCACTAATTCATTTCATCTTTACAGAAACAAATTTTAGAGAATTATTCTTGAGATTAAGCATATATTTTTATTTTATTTATTTAATCTTTTTATTCCGTTTCTAGTTTTGCCTGGAAAATTAATTCTTCACTCTTTTCAAATGATTATCCTAGATTTTAAAATGTCATTTTCTGTAATTAGGATATCAGCTTGAATGTTAAAAAGGTAATAATCAATGGAGAAATGTTTACAAATATAAAAATTGAGTCTGATTATAATATATCATATGAATTTTCGCTTAGAGATTTAAGATTTTTTCACATGGATATAATATAAATAGCGATAGGACTACAAAGATTTTAACTTCTAGCTGAGTAATTAAAAAACTTATCTAGAATTGCTGACCACAGTTCTAATAGTAGAGAAATAATTCTTCATTCCTAAGTCTTAATTATTGAGTTATTTGACAATTGAACTTGAAGTCCAAGCAATGACCTAGATGACTTTTACCTGTCCTTTTTAGACCTAACATGTTAAAATGGCTTCATATTAAAATGATAGACTAATATAAAAATGGTAGACCAATACCTAATTTCTCCATAAAATTATTATGGACTGAACATTTTTTGTGTCCACCTTTCAATTCATATGTTGAAACCCTAACGCTCAATATGATGGTATTCGGAGGTGAAGCCTTTGGGAAGTAATTAGGTTTAAATGAAGTTATAAAGTTGGGTCCCCCCTCATTCTTCTTTACAGGAATTAAAGAGATCTCTAAAGAATACAGAGATAACTGATATAAGAAACAGCCACTACACCCACGGTGAGATACAGCACGCAGAGAAAGGCCCTCCTGATCCAGGCTGAGGTCCAGGCCTCTCTGGAGCGGGGACAGAGGTAGCTTACTGGCTCTGCTTACTGGCAGAGAAGTCCCAGCAGTGTTGGGCTAGGAGAACGTGCCTGAAGTCTTCCTCGGGGATGTTGGAGAAGGCTGACTGCAGGAAATTTTGGAGCCTCAGAACTTTCTAGGTGCTGAGGGAAGCTGTGGGCTGCTGAGCACTTGTGGAACTGGGTGCTGGAGGGGCTTTCTTCTGCAGCGTTTAGTTCACTTTTGTGCTTGGATTGGACCAGAGTATCTCTAGGACATTTGCAGGGATAAAAGTCAGGTGGCCAGCTTGCTAGATGCCCAGCCTTATGCAGTCCTGGGCATGTACGTTCCTGAGGTTTGGAACAGTGACCTGGGCTGGGGCACCAGCCTGCATGCTCTTGGGCTCCCAGGTATACCACCACTGCTTGAGTAGAGAGCTGGAAGGATTGCACTGCAGCCAAATACTGGAGAAAGGAGCATTCCTTAGGAACTGAGCACGGGAGAAACTGTGGGCCAAGCAATAGAGAAAACACTCTCTGCTGGAGTCTGGCAAGAGAGCCACGCCTGAACCAAAAAAAGAAAACTCCTTTCTCCCCAAGTCTCCCTTCAGCATCCTCTATTGACAAGGATGAACATCTTGCTGGGTGGCAAAGAAGAAAGTTTCAGGGCCCAATTCTTTTATCACAAAGCATGGAAGAAGATGAATTTGTGGTTTATCTGTAAATACAAAATAACCAGTATCATGTCACAATCAGAAACATACATACAAAGAAATAATCAATTCATAAGCATTTTCCAGTATGCTTGGCACTATCTGCTTTGAAGAAATCAAAAATTATAATCTCTAGCAGAGCAATAAATGTAACATGCACCATATTTCGTATCTGGCATCCAGAGACATTTAAAATCTAGTCTTCAAAGAACTTAAGCTATGGCTGAGGAGGAAAGAATATAATGCAAGAAACAATTAAAAACAAGCAACAATATGAAGTTGAGTGTTCAATAGGGTCATACAAACTTTTTGCCAAGCAACTATGGAAGTGATACAATTTTTACCATTGTTTTTATGTTTTTACAGATCTCTAATTCTCCACAGACACACTCCAACTGCTTTCTACTTAAGCATTTTTTCAGTTCCACATTAAATTATAGTGTATTTCCCTACAAGCCTTAAAAACCACAAATAAACATTACCTTAAAAATTCTATAAAATATTCTACATTCACGAATTCTGAATTTCTCAAAGCCTGAAGACCATTACTTTGTAGATTAGCTAGAACTTTTCTTGGTTAAATTACCATTGTTTCTCCATCATAGTGACTTCTTGTTTGCTGCCAATTTGTCACTTGGTTTTCTTACTATTGTTTGTTTTAAGAAATGAATCTCGATAGTGAAGAGAACATATTTGAATTCAGTATACCCGGTTTCAATCCCAGCTCTGCTACTTGTTAGTATTGTGGGCATGACCAGCTTACTTATCTCAAGGATTTCAGTTTCTTTATCTTGGAAAGGAAAATAAAAATAAATGTCTTATCATATTCTCATAAGGATTAAACACTTATATAACTTACAAAGAGATGTACATGTGTATTTATATAGTATTTAGCATACTGTTGGTATACTGTAAATATTAGTTCTCCTTTCAAGGTTTAACTAGCATAAGAAAGGAGAGAACAGAAACTAATCAGTTTATTTCCTACTTGATAATATCTGTGATAACAGAAGTAAGGGGAAGAAACTTTGAAACTCATTGCTAAATACAGTCATTCATCAGTGGACATCAGTATGATGCAGACTTTCCTATATATTGATGGACACAGAATTGGCCCTACAACCAGAATGTCTTAACAAATCAAGTTGTGAGTTTGGGTGCACGTCCATTTATTCATTTCCCTCCTTCTCCTAGGACTGTGGCTGCTTTGGTGCTCTCAGAAAGTGAGACAACATTAAATTTAGATATTCTGGGTAAAATTGGGTCCTGGGAGTACACAGAATGTCTACATTCCGAGTTCATCCGCTTTCTTCAGGATGAGCCAAGATCAACTGGAACAGTCCACGCAGCTTACATGGTATCGCGAGAAGCTTGCAGTTGCCAGGTGTTCTACTTTCTGCTCTCTCCCACATGGCAATTAGTGAAACTGTCTTTCAACTACTCTAATAAATCAAACTTTATTCTCTGTCTCATCTGGAATGCTAACTTTATAAATCATCTACTCCACACATTATTTGCCCCACATTTCCCCCACTGCATTACAAACCTCAAACTCCACAAAATGCCGGGGAACAAATACTAACAAATTTCTGAGATAAAGCAGACCTCCTTAAAGAAAGCAGAGGCTATTTGGTCTGCTTTCATTTTATTGATCAGAATAATGTAAAAACTATAAATCAAAAACTATATAGTTGAGAAGGAATTGAGGCCCAAGATATATAAAGATCTAGAAATCAAGCAAACATCTGTGTTGAACAACTTTAGGTCTCAGGTTTAGATCTCTGTTTTCATGGTAAGCTGTGGAGATGGAAATCACAAAATCATTCTGAAAAGTCATGGGAAACAGTAGCAAAAAATCAAAATTTTGAAACCATGAAGAAGTTGGATTCCACACACTAACAAACAAAAACTTCACCACAATTTTTTGGAAGATGCTGCAATGGATTAATCAAATGACAGCTTGTGAGCTCTTAGAAAGGAAACAGAGTTCTCTGCAAACCAGCATGTGTTCTCTATGATCAAACCATGTCAGACAGACCATGACTTGACCCAATTCTCACACCTTATACAAACATTAACTTAAAATAAATCACACACTTAATTGTGAAATGTAAAACTATGAAACTTTAAGGAAAGAAATACAGGGGAAAGCGTTCCAGATTGAAAGCTCAGACAAGTGTTCTAGATTTGAAACCAATGGAATAATCCATGAAAGAAAAAAAACTGATAAATTGAATTTCATAAATAATATATATATTTTTTGCTCTGCAAAAGACCTTGATAAGAGAAAAGAAGTCACTAACTGGGAGAAAATATTCACAAGTCACATATCCAACAAAGGACTGGTACCTACACTATATAAATAATTCTCAAAACTCAACAGTAAAAATAGAATCCAACTAAAAAATGGGCAAAGCCATAAAAATATTTCACTGATGAGGATATACAGATGGCAAATCAGTACAGAAAATGATGTTCTACATGATTAGCCAATGAAATACCACTCTAAATTTGTCAGAATCACTAAAATAAAAAATAACAGGAACACCAAGTGCTTGTGAGGATGTGGGGAAACTGGATCACTCATACATTACTGATGGAAATGTAAAGTGATACAGCCCTTCTGGAAACATTTTGTCAGCTTCTTAGAATCTTAAGCTTGCAACTATTATAGAATCTAGCAATTGCACTCATGGACATATATCACAGAGAAATTAAGGCTTACATTTACACCAAAGCCTATACAAAAACATTTACAGCCCCAAACTGGAAACACCCCAGATAATCCTTCAACAGGTTAATGGTTAAATAAACTCTCATAATCCATACCATGGTACACTGCTCAATAATAAAAAGGAATGAGCTACTGATACATGAAATAACCTGGATGCAACTCCATAAAATTATGCTGAGTGATAAAAGTCAATCCCAAAAGTTTGCATCATGTATAATTCCATTTATATAACATTTAAAAAATAAAATTAAAGAAATGGAGAATAAATTAGTGGTTGCCAGTGATGAAGGAACGTTTGTTGGTTGGGAAGAAAGACGATGTGGCTATAAAAGTGCAGCATGAGAGATCTTTATTGCCATGACAATGTTCTGTATCTTGATTATATTAATGTATTATTTTGGTTGTGATATTGTATTATAGTTTAACAGGATGTTACTATTGTGGAAAACTGGGTAAAAGGTACAGAGATCTCTCTATATTCTAATTGCATATGAATCTATAATTTTTTTTTCAAAATACAAACTTTAATTTAAATATATTGTGGCTGGTAACAGTGGTGCACACCTGGAATCCCAGCTACTCAGGAGGGTGAGGTAGGAGGATCACTTGAGGCCAGGAGTTCACGACCAGCCTGACCAACATAGTGAGACTCCATCTCTAACATAAATTTTATTTTATTTTATTTTATTTGTTTATTTATTTATTTATTTTTGACACGGAGTCTCGCTCTGTCACCCAGGCTGGAGTGCAGTGGCGTGATCTCGGCTCACTGCAAGCTCCGCCTCCCGGGTTCACACCATTCTCCTGCCTCAGCCTCCCGAATAGCTGGGACTACAGGCGCCTGCCACCATGCCCGGCTAATTTTTTTGTATTTTTAGTAGAGATGGGGTTTCACCGTGTTAGCCAGGATGGTCTCGATCTCCTGACCTCGTGATCCGCCCGTCTCGGCCTCCCAAAGTGCTGGGCCTTCTAACACAAATTTTGAGCCACCGCGCCAGGGCTTCTAACACAAATTTTTAAAACTGTGTGTGGTGGAGTATGCTTGTAGTCCCAGCTACTTGGGAGACTGAGGCAGTAGGATCACTTGAGCCGAGGAGTTCAAGGCTGCAGTAAGCCATGATTGCACCACTGCATTCTAGCCTGGGTAACAAAGTGACTACCTCGTCTCTTAAAAAACAAACAAAACCCATGATTAAAGTATGAAAAAACAGGCCGGGCATGGTGGCTTATGCCTGTAATCCTAGCACTTTGGGAGGCCGAGGCAGGTGGATCACCTGAGGTCAGGAGTTCAAGACCAGCCTGGCCAACAGGTGAAACCCCGTCTCTACAAAAATACAAAGATTAGCTGGGCATGATGGCGGGTGCCTGCAAACCCAGCTACTCCAGAGGCTGAGGCAGGAGAATCGCTTGAACCCGGGAGATGCAGGTGGCAGTAAGCCGAGATCGAGCCATTGCAATCCAGCCTGGGCAACAGAACGAGACTCCGTCTCAAAATAAGTAAATAAATAAATAAATAAAAAATAACCCATATATATACACACATATATATAGTTTATATATACACACATATGTGTGTGTGTATATATGTGTATATATATGAAGAACAGCAAATTTCAAAGTGCTTGGAAATCTGTTAAATAAATCAGATAAATAAATGTATATATACTTGTATATGAAGATATAGCATATGTAAATTGATAGATACATATTGATATGTACATTTATTTATGTTTATATAAACAAGTGAATATATTTATTATTTGAACATTTATTTAGAAAATGTTTGTTACCCGATGGTATAGTACACTCAGCCACACACAGATTTTTGATATTTGAAGATTCAACATTTACTGTATGCTCTAGGACCTAAGAAATGCAGGGCAAATAGGAATTTAGTTCTGCCAATTCATGGATTTTCTTTGAACTTTAAAATTCTGATGTGTGTTAGAAAACTGTTTGGCTAGCCACTGAGCAACTAAAACACAATTTCATGCTTTACTTGTAATTGCGTATCTTCTACGTTACATATATTCTGTATCTTTATATTCCATCCCTTTTATATTACTTCATTTTAAAAGTTTACAATATAGACTTTTCTTCTTCCCGAAGAACAGCCATTAAATAAGATAAAGGAGCTAATAAAAGTGTAGTTAATTTTCTGTGTTAGGTTATACAGAGAAAAGACTAAGTGTTGATAAAGGAGTAAGTCAGGAGTTTATAAAGAAGAAATAGGCTAAGAGTTTACGAAGTACCTTTTGTGTTTTTCAATTTGAGGCATTCATCAATATATGGAATATATTCCTTAACATATTAAAAGTACAGAAATAAATATAGAATAAAATATGAATTGTACTTTATTGAAGAAATTTAAATAAAATGTGACAGAATTTTAATAGCAGACCATGTATTATATGAGGATTCCCATAATGTAAACACAAATAAATTTCTAAGGATTCTTTTAACATAATTAAGTCAATTATATTAAAATTATATGAACTTAGTGTTAATGTTTTTAAAACACCACATCACTTGGGAAGGTATTGTCTGAGACATTCCTGTAGAGGTTCATCTCCTCCCTTTTCTTACTCCTCTGTATAGTCTTTTTTTTTTTTTTTCACGTGGGGCTATAATTCTGAATACAGATCAAAGAACTTCTCATTCAGTTGCATACAACCGTTACAATTTTAACATGTCGTTTGCTGTCAGAACCCCTCTGACTCCCCTCCCAATTCACAACGAACAGCATTTAATACTGTGGTTACATTGGAGGAGGCAGTATCATTGCATCAGTAAATAACACTAGCAAAACCACTCAATTTACTTTTCTGTACTTTAAGTTGGGACATAATACAGATGCTTTAAACAATCACACAAATGATTAAAAAATATTATATATTTTACTTTTTTAGTGTATTTAGTACTATATCCCACTTCACACCTTTATGGATTACAATTTCATTGAGTTTGGCTATTATAAATATATCATTTGGAAAATAACTTCTTTCAGAATGCTTTTTCTTGCATTGAAGTTTTGCATATTTTTTATTTTAAATTTATTCTACTGATTATTTCATATGGAAATTTATGGTTCAACAACTTTTTATATGTGTTTCTAACAGCTTATTGTTGTGCTTGGAGGAATATTAACATACTATGAAATGTTTGTAGGCATATCAACATACAATCTTACGCTTACATATAAATGGTGTAAAATTTTGTATCCTTAAATTTTACTGAAGTTGTTTCTCAAAGTCAGGAGGAGTCTTTAGGATTTTCTAGGTATAAGATTATTTCATCAGCAAACAGATAATTATCCAATTTGGATGCCTTTTTTTCCCTTTCTCTTACCTGATTGCTCTGGGTAGGACTTTTCAGTACTATGTTGAATATTAGTGCTGAGAGTGGACATCTATGTCTTGTTCCAGTTCTAATGAGAATGCTTTCAACTTTTTCCCATTCAGTATGAATTGGGCTGTAGATTTGTCATAGATGGCTCTTACTATTTTGATGTATGTTCCTTTAATGCCTAGTTTGTTTAGGGTTTTTAGTGAAGAGATGTTGTATTTTATCAAATGCTTTTTTTGCATCTATTGAGATGATCATGTGTTTTTCGTTTTAAATTCTGTTTATGTGAGAAATCACATTTATTGATTTGCAAATGTTGAAACATCCTTGCATCCCTGGAATAAAACCCACTTGATTGTGATGAATTATCTTTTTGATGTGCTGTTGGATTTGGTCTGCTAGTATATTGTTGAGGATTTTTGCATCTGTGTTCATGAGAGATATTAGCCTGTAGTTTTCATCTTTTGTTGTATGCTTGCCTGAAGGAATAATTTCAGTAGGATTGGTACCAGCTCTTTGTATGTCTGGTAAAATTTGGCTGTGAATCCATCTGGTCCTGGGCTTTTTTTTTTTTTTTTTTTTTTACTGGAATTTTGTTTGTTACTGATTCAATTTCATAACTCACTATTGATCTGTTCAGGATTTTTATTTTTTCCTGGTTCAATCTCGGGAGGTTGTATGTTTCCAGGAATTTATTCATTGCCTCTAGGTTTTCTAGTGTGTTTGCATAGAGATTTTCACAGTAATTTCTGATGATCTTTTGTATTTCTGTGGTGTGAGTTGTGGTGTCTCCTTTATTATTTCTGATTGTGCTTATTTGAATCTTCTCTCTTTTTTTTTCTTTCTTAAACTATTAATACATATCAGTCTATCAATTTTGTTTGTTCTTTCAAAGGACGAGTTTCTTGTTTTATCGATCCTTTGTATCTTTTTTTTTCTTTTGGTGTGATTCTCATTTAGTTCTACTGTGATCTTTGTTATTTCTTTTCTTCTGCTAGTTTTGGTTTGGTTTGTTCTTTAATTTATTTTTAAATTATTTTTTGAGACAGGGTCTCACTCTGCTGCCCAGGCTGTAGTGCACTGGTGTGAACAGGGGTCACTGTAGCCTCTGCCTTCCAGGTTCAAGCGATTCTCATGTCTCAGCCTCCCAAGTAGCTGGGACTACAGGCGTGTGCCACCATGCCTGGCTAATTTTTTTGTATTTTTAGTAGAGATGGTGTTTTGCCATGTTGGCCAGGCTGGTCTCAAACTTCTGACCTCAGATAATCCACCCACCTTGGCTTACCAAAGTGCTGGGATTACAGGCGTGAGCCACCGCACCTGGCCTGGTTTGTTCTTTCTTGTGTAGTTCCTTTAGGTGTGATGTTAGGTTGTTAATTTGAGATCTTTCTATATTTTTAATGTAGGCTCTTAGCACTATATACTTTCATTTTAGTCCTGTTTTTGCTGTATCCCAGAGATTTTAATATGTTCCGTCTGTTTTCAATTATTTCAAAAAAATTTTCATTTCTGCCTTAATATTATTGTTTACCCAAAAGTCATTCAGGAGTAAGTTGTTCAGTTTTTATGTACTTGTGTGGTTTTGAGAATTCCTCTTGGTATTGATTTCTAATTTTGTTTCACTGTGTTCTGAGAAGATACTTGATATGCTTTCAATTATTTTTTTTGAATTTGTTGAGACTTGTTTTACGGCCAAGCACATAATCAACTTTCGAGATTGTTCCATGTGCAGATGAGAAAAATGTATATGAAATGCAGAATGTTCTGTGAATGTCTATTTGGTCTAGAGTCCATTTTAAGTCCAGAGTTTCTTTGTTGACTTTCTGCCTCAATGACCTGTCTAGTATTGTCAGTGGGGTTTTGAAGTTTGTTGATCTCTTTTCTTAAGTTTACTAACATTTGTATCATGAATTTGAATACTCTGGTCTTGGGTGAATATATAGTTAGGATAGTTACATCTTGTTATATTGACTGCTTTATTATTATATAATGCTCTCTTTTATCTTTTTTTTTTTACTGTTGTTGATTAAAGTCTGTTTTATCTAATACAAGAATAGCTACTGCTGCTCACTTTTTGTTTTCCATTTGTGTTATATGTCTTTTCCCTTCCCTTTAATTTGTGTCTGTATTCAGCCATTGTGTCTTTAGCCATTAGGGGGGTCTCTTGTAGGCAGCAGTTGGTTGGATCTTGTTTCTTTAATCCAACTTGCTGGTCTATCTTTTAAGTGTAGAATTTAGGCCATTTATGTTTAAAGTTAATATTGATATGTGAGGTTTTGTGCCAGTCATAGTTTCATTACCTAGTTTCTTAGAATTTCAAATGTGTAATTGCTTTGTAGGATCTGTGAGCTTTCTACTTACATGTACTTTTATGATGGTGAGTATCGTGCTTTTGTTTCCATGTTTAGAACGTCTTTGAGTATTTCTTGTATTTCTGGTCTAGTGGTGATTAATTCCCTTAGCATTTACTTGTTGGGGAAAGATTTTATTTCTCCCTCATTTATTAAGCTTTAGTTTGGCAAGATATAAAGTTCTTGGATGGCTTTTCTTTTAAAGAAGACTAAAAATAAGCTCCTAATCTCTTTTGGCTTGTAAGATTTCTGCCGAGAATTCTGCTGTTAGTCTGATAGGATTCCCTTTATAGGTGATCTGATGCTTCTCTCTAGGGCTTTTAAGATTTGTTCTTTCACATTTATCTTGGATAGTCTGATGACTTTATGCCTTCAGGATAATCATCTTGTGTAGTATCTTCCAGGTGTTCTCTGAATTTCTTGTATATATATGTCTACATCTCTGGCAAAATTAGGGAAATTTTCCTGCATTATTCCCTCAAAATATGTCTTGAAAACTTCTTACTTTTTCTTCTTCTCCCTCAAAGATGCTTGTAAATTGTAGATCTGGTCACTTCACATAATCCCATATTTCTGTAAGGCTTTGTTCAATTTTTTTAAATTACTTTTTTGTCTCACTTTTTTAATTTAAAAGATTCGTCTTCAGGTTCTGCAGTTCTTTCTTCTACTTTGTCTAGTCTATTGTTAAAGCTTTCAACTGTGCTTTGAAATTCCTTCAGTGCATTTTTCATTTCTAGAAGTTCTGTTTTATTATAAATACATACCTAGGCCAGGCACGGTGGCTCACACCTGTAATCACACCACTTTGGGAGGCCAAGGGGGGTGGATCACGAGGTCAGGAGTTTGAGACCAGCCTGGCCAATGTGGTGAAACCCCGTCTCTACTAAAAATACAAAAATTTCTGAGTGTGGTGGTGTGCACCTCTAATCCCAGCTACTTGGGAGGCCAAGGTAGGAGAATCGCTTGAACCCAAGAGGCGGAGGTTGCAGTGAGCCGAGATGGTGCCACTGCACTCCAGTCTTGGCAACAGAGCAAGACTCCGTCTTGGAGCGGGGGAATCTATATCTATCTTGACTTTCATCTCCTGAATTATTTTTCTGGTTTCTTTGTGTTGATTTCCATCTCTTCTTGGATTTCATTGAGCTTCCCTACAATCCATATTTTGAATTATTTATCTGTCATTTCAAAGTTTTCATTTTGGTTAGGTTCCATTGCTAGAGAGCTAGTGTGGTCCTCTGGGGGATGTCACAATATTCTGTTTCTTTATGGTGCTAGAGTTTGTGTGCTGCTTTCTTCTCATCTGTAGAAGCTGTCACTTCTTATTTTTGAATTTCCTTTCTTTTTTGCAGGATTTTTTTCCTTCCCCCTTGAGGGTGTGACTGTTGAATATGTTGAGTAGGGTCCTTTGGCTTTGCTTCTATTTGCTTTTAGGGGACCAAGGCTCTGTAAGAATTCCTTGGTTATTGATAGCAATAATGTAGTGGTTTTTTTCAAATGCTAGTTGTCTGTAGGTTGTAGTTGTGGTGTGCTGTGCATGTAGTCAGGCTCACTGTCTCCTACAGGGTTGGGGAGGTGGACGTCTTGGGAGGCTTATCTCATTCCCCAGCACTGTGCAAATCGGCCAGGAGAAATTACATTGATTTATGCAGTTCACCCTACAGGCCAGTAGGTGGTGCTTATGGCTTAAGCTGGCTGAACACTGTTCCATGACAATAGAAGTTGTGATGCACTGCACAGTTTGATCTCTGGGCCAGTAGGTAAGTGTTTGCAGGTGAGAGGTGGTTGCAGTAATGACAGTTGACTTTTTACTTGGCTTTTGTTAATCAGAAAAAGTACCAGAGTGTTCCTGGCAATGAGCAGGATATTGGGTTCCCAGAGGTACAGTTGTATGCTCTATCACCAAGGCAGCCGGAGGGGGGCAAAGCTAGGTGGAGCTGAGTCAGGAGAGCCTGCAACCAGGCTCTTTGAGGCAGGTGCAAGCTCTGACCTTGGCAGGGGTCCATGGGCATCTCTCAGGCCACTGGAGCAGCCACCTGAAGCGGGGCAGAGGTGCATCTCCTATACCACAGAGTTTGCTTAGGGGAAGAGGGGAGGCCCCAGCAGGTAGCCATGGGGCCCACCCGGCTCCCACATCCCCATCCTAGTGAGCCTCCACCTGGTGTCCAGCCATGGCAACAGATCTGACTAGTTAGGCTAGTCCCTACCCACCGGTACCCAGATCACCTTGCCATTCCAGGCATTTTGACCACCCGACTCCCTGCAGCAGAAACCACAGCTATCAAGCCACACCTTTTTCAACCAGGTCCCATGACATTAGCAGTGCTCAGTTCCAGTGCCACCACATTAACCTGCACCACACTCTGTGTTCTGACAGTGGGGTTACTTCCCCATTTGAGATCAAGCCACAGTTTTCATCAGCATACCCCTGGATGGTATGCTTGAGTTCCAGGGAACTGGGATCAGGCCAGCAGATTTGTCCTCCAGCCCCTCAGGATCAAGCACCGCCTGTGAACTGCTCCTAGGCCACCAACAAACCACGCAGGCAGAGCAATGAAGGCTATACTGTGGGCCCTCTCCTGAGGGTATAGCCAGGTGGGCAGTCTCAGGAAGAACTGGCAGGCATGAGGGTGCATGGTTCAGATGCACCCCAGTCCCAAGGCATTGGCATGGGGCCTGTCTTGGGTGTGTGAGCATGCCACAGCCCTGCTCTCTCCTGGCCAGGAGACAGCAGGAGCTGCAGCCACTTAGGGCAAGACACAGAGCCTTGGAGGGTGGGCTCCCAGAATTGTGTTTTGCTGCAGCTGCCCGGCATATGAACATTTTGGGTTCCACATAGGCTTAGGTAGTGTCTTGCACATTCTTCAGGTAGCTCCCCCTGCCAGTCCAAGACCTGTGAGTCACGAGAACTCTAGTAGCTAGGATCTCAGAGGTCCATGGCAGGAATGTGGTGCCCCAGGGTTCTTTCACTCACCCCTTCCTTGGGTCTGATCCGGGTCTTGGGGCTGGTCATCATACCCAGCGTTGCTGTGCAGGCAGAAACACTTCCTCCTTCTTCAACCGTGGTGCCTTCCATTGCCTTTCTATTAAATGTCAGTGTTTTCTCCCAAAAGATGTGTTCAAAGTATGAAGGTTTACTTGATAATTTGTTTCTTCTCCATGAAAAAGGCACATCCTAGCCGCATCTAGTCAGCCATCTTCTCTCTTTGACAGGTGTTTTTAATCTGAGTATTCATGCTCTCTTCAACTCTAAAACATTTTTCAACATTATCGCTTTAAGGGCCTCCCCTCATTTTCTGGAAGTTCTACAATAGTACTGGAAATAAGTTGGAACATCTAATTCTTTGTATGTTAACTTTCACATTTTCTTTCCCTTTTATTTGGCTATGCTGTATTCTGAGTAATTTCTTTATATTTATCAATCATTTTATCAATTTTCTCTTTGGCCAGTTCAACATAACTGCCCAAAGTTTTGAGTTTTTAATGAAAATGAACTATATTATTTAATTCTAGAATTTGCATTTTCTTCTTCAGATCTGACTCTTCTCTTTTCCCTATTATGTTTGTTCTTAAATTTTGGTTATGTTACTTTCACCTCTGAATATTTTACATCTGTTTCTTAATATCTCTTTTAGATTTGTCTAAAATGATTGATGGGACATGAATTTTTCCATTTTTGTAGCTGCAAACTCCAGCCTAAGCAATGTTTTTTTGTGTGTACATGCTGGAATTTGTACTATGAGCTCATCCGTGGGAGTTATTTTTTAATAGGAAGACTGAGTGATCTGAGTTGTGAGACTGTCCTTCCAGCTTTTAGGTAAATGTCTTGGCTCTGTGCTTCCCATACTGGGTAAATGTGCAAATTCAGACATGGCCTCCACAAGTTTGTGTTTTCTATTTCCTGCAGGTTACAGTTATTCTTCCAGAGATCCATAGAGATCAGACACCTTTTTACCCAAAGCCAGTGGCAGTCTCTCCAGCCTTTTAAAATGGACAGGATAGCTCTTTTTTTTAATTACTATTATACTTTAAGTTTTAGGGTACATGTGCACAACATGCAGGTTTGTTATATATGTATACATGCACCATGTTGGTGTGCTGCACCCATTAACTCACCATTTAACATTAGGTATATCTCCTAATGTTATCCCTCCCCCCTCCCCCAACCCCATGACAGGTCCTGGTGTGGGATGTTCCCCTCCCTGTGTCCAAGTGTTCTTATTGTTCAATTCCCACCTACGAGTGAGAACATGCGGTGTTTGGTTTTTTGTCCTTGCGATAGTTTGCTGAGAATGATGCTCTCCAGCTTCATCCATGTCCCTACAAAGGACATGAACTCATCCTTTTTTATGGCTGCATAGTATTCCATGGTGTATATGTGCACATTTTCTTAATTGGACAGGATAACTCTGGCAGATTCTTCTCTTTATGTATAAATCTCTTCTCTTTATGTATAAAACTTTCATCTCCTATGCACCAGGCCTATAGACACCCTAAGCATCTCACTGAAGTTGTCAAAAATCCAGGCATTTAGAGATATATCAAATTAGGATGTTCTATAAGACATTTGTTTTCATTCTCACTCAATAGTGCTTTAAGTTTTCTCTTATTTTCTAGTACCAGGGATATCTCATTTTTAGTTTTAAGCTTGGCTTTGAATTTAAATTTTAACTGTTGTATTTTATTAGTAAAATGTTCATGGATCATTTCTACATTTGAAGTGGGAGGAAAGATCTTCTACATTGGCTAATTTGCCATATTGACTAGAACTTATTTGAGTTTCAAACATGTCAGTTTTTCTGGTTATTGCTTTTGCTTCTATATCTTTAATTTTTTAAAAAAGAGTCATTATTTCACCTAGCTTTACCTACCTCTGAATATTTTTTTCTCCTTATAAGCTTTCTGTTTCATAGAGATTTGCTCTTTTTTTTATCCTACTGAGAATACCAAGCTTATTTTAAAATGCTCTTCTAGTTCCTATAGTAAATATTTTTCAGAAGTCTGTACTTCTTTTTTGCTTTAGCGTGAAGTTTTCTTCCCTTTCATCTGCAGTAAATTTTTCATGGGTTCTGTACTAGAGTCTTTTTCTGTTTGACCCTCTAGGCCACTCTTTATTCTTTTCCATCCTTTGTGCCCTCACAGTGTGCCCTGTGAGGCTAATATCCATGGACTGCACCAACAAGCTGGAGAATCCTCTGGCTTCCAGTTGAGTTCAGCAAATGGGAGCACCAGCAGGAGACTGGAGGGCAGGAAGAGAATGAAATTAGAATGTTTATTTCCCTTCATCTATTATTTCCAGCTCCTTGAGACTTGGGAGGACTCTTGTGAGGGGTCCTTTGCATATAGATATCCTTTCTAGAACTGTTCCTTGACCTTGCCCTTTCAGACTTGGGGCAGAAACAACTCCCTGTGGTTGCTAACCCTGGAGATCTGCACCATCTATACCTTTATAAATTATTTTTTTGTATCCAGCTTATTTATTTATTATTTTTTGCCGAGTCCTTGATTAATAAAGGTTTCATTTTGGATTTTATTTTTTGTTATGATTTTCTTCATTCTTTATACAGAGGTGATCTATGTATATAGAGCAGCCAAAGAGTATATAGAATGTCCTTGGCCATAGTCTGTTAAAATGTGTCAATTTTGTTTTACAGACTCATAGCTTGAATTTATTGCATTCATATTGTATGGCTTTGTTAGATTCAAATAGAAATTTCTCCTGTCCCATTGTTTGGCTCTCCAGTACTCTTCACTGCAATATGCAATGTCAATTGAGCTACACATATTTAGCTAGCCAAGTTGATTTTTATGGAAAGGGAATAGAATGGCACATATGAATTCAGAATATATTCTATTTGTCTATATGCATTGTGAAATGATTACTTAAAGAGGTACTTCATCTGTCTGAGAGGTTAAGACAAAGAGGACTTAAGACTGAAAAAGTTAGACTATAAAAAGTCTTGCAGAAGCATTCTGCTTCCAGTAGGGCCAAATAGCTCTTATCAGACCACTCTTCCTAGGGTTGATAAAAACTATCAACCATTGAAAAACCACATATAAAACAACCATCTTATGACATTGGAGAGTGAAAAAAAAAGCAGGCAGAAATTAGAAGGGAGATGACACTCTAACTTAGGATTAGAGGGGAGATGGACGAAGGGAACGAAGTCTGGTGAGATTCCTGTTTTTGAAATGTCTACCCTGGGGGGAGGCCCCAGTTTGTACTTGTAGAGAAAAAAAAAAACTGATGAAAATCCTACAAGTTTGCTTGATTAACCAGCAAAGAGAGTTCATCAGTCAACCACAACCACTGAAAATCAAGGGGGGACATACTAGAAAAGGAGAAAACTAGAGAGAGGGTGTATTAGTCTATTCTCACACTACTATAAAGAAATACCCAAGACTGGGTAACTTATAAAGAAGAGAGGATTAATTGACTTACAGTTCCACATAGCTGGGGAGGCCTCAGGAAACTTCCAATCATGGTGCAAGGTGAAGGGGAAACAAGGACCTTCTTCAAAAGGCAGAGGAGAGAGTGTGTGAAGGAAGCAAAGGGGGAAGAGCTCCTTAAAAATCCATCTGATCTCATGAGAACTCACGCAGTATCCTGAGAACAGCATGGGGGAAACTGGCCCCGTGATCCAGTCACCTCTCATCAGGTGTCTCCCACAACACCTGGGGAATACAACGCAAGATGAGATTTGGGTACTCGGCTGATGAAATAATCTGTACAACAAACTCCTGCAACACAAATTTACCTGTGCAACAAACCTTCACATGTATCACCCAACCTAAAATAAAAGTGTTTTTAAAACAGAGAATACTTTCGGCTTAACAAGTCTAGTAGTGCACTCACCATGAAAATAATTTAGCTACTGTTATTAAGTGCTGTACCATTATAATTACCAATCACCAATTATTGATTTCAGAGGTCATGATATACTTGACATTGTAATGTGTTCCCTTATAGACTTGATTTGGGTGGGGACACAAAGCCTAACCATATCCGAGGGAGCCTCAGATTCTGAATATAAACTCTGCTCAAATTTCTGGCTGCCCAGCAAAGCTAAAAAAATTAAACTGAGATATAAGGTGCTGCCCACAGTGAAAAGACTACATTTTGCAGTTTGTTTTCAAACTACCTGCTTTAAAAATAATAAGTTGAGCGAAACTCCATCTCAAATAATAATAATAATAAGTTAAATAAAATATTTTTAAAAATTTGCAGTATTTTCTTAGTGAACTTTGCAATATAGGACAAAGCTTACCTGTGTGAGGAGTGTTTCCTTCTCTTTAATTCTTTTTCTTTTTTGTCTTCCTCTCCAATTTTTTGATGCTTTTTTGTGAAACTCCATCCATCTTTCCACAATTCACATAAAACCTCTTACCTCTTTTCCTACCTTGTACCCCATTTAGTCATTACTTGCAAGGTACAAAAATACACTGAAAATAGCTCAACAGAAAGGGAAGATAAGTGTTGCTCAAAGCAGAGAAATCCAAGACAGAAAGTAGAGGTGAGCTTTGTGCAGATTGAACCTGAGTATAAGAAAGTCTTCGGATCTAGAAAAATGGATATCTTTCTCTTTCTGAAGCTACATGGTCTTTTGCCTTTGTTTCTCTTTGAAAGTGGTCCAATATTGCAACCCTCGGAAGAGAAATCTCTACCCTTGAGTATACTTGGCCTGCACAGTAATATGATTCATTTTCTGAGGCCAGTTTCCAAGAAAAATTGAAAATCAAAAACAAGTAAAGTTACTTTATATATGGGCCAGATTTGAGTTCTGATACTAACAGCTGGTCCCATCAGCAGTGGCTGGTGAGATATTCATGGGGTGGGGAGTGCAGTTGAAGGAGAATGAATGAATGAATGAGTAACATGGTTCCTCCAACTGCAGGCCTCTGGGCTGCCAAGGTTTTCCAAGAAGACAGGCAAATTGTATGTGAAGTATATCACCATACTGCTTTCCACAATGTTTGAACTAATTTACACTCCCACCAACAGTGTATAAGTGTTCCCTTTTCTCTGCCACCTCACCAGCATCTGCTATTTTTTTATGTTTTAATAATAGCCATTCTGACTGGTGTGAGAGGTATCTTATTGTGGTTTTGATTTGCATTTCTCTAACGATCAGCGATGTTGGGCTTTTTTTCATGTGCTTGTTGGCTGCATGTATGTCTTCTGCCAAAAGCATTTTCTTTCTCCATCGTCAAAAGCAGAGTTGCATAGATCAAGGTAATCGTCACTTTGATTGCTAAGAAACCTAGGTCATGATTTTCTTTACATTCAAAATTTGTATAATGTGATTTGATTCATTGTCTCATTTTCTAGTGGTGGTAATATAAATAATGGTAGATTTTATTATTAAATAGGTTCTTCCTTTGTATTATTTTCCATCTAAAACCTTTTAATAGTCTTTTGTTAATTATACTAGATAGGTAGGTAGGTAGAGAGATAGATAGTATCCTTTATCTACTGGGAAGCAGTGCTCATACCCAGAAGAAGTCTATAAGGGAACACATTACAATGTTAGCAATGATTATCTTTAAGAGTAAGATTTGTAAAGTATTTTTTCACTTAAAAAAAGTGTTAAAAATTTTGTAATTAATTTGTATTGCTTTACTAATAGAAAAATTAACTTTGTAAAACTAATTAATTCTAAGTGCACAAGGGAAAACATTGTTTTGTAAACAAGAACTGTCGGAAGAAAGAAGTGATTAGGTTATGTAAACATCTAAGTATAAATGAGAAAAGCACAGAAGTAAAAAATCAGGCCAACTTAGAGAAAAGAGACTGCTACAAAATAGCAAATAAATTTGGAGTTACAATAAAAAGAAAAAGTAAGAAATAAAGGTCAACATAAGAGACAATAAAAGAAAACTAGAAGTAGTTTTTGAAATATATCCTTAAATACATGAAACAGAGTGGCATTAAAACTGCTTCTTCAACAAGAAGATACAGAAAGCTTCAAAAATTCTGAAAAGGTAAAAATTTTTTTGGATTGATAACCTATATATTAAAAAGAACTCTCAATGACCTGGTCAGGGTGATCAAAATAAGATAATGTGAGGAAGTAAAAATAATTTTGATTTGATTATTTAATGATTATTTAAATCTTTTCTCTGCTGAAAGTCCAGGAGCAAGAAGGAAGGGAATCAGAATATAGCAGAACAGTGATTTCTACCTGCTGGCCTGGAAGCAACTGGGACTGTTGTTTGATCAAGATTTTATTAGTTATTGTTAGTAAAGAGAGAAAAATAAGAAAAACATAGTGAGCTTCATATTAAGGTAAATTTATCCAATTTATGTGAGATTATATCCTTATTAGATTTTCATTATTAAAATCTTCTCTTATAACATGACATAGATAGTAGATGGTTGTAGGATTTTTGACGTACTTTCAGCAAAAAGAAAAGCTGGAAATGCTTTATCACCTTGAATCTTACAAATCTGTTAGATCCAAAAGTCAGAACTACGGCTTTAAACCATTGTCATTGTACTCATCATTTAAGAGACCTTAGTTCACTTGAACAAGGAGACATATGTCCCTAAGCAGGAACAATGCAAGACCTTATGTGGGTGTGTGGCATAGTGAGTGTCACAGACCTAAGCTGGGATGACTAAGAAAGGTCTCAAGATGGAGGTGAGATCAGCCTGTAAATTATACCATGGGTAAGAGTTTTTTTGTTTTTTTTTTTGTTTGTTTTTGTTTTCTTTTTTGAGACTGAGTCTCACTCTGTCATCCAGACTGGGTGCAGTGGCGCGATCTTGGCTTACGACAAGCTCTGCCTCCCAGGTTCACACTATTCTCCTGCCTCAGCCTCCCAAGTAGCTGGGACTACAGGCGCCTGCCACCACGCCCAGCTAATTTTTTGTATTTTTAGTAGAGACAGGGTTTCACCATGTTAGCCAGGATGGTCTCGTACCATGGATAAGATTTTAAGTGATGATGACAGAGAGGAGGGTACTCTGGAAAAAGAAAAATGAGAAAACTGAGTTTAGAAGGCACATGACATGCAAAGGTTATGAACTGAAGATGTACTTATTGGAAATGGTAGAAAAATAAGTAGTAGAGTTGGTCCAGTTTGAGAAAAGTCATGCACCCCTGAATGAGTGTTTGGTTTTTATCTGTTAAGGGTTGGAAGCAATTTTAAAGAAAGGTGAAGGGTTATTTTAAATTATTATTGTAAGATTTTGTCTATTTTTTGGAGTTTTGCTGTTTTAAGTATGTATCTAGGTTTGAATTTATTATTAATATTCTGTTTAGGACCTGTTGATCTTGAATATATGGTTTTATATTTTAATCAATTTGGGGGAATTCTTAGCCTTGGAAACATTAATCTTTTCCCATTTTCTTTACACTTTTCTTCCACAACTCCTAAGAGACATATGTGAGAATATTTCATACTATGCTTTGTGTCTTTGAACTTAATGTCTGGCCTGTAGAAGTGCTCAATCGATGTTCAAATTGGTCTTGCTGTTTGAAGATGCCCTGCAGAGCAGTCCTGCGTTTGCAGTTGTTAGGCCAAACCTGAGGCCCAGATCTACTGTGAAGTGAGCCTGGTGTTACCAATTTCTGTGTTTTCTTTGGTTCCCAAGTGTTGCTGTCCCATGGTTCAGTAACTTGTCATACATCCAAGGGCCCAGTGTGGAGAAGCACAGCATAAAACGAGAGAGAAGCATACGTTTGAGGGTCTGAGGATGACCCAATAGGAGTCACTGCAGGTTCTAGGCTCACTCAGGGGATTAAGTTATTGTTTCTCTCTACCTTTAACATTCTTTTCCAGACACCAACATTATTTCATCCTTCACCTCTTTCAAGTCTTTATTCAAATGCTATATAGTGAGAACTTTGGTAGATACCCTATTTGAAATTGTGACTACTTCTTATGTCAATTTCTTGTTTTGTCAGGTAGTTTAAATGTGAATCTCAAAACTGCATGAGGTACAGCACTGTGGTTACAGGTACTAGGGGAGACTTTTTCTTCCACCCTTGTGGAGACAGGCAAAGTTCTTTGTTATCTCCCATTAATGGTGGTTGCAATTTCTCTCATCCTTCCTTTTACTAAGAATGTAGTTTTTTAGGGAGGTAATTTGCTAGGGCTGCCATAATGAACTATTGCAGATCAAATGCCTCAATCAACAGATATTTATTTTCTCACAGTTCTGGAGGCTGGAAGTCCTAACTCAAGATGTTCGCAGGTTTGATTTCTTCTGAGGCCTCTCTTCTTGGCTGGCAGATGGCCACCTTCTCATTATGTTTTCAGGTGGTCTTTTCTTTGTGTGTGTAAGTCCCTCTCTCTGTGTCCAAACTTCCTAATAAGGACACCAGTTAGGTTGCATTAAGATGCAACCTAACAGCCTCATTTTAAGTTAATCACCTTTTTACAGACTCTATTGCCAAATATAGTCACATTATGAGGTACTAGGAATTAGGACTTCAACATATGAATTTAGGGGGATACAATTCATCCCATAATGGAGCAGGAGAGGAGTCTCAGCTTTATTTGCAATCTGTTCTCCACCTCCCTGTCTTGAGTGGATGCTTTGCCTTGTTTTGTGCTTTGGCATGGGCTTAAAAAAACCTTAAATTCATTGTTCTAACCAATCAAACTCCTAAAGATTCCTGAAACTTTAGCGTATTGCTTATCTGGTTTGCAGTGACCTCTTCATTTTAGCCTTCTGAGGATTTTTCATTACATTCTCATGGTTTCACCTATATGTCTACAGGGACATTTACTATATATTTTTTCCTCTCATATTTCTAGGTGTCTTATAAAAGGGGTTGGTTTAAATATTTCTTATTTAATCCACCCCATTGCTGAAAATTAAAATTAGAATTAGTTTATAAAATTATTAGTTGACAATAGTACAAAGCAAGAATAGAAAGATAACTCAGTAATCTTCCAGCTACAAGGCTAGTTTAATGAACCTTTTTTGACTTAGTTTTTCATGCTTAGTCAGAAATTAAGACATTTAACAGGCCCGGTGCGGTGGCTCACGCCTGTAATCCCAGCACTTTGGGAGGCCGAGGCGGGCAGATCACGAGGTCAGGAGATCGAGATCATCCTGGCTAACACAGTGAAACCCCGTCTCTACTAAAAAAATACAAAAAATTAGCCGGGCGTGGTGGTGGGCGCCTGTAGTCCCAGCTACTCAGGAGGCTGAGGCAGGAGAATGGCGTGAACCCCCGGGAAGCGGAGCTTGCAGTGAGCCGAGATGGCGCCACTGAACTTCAGCCTGGGCGACAGAGCGAGACTCCGCCTCAAAAAAAAAAAAAAAAAAGAAAAGAAAAGAAAAAAGATATTTAACAAAGTTAGAAATGTTATGAACATACCCCGTGGGTATGAGGGAAAGTGATGGAGGAAACATTTTCTTTTGAGGAAAAATTAAGCTGAAATAGGAACAAATTTTTCAGGGGGTAAGGGGGAGGTAAGCGCTTGGTATTAGTCTATTACCAGACAAAGCAAATTCACAGCTTTGATTTTCGCTAAAGAGGGCAAAGGGGAGACGTTTTAACCGAGCTTATAAGACCGAGATATGATGTATATCTCCTATTAATATCTACTTAAATAGGAACTGTCTACTTTTATAAACATTAAATTAAACTTCTAGGAAAATCTAACAAGTTATCATATTAAGAAATTTTGAATATATCCCAGTGCAGTACCACTGTCAGCAAGAGCTAGTCTGAGGAAAAGTGAGACACTCCTGGTAGTTTAGCAGAATACAGATTCCTGAGGAGTGATAAAACTTATAAAGAATGTCATGTTTTTACAAATACAATTTTATGCCAGTGTTAAAGGTCTGTTAATCAGTGCATTGACCAGGTTATTTTATTCCTTAAGTCACCAAAGAGTAACAGATTATTTAGGGAAATTTGTTTTTAAAGCATTGAATGCAAAATTGCAAAATAAAGGTGGAAGCAATCTTGTCTTTTTTTTTTTCAAATATCTCTTCTATGCACATTTATTTGAAAATCAAAACTGCTTCCATGAAAACAATAAATAAATACCACTATGGCATGTTACTTAGAGCTGAGAGACAACGTCCTCCTGCATAAACGAAATGAAAAAAATTAAGAGGGCAGGTAGATTTCCCCTTGACTTTACCTACTACGTGGTTTGATCAACAAGGAATTTAATTGTCAGCTTATGACATATGAATAAACCATTGAAGTCATTAAAGAACTATCAGTTAGTTAACACATTATAAAGCTGGGAGGGAGTTGAAGAGATTTTCATATTCAGGTCATATATTTAGGTAGATGAAATCAGGAATATCCAACTAGCTGGGATCACATCATCAATCATGTAGCTGATACTATGGCACAATGTGGCAGTGTCAAAGATTATAGGTCCCACCAGGGGGTAGGAGATGTATCTGGAAACTCTGGAAACTGCTACCACATACTTCTCTTTCTTTTATATACTTTTTGGGAAGCCATCCATTTTTTCTCTCTCTCTCTCTCTTTCTTTTTCCTATTTGTATTATAAGGAACTCCCACTAGCAATTTAAAGCCTCCTGGCTTTTGTCTAAGATGGAAGAATTTATAGCAGACAAAATGCTCCCACTGAGAACAATCAGAAAATGGATACAATGTATACACACATTCACTCAAATTCAACCTGTCTGAGGGTGTTGTGGAGCTTCTCAGAAGCCAAGCCAGGACTTGGCCCAGTATTTTTGAGATGAACAGCTCACTGAGGAGAGTCCACAATGAGTAATGTGGACTGAGTAATGTAGCATTACTCTTGGGGCATGAGCCAATTCTTAAGCTTGGTGCAGTGAGAGTCTGAGGGCAAATGCTAAGGGGCAAGAAACCCAGCAGAATTTTGAGCAATTCCATGGGGCTTGGGAAACAAAAATAGAAGTAGAGACCAGTGATGGCAGGACTTGAGGTCCAAGATTCTGGAGATAAATGAAGTACAGGGAGATGTCTTGGGAGTGATAAAATATAAGTGGCTATTTGCCCTCCAGGTATTTTTTTGTGTGTAGGCTACATAGATCAAGAAATCCAAATCTAAGCAAAAAGTGGAAATCCAGCAAAGATGTCAGCAGTGTCACTTTTTTGCTAGTAAGACAAAAATTGGAGTAAAGAATATCCCAAAAGGAGCCTTGGTAAACATCCCATACTCTCATTAAGGAATCCCTGGGGAGAAGGGTGGTGGTCCTACATTCGAGGAGATAGAATGAAGCCTTTCAATATCTGACACAGTCTCAGTCAGTTACATTGAGAAAACCTCCTAGCATTCCAGTTGTCTGTCAGAAAATGAGATGAGTGGCTTCTGGAGGGATATATCATCATCTAGAGCCTCTCAATTTTTTTTTCTTTTTTTTTTTTTTGAGACGGAGTCTCACTCTGTTGCCCAGGCTGGAGTGCAATGGTGCAATCTGAGCTCACTGCAAGCTCTGCCCCCAGGTTCAAGTGATTCCCCTGTCTTAGCCTTCCAAGTAGCTGGGATTACAGGCATGTGCCACCATGCCTAGCTAATTTTTTGTATTTTTAGTAGAGACGGGGTTTCACCATGTTGGCCAGGCTGGTCTTGAACTCCTGACCTCAGGTGATCCACCTGCCTTGGCCTCCCAAAGTGCTGAGATTACAGGCATGAGCCACCACATCCGGCCGTGCCTCTCAAATTTTTTATGCACAATGACTAGAATTCATTAAAAAAAATACCATACATACCAAGAAACATGTCCAAAAGGAAAAGACAATAGAATTAGCCTCGTGGCTGATGCAGACTACCGCAGAAGACAAAGCAAGATTTTAAGTTTCTGCTGATTACTGTGTTTAAGATAATAGAGGATGAGATGAGCAATTTAACCAGAGACACGAAACTTATTAAGAGAAATTGTAGAACTGAAAGAATAACTTAAAGATTCAATAGATGTGTTTGACAGCAGAGTGTCACGGCTAAAGAAAGGGTATACAGTTGCATGTCAAGAAAGACTCAAGCACAGAAAGTAAAAGAATGGGAAATACGAAAAGTTCATAAAAGACACTAAACACAATGAGGATGTTCTATATTTTTAGTTGAAATAACAGAGAAAGAAAGTGAATGGTGCAGGAGCAATATTTGAAGACAAAATGGTTGAGAATGTTTCAAAATTGATGAGAATAAACAAACTAAAGTTTCATGAACAGCTGTGAACCAAAGTAGAGACAAATTAGAAATTTTAAAAAAGTCCTAACTTCATCATAGTACAACTGTTTCAAACCAAAGGCAGGGGAATAAAATATAAAAAACAGAACAGCCTGAGACTAAAAGATGTATTATTATTCACTATATCAGCAATAAAACTAATGACTGACTTCTCAAAAGAATCAATAAAAGTCAGACAATGGAATAATATCTTTAAAATACAAAAAGAAAGTGACTGCCAACCTAGAATTCTTAGTGAAAAGCTTCTTCAAAAGTAGAGGCGAAATAAAAAATATCTGCAGGCAAAGATTCTGAGAATTCTTCACCAGGAAGCCAGCACTACAAGAAATACGAAAGGGGATTCCTCGAGAATAAGGGAGAATATTTCAGATAGAAACATGGAAATCCAGGAGGGAATGAAAAGTAACAAAATGGTAACTATGTGAGTAAATCTAAGCAATTATTCACTGTACAAAGCAAAAATAATACAGATCGTCTCCAACTTATGATGGTTTGTCTTCTGATTTTTCAACTTTATAACGGTACAAAAGTAATACATCCAGATAAACCAATCCTACACTGAAAATATTGGCACTTTCAACTTACAATATTTCAACATATAATGGGTTTATCAGGACCCAACCCCATCATAAGTTAAGGAGCATCTGTACAAGTTTCCTGAGAAGGTTAACAGTTTTTTAAACTTAATCTAGTATTAATATAATAATATAATGAAATTATATATATTATAATAATTTAATATAATAGTCTGTTCTCATGCTGCTATGAAAAAATACCCAAAACTGGTATAAAGAAAAGATGTTTAATTGACTCAAGTTTCTGCATGGCTGGGGAGGCCTCAGGAAACTTACAATCATGGCCAAAGGCACCTCTTCACAGGGCAGCAGGAGAGAGAATGTGTGCAAGCAGGGGAAATGCCAGACATGTATAAAATCATCAGATCTTGTGAGACTCACTCACGAGAACAGCATGGGGGAAACCGCCCTCATGATTCAATTACTTCACCTGGCCTTGCCCTTGACATGTGGGAATTATTACAATTCAAGCTGAGATTTGGGTGGGGACACAGATCCAAACCATATCAATCCTCTTCAGAAGTAAATTCTCTTTCTTTTTCATGTTCTAGCTAATGTTCATTTTCCTGTGGGCTGGAGAAAATCTGCTTTTAGTAGTTGAACAATGAGACATCACCTAGCATTGTCTTAGTTTAGCTAACATGTATGATAACTGCAGTATCCTAACCCTTTTCCTTCCCCTTGAGTACTGGTAGAATCCCTTTGTCAGGTTTAGGTCTGGGAGGGGTCATTGTTGTGTGTATGGCCGAGCTTTGTGTTAATTCTGGTGTTCAGATTATATGTATCTTGTTTCATCTTGCTGTCCTTGTTTGTTGGTTTATGTTGTTGTTGTTGTTTTGATACGGAGTCTCTGTATGTTACCCAGGCTGGAGTGCAGTGGCGTGATCTCAGCTCACTGCAGTCTCTGCCTCCCGAGTTCAAGCAATTCTCCTGTTTTAGCCTCTGAGTAGCTGGGATTACTGTTGTGCACTACCACACCCAGCTAATTCTTTGTATTTTTAGTAGACAGGGTTTTTCCATGTTGGTCAGGCTGGTCTTGAACTCCTGACCTCAAATGATCTGCCCACGTTGGCCTCCCAAAATGCTGGGATTATAGGCGTGAGCCACCACACCTGGCCTGGTTTTTTGTTTTTATAATTGCTACACTCGTAAACCCCCATTGCCAAGAACAGCTCCTGGAACTTTTTCTTTCTGCTTTTGCATATCCACTTATTTTGAGGTGACTTCATATCCTGGCATAAAATTTGCTAACATCTTTATCATTTGTGTGCTTCCAGGTTTGTGAATTTGAATGACAAGTTTAAAAAATATTTCCCATGCAGGAAAGAGGGTGTTTTATTGGATTTGTGACTAGAGCAACCACAGAATCCCTGAACTAGAGACAGACACTGAATGCCAGACAGGGACTTAGTGTTTTGTTGATTTTAAATATCTGTATCTATATCTATATCTATATCTTATTTCCAGCCATAGCTTCTATGCTAGTCCAGAGATTTGGATATACTTAGTCAAGGATTATATATTTAATAGAATCTGCCTAGAACACAATACTACATTGCACAGCCTACTGATTTATTGTCATTTCAAGTAGACATTCTTTAAATATTTATTTAGATTTATTTACTGTGGGCAGGAACAGGCCTATTTTAAATTAATGAACTACCTACTGATTTCTGTATGTTTAAATTAAGTAACTTACATTTTATGTACTGAACATGACAGAGTATTTTATTATATTGAGAATTACCTTTTACAATCTTTCTGTTACTCATAGCTTATAGAATTTTAGTCACTTTCAGTCACTAAGGATAGAGGTGAATTGGATAGAATTACAATCTTATTCAAAATACATTTACAGTTTTTTTTTTTGCTTGTTTTCACGGTGGAAAAAAAATGTTCCCTACTGGTCCGTATTCATTGTTCTGTCTGTTTTCTTTTGAAAGTCCCTGAACCAGTTGCCTTTCTAGAAGGCAGATTAAATGTTTAAAACTTGAATGATAAAACCTGCCACTCACCGCTGGTCATTGCTCTGCGTGTGTATGATTTTGGTTCAAAATTTCTGCTGACAATGTCTCCTCAATGTTGGCTAGCTCTCAGCTGGCTGCTTTCTGAGTTAAGGGTAGGCTTGCCAGCAGTTGCAATGTGTGCACAGCAAACTTGCTGTCTGAATTGCAGAACCACTCAAGCAAGACAGGATGGTGCAAGTGAGGAGTGTTTTGAAACAAGTGTCTACATGGGGGCACCGTCTACTTCAGTGGTAGTATAATCAAATTGCATTTCAGCAGTTACATAAGGAAAGCCCAGTAAATTGGCACTGATGTCTGATTGATTGCAGTGGTACTTTAGCTTTTTTTATTGGTATGGTCTCAGGTAGCTTCCAATGGCTTGTGACTGAGTCAGTTGTGTTTCTCAGTCTAACCCTACTGAACCGCAACTAGTAGAACCGCTCACCCCTTTCTCTCAACATCCACATGCTTGGTTTTCTGTAATCCTGAACGTTTTTACAATTTAATATATCTTCGTGAGTATTTTAAATTAGACGATGAGAGTGTTTCAGATCATATCACCATGAAAAATGGGCCTAACTGGAATTGTTTATCCAACACTATTGATGCTTCTGCTGTTGTTTGCAACATAGCACCATTCCTTCTGAATAAGCAAAACACAATATATCTTTGGGGTAAATTTCAAAATCTGTAATCCCAAGAGTTTATATGTGTACAGCATTTTATAGCTTATAAAGAGCTTTTCCATTGTGGAACCAACCTGGCCTCATGAATGGCAACAGGGGAAGAAGGATTAAAGGGTGTTGACTATGGGCATTGGATGGCTGTCTTCTCAAGTATCTAAAATTTAATATATTTTGACATATATATGTGTATATATATACGTATATATGTGTGTATATATACGTGTATATATATGTGTATATATATGTGTATAGATATGTGTATATATATGTACGTATATATATATATATATTTTTTTTTTTTTTTTTTTTTTTTTTGAGATGGAGTTTTACTCTTTTTGCCCAGTCTGGAGTGCAGTGGCGCGATCTCGGCCCACTGCAACCTCCACCTCCCAGGTTCAAGTGATTCTCCTGGCTCAGCCTCTTGGGTAACTGGGATTACAGGTGCGCGCCACCATGCCTGGCTAATTTTGTATTTTTAGTAGAGATAGGGTTACACCATGTTGGCCAGGCTGGTCTCGAACTCCTGACCTCAGGCGATCTGTCCGCCTCGGCCTCCCTAAGTGCTGGAATTACAGGCATGAACCACCGCGCCCGGCTGACAATTAAAAATTAATTTTTATATTCCCCTGTCTAATTTACGTGGGAAATCTGTATTCTTTCTAGGGATGGATGTATACTGATTCTGTGTGTGTGTGTGTGTGTGTGTGTGTGTGTGTGAATATGTGTGTGTGTGTGCAAAATAGCTACATTAGCTTTATTAAGAATCTACTTTGTCCTCCTTCTGTTTTGTTATACATTTTAGTATTTCCTGTCAATAACTGAACATAAATGGTACCGTGCCTACAATTGCTTCTTTCTGATTCCCAAGTTGTTGCTTTGACCACTTGGATAGCAGCAGGACAAGATAAAGAGAATTAAGTTTCAGTTCACTCCAACGCATTTAACGTATTTAAAAATATTTATACTACATGTTTATCAAATGTATAGCATTTTATGAAGATGAGAGTGCCATTGTTTATCACTTCCCCCATTGTATCTGTTTTTAAACACTTGACTTTAATTTGAAATATTCCATTTTTGAAGAGTTAAAGACGTTTCAGGTTTACAGCATGTCAAATGAGAGTTACAAGTTTTTCAAGGTATTTATTCTATAAAGAAACACTGGGTTAAAAATACAATTCATAGAACAACTTATAATTAAATTGCATCAAAATTGCAAATCCCATAATTGATTATATTAATGACAATATTATTGGCAGAAATTGATTGTTAACCTTTTTTATTGAAAAGAGGTTTTTCTGACTAATTCGCTATTAACATATTAAAAATGAATAAAACATTAAATAAAACCTATAAAGAAACAAAATATTTCCAACTTACCCAAAGTGTTACAAATTAAATATTTATTAGATACATACAATTAAGATAAAAGTATCCTGAGAACTAAATAATTAAAATGCTAAATTTCTCCCAAAATATAAAAAGTAAAGAAGAGATCATTCAATATATACAAACACACTGAAAGGAGGTTTCAGTATTTGGAAAACTCCTTTTAGACAAAGGGGTTTTAGGTAGAGTACCTTTAGGAAAAATGGTGTATTTCTGTGACTGTAACATTGATGTTTCAAAATATACCATAAAATTGCTTACATATATTTAAATGCTACTCATAACTATTCCAAAAAAACATTTTTTACCCTCCAACACATTTTTAAGTATTTATAAAATCATGTATGTGTATGTTTATGTATATGTATATTTTGTGTCTATACACATAGATATCAGTTATCTATCACCACAATAATATTGCATAGGAAAGAACTACAACACCTTAAAAGCTTAAAACAATATATTATTTATTTGTCTCACAGTAATTACTCATGTGTTCTTAGCTGGGCTTCTCCTGCATCTGAAGGCAGCTAGAGTGACTAGATAGCTCTGCTGATCTTCTCTGGCCTACTCAAATGTTTGTGACGAGCAAGTCTTATCTGATGGAGGATGACCTTGGCTGGAATGACTTTGTTGATGCGGTCCTACTCCATATGTCTTCCAACCACTAGCAAGCTAACCTGGCTATGTTCATCTGCAAGAGCTGTGGCAGATGCTTAAGTGCTTTCTTCTCAAGTCCAACATATGTTATCACTGTTAACATCCCATTGATGAAAGCAGGTCATAAGCTTAATTCAAAATCCAGGGGTATGGAAATGTATTTCACCTATTTTGGGGGGAAGTCATCATATGGCAGGTTGTTGATGAAGGGAGGGGTGAAGAATTGGAGATTCCATCTAAATATAAAAGTTACAGTAGATTGTTACATTGGAATTAATGTAACAATCAGTAGATTGTAAGTAGATCAGTAAGTAGAATGTAAGTAGATCAGTAGATTGTTACATTAATTCCAATGTAACAATCTACTGTAACTTTTATATTTAGATTTTTAAATAAGACTCACCTTAATAGGATTAGGAGATTTTATGGGCTAGAACTCAGATAAATCATTATCTATAATGAAAAACAAGAAAGGCTTGAAATTTCCCTAATATAAAGACAACAGTTTTATTCGGTCAGACATTTTAATATTAAATTTTTATTTTAACTATTAATAAGTAAGATACAATTAATGAAGGTGGAATTGACTATACACTAAAAGGATTTGAGGGTAAATAGCCAAAAGTAGAGAGGAAAATATTGAGCATGTGTGTGATAGCTTTCTGAAATTCCATGACATTACTGCTCCCTCTCCTCTTGTAACATATCTTGTACTTCTCTTCTTCGGTTATGTTTAGACATCATAGAAACACTTAATGGCACTTGAGCTACATCAGGCCAAAGAAAACAAATGAACAAGTGGAAACAAATGGATTTCACTTCCAAATTCAAAGCATGAGATGAGAAAAGAATTCAAGAGTTTGGAAACCAGTCCTGGCAGTCAGCCATTTAAAGGGTGCCTGCATGGGCATTTTATGCCCATATAAGATACACCAGAATAGAGGAGAAAGGAAAGTATACATCAAAGCTGTATAATTGAAATCATAAAACTGTAGAGATATAAAATAATAAAGTGAAGCTAGTATCAAATAAAGGAGATAAGCTTAGCTTTCAGAACAATGGGACTTGAGTCTCACCCTTCTACAGCTTATCATTTCTAAATGTTTGTAGGCTTGACAGGCAATGCTGGAATTATCTCTGCCAGTTATTAAAATAATTTTGTGTTAGTAATAATTTTGGAAACCTCTGTACTGAAGTTGCTTTTCTCTAGGAAAGCATGATTTTCTCCTTAATGCCAGCTTGAGAAGAATAAGGATAAGTAGGAAAGAGGACTGAAACATAAAATATGCAAAATGTATCTGAAATATTAGTTCATTTTAAGTAAAATCCTCGTAACAAAGTGTCTTCAGGAACACAAGAGTAAAAACAGCTTACTATTAAAACGAAGGAAGAAAACTCTTACAAATTGTAAACATATGGAATATTTGCAAAGCTCTATCTCGACTGCTGGAATAATTTGTACTCAATTTGTAACCATGAGAAACAGTTTCTAATTAATTAGTCTGAATCATTTATGCTTGGCATCATTCTTAGGTTGGTGCACTTATTTTAGAAAAGAGGGAAAGTTCAAGGGACCTAGAGATAATGGAGATAACATAACTATGAATTTGCTAGCACATACATTTAAAATCTGCAGCTCCTTGTGACTTAAATACCTCCAACAACTGCTTAGGCAATTCATTCCACTATCAGTGGTCCTTAAAACTTTTGAGATAAAGATCCCTTGAGAGATTGAACTCTCCTTCCATGGATCATTCATAAACCAGAATTTTAGATTCACTTTGTAGAAAAAAAAATGATTTGTAGAACTACTGAATTTTAGCTATATTGAAAAACAGTGTAACCCTGTCACGTTTAAGGATATAAAAGCCATTCATAGTGTTGCTAATTATACCTGAGCTGACCAGCTGGAGAATTTTAACCACCTAATAATAATAACAATAATAATATTATTCATAAATTGGTATAATGTTTTATATTTAAAGCATTTTCAGGTACATTATGTGTTTATCCTCAAAACAACACTGTAAAGTAGGTAAGACTTTTTTTATCATTGTTATTACTATCACTACTATTATTACTATTTTATAATCGAAACTACTGAAACCTCATTCTAAATGACTTCTTCAAAACAGCACTAAATGACAGATGTGGAATGTGAATGTAGGTTTTCTGTTTCAGGGATTAGTATTTATGACTTTGTACCACTCTTTTCTGTGCAGTGTACTCCATTTTTCTCTTTTCTAAAATGTGCTTAATAATAGTACCTACCTCACCAAGAAATAAAGAGACTTAATTAGATAGTATGTAAAAAGCACTTAGAATATAGCACTTAGAACATAGCATTTATGACATATAGCAAATGCTTGATACACATAGGTTATTATTATGAACATACATTAATCAGAATTCAAACTGTGATGGTTAAATAGAAACTTGATACATAAAAACGTGCTCAGAGTGAATTTATTTTCAAAACCAAGGACATTTTCAATTTGCCTAGAATCAGCAAATACTTATTCTGGTGACTTCTAACATAAACACTAAAGACCAACAAAAATTGATATTTGAAATGATGTGAGTTTTTTAAAACATTCAGTTATATTTTACCATGCATTTTATGAAACCAGTGATCCTCTCAGTTTTGGAGCACTAGTAAACTGGTGTGTATTTTCTCTTAAACCCTGGAGACAATCAATAGGAGAGTGTACTTGATGCTTAATCAAGTTGTGCTCTAATCTAGTGCATATGAGGTGTCGTGTTATCCTGTACACCAGTCACCAGCTTCGGTTTCTGAGAAAGAATACACAGAGTACACAAACAAATATATAGCTCTTATTTTTGTAAGGTCCTCTTACCTGAGCCTCACAGGCTTTCCTTTCCTGGTAATCTAAATGGAACATAACTTCTTTATAACTCAAGCTTACATTATCTCAGTGCTTCTTCATCTTTGAGGTATCCCTGTATACTCAAGGATTTTCTACACATGGAAGACATACTTCTACTAAATATGAGAAAGAGACCAAGCAAGTGAAAGAATTCTCTTAGTATTTTTAAGTTTCACATTTTGTTCAGTAATTGTCATCTTTATCATTGTTTAGCCTTAGTCTTAGAGTTAAAGGAAATTCACATTAATTCAGTCTTTTTTATAACTGTGTCTTCATTTATTTCTTGAGTAGCTAAAATTTACTCTTCTATATTCTGAGTTCTTGCATGTTTAAAAAGTTTGTTGCCCTCACTGTTGCATGAGAATTCGGGTGTGTATAAAATTATTGTCACACATTCTCTTCTTTTGAGAACATTGTAGACGTTACTCCATGGTCTTCTAGTGTTCCTGTGAAACTTTCAGAGACTAGCCTGATGATTTACCATTAATAAGTATGGTTATCTTTATACTTACACATTTACAGTATCAATTAAAAAGTATTAGTATACTCTTTCTTTATCTTGAAGTCCAGTTACTTTATTATCTTAATACCAATAATTCTCTATTCATTTTCCCCCAACACATGCTGTGTTCTTTCTGTTTTTAGATGTATCATTATAATGTTGTATATTTCTGAGAAGTTTTCTTTATTATATTTTTAAATATTTGTTGTGTTTTGTCATTGTCATTATCACATTTAGGAGAACAATTTATATGTATATTGGTTTGTTTGCCTTCTATAGTAATCACTTTTTCTCTAGTCTCTTTAACTTCATTTCCATTTAATTTTGCTTGCTGTTTTCAATATTATTCTCCACGTTCCTTGCAGCATTTTGTACTGTGTGATTCTGCTAATGTGTCCTGCATTTCTATAGCGATCTTACTTTCTATTCCACTTTCCTAAGTTGTTTCAGTTCATATCTCCCGCCTTTGGCTGTAAACTCTCATATTTCATGACCTTTGGACCTTTTTTTTGAGTGATTGCTTTATATAGACAATAATTTCATTAAGTTTTTTTTATTTATGACAATATTTTTGGTTATCTATTCTGTGGCAAAATTATTTTGGTTAATGTTCTTTGCTGTTTGAGTTTTCTATTTCTTTCCTTATTCATGTGTCATAAATAAGCAACTGCAGGTATCCCTACATTTATGTTGTGATCTTTTGCTCTGTCCCACCGACTAAATGCTTTCTGAAAATACAGCATGTCATTAGGATAGTTTTTCAGCCTTAAATGCCCTGATTTGTTATTGCCATATTGGTTCATAGAAGCTCCCATGCTTAGCCCACACATCCTGATGCTTCAATCAAGGGATGTTACATTGCATTGCCTACTTTGGAAATATTGCCAGATTAGTCTGAACTCTGCAACCATAGCCATCTTCCTCTGATTATTTCCATTATATTGATGGAAATAATAAATTCTCTGAATGAGAATTCTCTGAATTACAATATTCTCTGAATTTGCTCATATTATTGTTATTCTAACTCATAAATGCATCTTCTAGGTTTATTAAAAGTAAATTTTTCTTTACATTTCATATTCTCTTTATTTTCTAGTATAGTACCATTTCTTTGTGTTAAACAGGAGGATAAAGATGTGATTTTTAAAACACAATTTTCATAGTGTTATCCAAAAGCATTGGAAAACCATTATAAAGTTGAATTAATTTTGTGTAAATAACATTATTTCTATTCTTAAACACATAAGCCCTCTGTGATAGGAAACATCACAACGTACACTTACAAAGCATAAGCTCCTACATAATAACCCAAATCCATTTGTTCATTTAACAAAGGAGAATGATATCTAGAAAGCTCTAAAGAGATTATGAAAGTGAAACAAATTAAGAATCTAATGTAATCCTGCCTGATATGGCTAACAATGGGAAAATCTTCTCAGTAATTAACCATGCTGGACTCAGACTTCCACGGTGTTTATAAAGATTCTTGGTTACAAAGGGTTTTATTCTGATGCATAAAGATTCTCCACAAATCTTTTATGATGAGCTAATGTTAAATACTCAAATTTGCTGAGAAGTGGGTTTTTTTTCCAGCATCATCAGGGATCTGCCCACGAATAAAATCCTATAAAAATAATATCTGAAGCAGCAGTTTGCAGAGGGAAAATTGGGGAGGTTTTTAGAAATAAACCTATGTTTTTAGAGGAAGGACTTGTTTGAATTACAAGTAAATTTGACTCTGTGACGATGAGCCTATTTGAGGGTATGAGACAGTGCCTTCCAGATTCCTGTGGTTCAGGATTCTGCTTGGTTCAAATTCCTGCTCCTCCTATAGGAACTATGGAGCTGCCTATTTAAATGCTTATTATAAATGCAAAGGAGGTAATGAATCTGACATATACTATGTATAACAATATTAAAACACCGTTAATTATGCTTGAAATTATTATTTAGTTTCACCATCCTATGACCAAGAACATTTTTTCCGTATCATTCTGGTGGTAACCAATCTAGTTTTAAAGGGACTAAAAATATATTTTCTGAATTTAAAATAAATGATTAAACTTGTAAAAACCAAAAAGACACTTCTGTAGAGGGCAACTCATTTAGACTGTCAGGATTTTCAAAATAAATCTTTACCTGGGATTCTGTCCTCTTCATTGATGTTAAATTTTTTTTTGTGGTTTTACATTTTTGTCCCTCAAGACTTTTATGCTGTGTGAGTTTGTTTCACCAGTTTGTATTTTTCATATTAAATATGTTGTCTTAGGTTTTCAAAAGGTTACTAATTTAGGTTTTCTCCAATTGTTGGATACTTTTTCATTCTAAAAATATATTTTATA
This sequence comes from Homo sapiens, assembly GCF_000001405.40. Lineage (NCBI taxonomy): Eukaryota > Metazoa > Chordata > Mammalia > Primates > Hominidae > Homo > Homo sapiens. The sequence goes on along the minus strand of NC_000003.12, from coordinate 153,744,522 downwards.
GAATATACAGTGGCTCGATAATGCTTTCAATTAGATAGAGAGTAAAAGGGGCTAAAAGGGTGCCCATATTTAATAACAACACAAAACCCAACTATATATATTTGAGGCCTATATATTTCAAGAACACTTTATCTTTCCTATCTTTTGAAGTTCATTTTTTCCTGACCTTACTGTGATAAGATTTTTTCTATTTTTACTCCTTCTTTGTAATCTGCCCTACTTTATCACTCATTTTTGTCTGTATGTTCCTAAGAACCCCATCACCAACCTCAGCTATCACCTGCAAGACTAGAAGGAAAAGTACCAGTCATTTCTTTGTACCCCTGTAGTGCTTAGTACAGTGCTAGTTCAAAGAAAGTGCCATATAAACATACATGTGCTTTTGATCACTTGATCATAACTTTACCAGTGATGGGAAACTTTTAATGGGTTCATGTTTCTGATATGTTTCCTTCTGCTCCCCCAGCTTTGTTATACACAGGATTGACTCCTCTTCTTTACCCCTCTCCATTTATAGCTGCTTTTCTACTGTCTGCCCAACTCCTTTAGACTATTTGAATTCACCACAATCTCATATAGTCTTCTTTTACAAGGTTCCCAAGCCACCAAAATCTATTTTGTTTGAAAATTATTTTTGCCTATGCTATTGCTTCTTTGGGGTCATTACTCACATTTTGTTTTTATACCGTAGTGGTTTTAAAGTAAAAATAATGTAACAAATCCATATTCTTCTAAAAACTCTAGCCCATTTTGGATTCTCAACATATGCACAGATGGATTGTCTTGAATGACCCATGCATCCTTTTCCTCCCTTTTCCTTATAATAGTGTTGGTGCTAATTCCTCTAGTTGCTAACACCAAAGCAACAACATTGCTAACCATGCCTACTAAAGATTCTGCTGTTGTTCCTGGTCTATGCTGAAGTTCCACATCAAGGACCCTGACATCTACATCAAGGTCACTCTCTGGAATCTTTCATGAAACATTGGTGCAATTTCCTATTGTTGCCCCAATGATTAGCCCACATCTGCCATTATTGCAGAAACTAGAACCATTGTAGTGAATGACTTGTGCTTGCACATTGTTTTTACTCTTTTAGGTTTTACTTACTCTTATATTGCAAACTGCTTGGCTTAGAAACCTGCTTTTGCAGTCTAGCCTAAAAGACAGCCTGAGTAATAAACACCAAGATATTCTCAGAATCACCCTGACAATTACTCTATTTCTAGTCTAATTCTGTGTCAAAATGTAACCATACTGAAAGGATAATGGTCTAAATATAATTTCTCCTTTAAAAATCTATTATTGTAAAATTAGAAATTTACAATTCATTTCTAAACATAAATGATGAAGCACCATTTTCATCAATAATTTTTCGGCGTACACTTCCTCTTCATTTAGAATATAGGATTAGAGTCAAAGAATCTACCCCCTTTTAGACTCATCTATGCTTAATATGCAACTCTGAAAACAGGAAGTATGCTATAAATGGTGAAGACAACCTGCCCTTTTAGATGCAGATACTTATTTGAAATATGTTAGTATGGTCTAAGCATTTCATTTGTTGAGTACCTTAGTCTATTAGTTTGTCACATTCACTGCTGATGCATTAATGTAAATTCCTTCATGTATATGAAAGAAAATTTGAGTGCTTTTCTCTGCTTATTGTAAGGTAGAGAAAAAGGAGAGGTGGCTCATGAAAGAAAATTTGAGTGCTTTTCTCTCCTTATTGTAGGGTAGAGAAAAAAGAGAGGTGGCTCAAATACCAGTAAGAGAGAATGGTGACCAAGTGCTCATAATATTAGAAGTTGGGGGACATAAACTCCAAAGAAAAAGAAAAGCTGTGTCATTCTGTCTTGCTTATGTTTCTTTAAGAATTAGATAGATCATCACCTGCACTAAGTTTCAACAAACTGTTACCTTGAATGAATTATAGTAAAGAAGAAAGATAATTTTCAGAGATTTTGCTTAAGCTCCTCAAAGGATGCTAACTCTTTGAGTAATGGCTTATGTTAATAATTGTCACTGGTAACAATGCTCCCTAAGAAATATGAGATTCAGAAACAATTATGACTATGAACATAGCCTTTTAGATATTTAATTATGTAATTACAGAACGCTAATTTTTTGCTTTGTGAAATCTCTAGTTAAATGTTTACTGAAGTGTGGTCATTAGGTTGCAAGTTCATAGAGAAATATCAGGTATCTCATAATCAAATATCTTTGATAAATTAGTATTAAATAAAATTAAATGGGTGTTCATATTGTAGGGGCTTTTCAGAGTGTTTATTATGTAAATAAAGATATACATGACCAAAGGAGGGACTTTATGAACCAAAGACTGGTTCAGCTGCATGGAAGAGAAACTCAATTACACTGGCTTACCCAAAGAGAGATTTTGTTTTCTTTACCCTATGAACGGAAGTCCAGGGAAAAATAATTCAGGGCTGGTTCAACAGCTTGATTAAGTGGTCATATCCTGAGCTCTTTCCATTTTCCTGCTCAGCTAATGTTTTAGGTGACTTTCAACCTAAAGTTCTTAGGAAGACTCCCACATCTATTGCCACTGTGTTACAATTGCTTATGTAGGGATTTCACCCAGAAGGTTTTTGCTTAAATTTCATAGCCAGAACTCAGTTACTTGATCCTTCTTCTGAACTTTTTCAGAAACCCATGTTTCAGAAAGTCCAAAATTATGTGGAAGTGAGATTTTAAACCAGGGACATTTTGTCACTCTGAACCAAATCAGGATTTTGCTGGTGAGGAAGTTGTGGGGGATGGATATTGGGAGGCAAATAGAAGTGTTTTGTCATGTAGCATTCTTTAATTTTATCCTCGGCCTTCTCCTCCTCCCCAAATTTTTAATGGATTATCTGACAGGACATACTGATTCTAGTCTAACTCTTCAGATGTACGTTTAAAAAAAAACCCAAATACATTAAAAATACTTGCTTAAGTTCACATGCTTCGATTAGTTTCATTTTAAATAGAATTACAGATAATTTGAAGTAAATGTCTAAGAAAATAACAAGGAGATGAAGATTAATGTGTCTCAACAAGTTTGTAAACATTTATTACAGGTGTTTCATTGTTAGCCACTTTAGTTCTCTCTTTATTTTACTTCACGATTTCTAGTTTAAAAAATTATCTTAGCATTTATCTTCATTTGCAAATTGAGAGGTTTAGTTATTGAGATCATCATAAGAAGGAACAATTTTAGAGCTTCAAGCAGACATTTTTAATGTGGGCCATTTGTCTCTGATATCAATTTTATCTTGAGTACTTTATTACATATGCATGCTACAAGTGACAGATAGTTTTAATATCACAATGATTAATCGAATATTTTTCTTAGGTTCTCCTGCAGAGAAGAATATCATGTGAAATATTGATAAAGTTCTTCCAAGAACAGCAAAATTGTTGCGATGCTTAAAGAAGTCTTTAAAACTAAGATTGTATTTTCTCTGGCTAAACAGCAAAGGTACTATATTTTACAGGCGAAGATTGAAATACTTTATTGATTTTGTTATGGGAAAATCATCTCATGAAATTTCTGCGTTAATCAAAAAAGGGTCTTTCCAATGGCCTTGGTCCTCATGGAATTAGGTCATAGTTGACTAAATAAGATTAAATTTGTCAATGACTCCAATTTGGGAGCTAGTGACTTAGAAATGTATATTAAAATCATAACTTCTGCGCTATTTTTTTTAAAAAAGTAGTTAAAATGTAGACTACATTCAGCAGAAACAAGTGGAGTGTACTTTACGTAGGGAAGAAAAAATTGATAAAAATATCAATACCAGATTGCTTCTGGTATTATTTCTTAATTTTTCTATATAAATTTGCCCTCATTCTCACAGATAAATTATTAAGGAAAGTATACTTAAAGAATAGAACAATGAGTGTTCTAAAATTATACATTCGTACACTCAAAAAGTATTTATTGAAGGACAGCTATTGCCAAGCACTGCTCTACACACCAGGGAAGACAGCAGTGAACAAAGTTGACTAGTCCCTGTTCTCTTGGAGCTTAAGTTGTAGCCAGGGGAAACAAGTAATAAGCAAATCAATACATCAGTGATCAGCTGCATTAAACAAAAGAAGAGAGTGGAGAAACCACAAGTGACTGGGGACAGGGTCTGGAAACACTTCATGGGGTTTAGCTGAATGGGCTGCTAGTTACACTGGCTTTACCTGCCTTTTATTGGCCTAATCTACACGTGTCATTGAATAAACATCCTTGTTCTCTAGCCCAGGACATCATTGTTCTAATTGCTCTCATTCTCCCAGAGCCGCAGTGTAATAGAGTAAAAATTGGCAATTAATTGGAGTAAGAAGACTTGGATTCACATCTTAACTTCACAATTATCTTAGTTTTTGTATCTCAAAAATTACTTCATGCAATTCCATTGAGTAAAGTGACAGAATGTGTATTCAAAAGTTATGAACAGAAAAAGTTCTATTCAAACATCTTTCTCTCCCAAGAATAAAAGTACATTTTCTGTTCATTCTTTCACTGATGTACTCACTCACTAAACACTAGTTGACTTGGGTAAGATATAATTCCTACTTTTAAAGATCTTTCAAGTGGGAAAAACAAACAAACAAATAAACCTGCCTAACATCTTTTATTGTAAGAAAAGAAATAGACATGCTACGAGTGTGGCCTGGAAGGAATATGAACATTCCCTCCTCATTCTTCCTGTCGTTGGTACACCAAGCACAGTTTTTCCTCTCCTCTGCCCATTTTCAAAGCAAGAACGAGTTTTAAAAACTGGAAGATCCTTATGTGCAAACAACTCACAGAGGAAAGGAAGGAAGAACTGTTCCCTTGTTGTCTCTATGGAAACACCACCATAATTCTAGCCACTTGTAAGGTGCCTGGGCAGAGGGCAGGAACTTGGATACCTTGTGTAGGAATGAAGACTGAAAAAAGATGAAAGCTCCATGAGGAAAAGTAGAACTGAACAGAGTCAGTGAACAAACCATCACTTTTACATAAAATTCACTATCATATCTTTCCTTTATCCTAAGTAGTATTTGCAAAGCCTCTTCTGTTACTTCTACCTAAATATATGTGTGTGTGTATGTGTGTGTGTGTCTGTCTGTCTGTGTGTACATACACATTATTTTTAATATGAACACTCTAACAACAAAAGTAAGTTTAAAATTTGGCTTCTTCTCAAGAGTCCTTTCACTAACCTAAGAGATCTACCATCTAACAGGAATGATTACTTAAACTTTTTGTTTTAAGAATTTATTAAGATTTTTACAGTTTATAGACACATTTTCTTTTAAAAACACAAATATAGATAATGAAATAGTTAAATAATGTCAACAACTAGAAAACTCATTTTCTGACAAGGCACTTAGAAACACCCATCAACCGGCCAGGCGCGGTGGCTCACGCCTGTAATCCCAGCACTTTGGGAGGCCGAGGTGGGCGGATCACGAGGTCAGGAGATTGAGACCATCCTGGCTAACATGGTGAAACCCCGTCTCTACTAAAAATACAAAAAATTAGCCGGGCATTGGGGCGGGCGCCTGTAGTCCCAGCTATTCGGGAGGCTGAGGCGGGAGAATGGCGTGAACCCAGGAGGCGGAGCTTGCAGTGAGCCGAGATCGCGCCACTGCACTCCAGCCTGGGCGACATAGAGAGACTCCGTCTCAGAAAAAAAAAAAAAGAAAAAAAAGAAAAAGAAACACCCATCAACCTTATTGCCTGTATGTGGATAACACCCAAATAATAACTGTCCGCCTCCAATCCATCTTCTGCACATCTCTCACACTCCTAACTGCAAGCTGCACATCCATATTTGGGGATCCCACTGGTATCACACATTTCATTTGCTTTAAATGGAATTCATTTCTCTTCTAAAACTTGATCTTTATTCTGAACTTTTTTAGAAACCCATGCTTAAAATTTTTATTTTTATTTTTTTCTTTATTTCTTCTAAAAAAAAAGCAGGGTACTTGTGCAGAACGTGCAGGTTTGTTACCTATGTATACGTGTGCCATGGTGGTTTGGTGCACCTATTGACCCGTCGTCTAAGTTCCCTCCCCTCACCCCCGACAGGCACTGGTGTGTGTTGTTTTGCTGTCTGTGTCCATGTGTTCTCATTGTTCAACTCCCACTTATGAGTGAGAACATGTGGTGTTTGGTTTTTTGTTCCTGTGTTAGTGTGCTGAGGATGATTGGCATCCAGCTTCATCCATGTCCCTGCAAAGGACATGATCTCATTCACTTTTATGACTGCATAGTATTCCATGGTGTATATGTGCCACATTTTCTTTATCCAGTCTATCATGGATGGGCATTTGGGTTGGTTCCAAGTCTTTGCTATTGTAAATAGTGCTGCAGTAAATATACCTGTGCATGTGTCTTTATAGTAGAATGATTTATATTCCTTTGGGTATATAATCATAATGGGATTGCTGGGTCAAATTATATTTCTGGTTCTAGATCCTTGAGGAATCACCACACTGTCTTCTAAAATGGTTGAACTAATTTACATTCCCACCTACAGTGTAAAAGCATTCCTATTTCTCCACAGCCTCGCCAACATCTATTGTTTCTTGAATTTTTCATAATTGCCATTCTGACTGGTGTGAGATGGTATCTCATTGTGATTTTGATTTGCATTTCTCTGATGGTCAGTGATGTTGAGCTTTTTTCATGTTTGTTGGCCATGTAAATATCTTATTTTGAGAAGTGTCTGTTCATATCCTTTGCCCACTTTTTGATGTTTTTTTTTCTTGTAAATTTGTTTAAGTTCCTTGTAGATACTGGATATTAGAACTTTGTCACATGGGTGGATTGCAAAAATTATCTCCCATTCTGTAGGTTGCTTGTTCACCCTGATGATAGTTTCTTTTGCTGTGCAGAGCTCTTTAGTTTAATTGGATCCCATTTGTCAATTTTGGCTTTCGTTGTGGTTGCTTTTGGCATTTTCATCATGAAGTCTTTGCCCATGCCTATATCCTGAATGGTATTACCTAGTTTTTCTTTTAGGGCTTTTATGTTTTAGATTTTTACATTTAAGTCTTTAATCCATCTTGAGTTAATTTTTGTATAAGGTATAAGGAAAGGGTCCAGTTTCTGTTTTCTGCATATGGCTAGCCAGTTTTCCCAGCACCATTTATTGAATAGGAGATCCTTTTCCCATTGCTTGTTTTTGTCAGGTTTGTTAAAGATCAGATGGTTGTTGATGTGTGATGTTATTTCTGAGGCCTCTGTTCTGTTCCATTGGTCTATTATGTCTATTTTGGTACCAGTACCATGCTGTTTTGGTTACTGTAGCCTTGTAGTACTGTTTGAAGTCAGTGTGATGCCTCCAGATTTGTTCTTTTTACTTAGGATTGTCTTGGCTATAAGTGGTCTTCTTTGGTTCCATATGAAATTTAAAGTAGTTTTTTCTAATTCTGTGAAGAATGTCAATGGTAGTTTTATGGGAATAGCATTAAATCTATAAATTACTTTGGGCAGTAAGGCCATTTTCATGATATTGATTCTTCCTATCCATGTTCCATTTGTTTGTGTCCTCTCTTATTTCCTTGAGCAGTGGTTTGTAGTTCTCCTTGAAGAGGTCCTTCACATCCCTTGTTAGCTGTATTCCTAGATATTTTATTCTCTTTGTAGCAATTGTGTGCTTCCTTCCTCTCTGTGGATCATGCCAGCCTCCTAGTCAGTTCTGATGAGAGAACCTGGCTACCTTGGTTGCCGGTGAAGGATTCACACACTTACTACGGTTCTTTCGATGGGAGCTTCCAAATACCACTGTTTCTAGTTGGCCCTCTTGGCCCCACCCCCTAAAACTTCAGGATTATTTTAAACTAGTCTCTTTCATTTTTCATTCATCACCGGTATCTTCATCCTATTTCTACTTGTGTTACTCCCACCATCATCCCCTATGTATGTTTACTGCCACTATCTCATGATTTCCACTAAGACTGTTACCACCAGTTTCCCTGCCTCCCATCTCCCACCTACCAAATGTAGCTTCTGGAGCATACTCCTGATTGTATCGACTCCAAAGATGTTGAAAGCTTTCCTATTGCTCACTACCGAGTGATTCTCAACATAATGCTCATTTGCAATCAATCATGCATTTTGCACTAATAATCATTTTTTTAAAGTTTTAAAGGTATTTACTGTTTAAAAAATTTAGATGATTCAAGATTGGCTTACAGAAATGTCATTCTCACTTACTTGCATTCCAATATGTTGTTTTGAGTAGGGAAAAGAAGGTTAAAATATCCACTGACACATGGGGATTAGACATAACCTACTCACAGGAGTGTGTCACACATATGGATGTCTTTATCCATGTAGAATAATGGATGTCCTTATCCATGAGTTTGAAACTTCAGTTTCAAACATTTCAGGGGCTGGGGAGAAAGCTAAGGATTATTTAACTGTTTTTGATCCACCTTCTTTGCATGTCTTATATGGTTGGCCTAGCAACTCACTTTGGAATATAGGAGAGGTCACACCTATTGTTTTAGGGAAATCAAAGTGAGACAAATAGAGGTTCATTTTAACACCTTCTTTCACTGAAAGCCGACCTATAAATTATGTGAGGATGTAAAATACTCTCTGGAATTCCCAAATCTCTGGCTATGGACAGTATAAATTTCCCACTGAAGCAGTTGCTGGGGCACGTTTCCCCACTGACCCTAGTGTTTGGCTCTGAATATGACATTCTTGTATTTCTTCACTCCCTGAGACTTTGGCTGTACCACTATGCAGAAATGAACTAAGTGCTATCTTTTGAAAGGTCTGTTTATAAGGTTGGCCCTTCACTGGTGTCTGGGAACTTGGATTTCAAGAGGATTCCCACCATTCCCAAAACACATAAGAGTAGCTCACTATGGCTAAACTGTTTGTTCAAACAATTCATTTGTACTGAACATTTGCTTTTGTTCTGGGAGTCTGGAATTTTGATCTGTGCCTGGTAGATATTATCTATGTTAAAATAAAAGCTTTAGAGGAATTAAATTTAGCAGAGTTTATTTGAGCAAAGAATGATATATGAATCAGGCAGTACCCTGAACCAGTAAAGGTTCAGAGAGCTCCACTCAGTAGTGTGAGCAGTGAGCTTTTGTAGACCAGACACAGAAGAAAACTAGAGAATTCATTTGATCGCTACAGCAAGGTATCTGCCTTATATGGGCATGTTGTGATAAGTTGGCAGGCTGTAATTCACTGAGCTTGGCTGCTGTGATTGGCTAAGATTCAGCTATTTGTTACAAGAATATACTCTCAAGTTAGGCTTTCAGTTTAAGTAGTAAACTAGGTTGCAGTTGGTACATAGAGACTCAAGGTACAGAGGCAGGCTTGGGCCAAATTTAATTTAATTTAATGCCTATGTGACCAGCTCTCCAACAAAATTCTGGGTGCTAAGGCTCTAACAAAGTTCCCTAGTTAGCAACATTTCACATATGTTGTCACAGTTCACAGAGGAGGGGAATTAAATGCATCTTATGCAACTTCACTGGGATAGGACTCTTGTAAGATTGCACCTATTTTTTCCTGAACTTTGCCCATGTGCCCTTTCTTTTTGTTGGTCTTGCCCTAAATTCTTCTGCTACAATAAACCTTAGTCATGAGTATGACTATACACTAAGTCCTGTGAGTTTTTCTGGTGAATTATTAAACCTGGGAGTGGCCTTAGGGAAGCTCCACTCCCAACATAGTCACTATTGCCAGTTCTTTTGAGAATCATAGTGTTCTTGCTGAAATAATCTTAGAAATGTGCTTTGTTTTTTCAAATATTTCAAATTTACCTATCACAAAATCATAATCTCAGCCAAGAAAAATTAAAGTGATATAGGTTTCAAATCTCTGTGTCACCATGTTTTCCTTCATAGCACAGAGGACCATCTCAATTATATTTATTGAGTGCCTCTATGAGTAGTCACTTTTGGCCTTTCTCTATGTAGTGAATAATTTGGCTTTGCCCAAAGATAGGTCTGGCCTTTTCCTTAGGCTTCTGGGAGATAATTTATGTCATGACCTCTTATGAGTCTCTTTGTTTGGGCAGGGGCTGGTCACATCAGAAAGAACCACCATGTGATTTAAGGTAGGGTCTTTGGGACAGGTAGTATCAGTTGACCTGGAGGCTGAGTTCAACCAGAAGGGCAATCAATCAATCAATCATGTCTACATAATGAAGCTCCAATAAAAACTCTGGACACTGAGCTTGGGTGAGCTTCTGTGGTTGGCAATATTTCTTGTGTACTGTCACACTCAATCCCGGGAGGGTCACCTGTTCTAGCCCCACAGAGGACAACAAAAGCTGCTTGCTAGGAACTCTCCCAGACTCTACGTATCTCTTCCTTTGGCTGATTTTGATCTGTGTTCTTTCCCTATAACAAACTGTATCTGTGAGTATAATAGCTTCCAGTAAGCTCTGCGAGTCCCTTTAGCAAATTATCAAATTTGAGGGTCATATGGGGCACCCCCGAACTTATAGTTGATGTCAAAATTGGATGTTTTGAGGACCATGCCCTCAAACATCACAGTTTGGCTGGCTCTGAGTACCCCCTTTCCCCTTTCCTTGACTTTGTTTTGGTAATTGCCAACTGCTGAGGCCAACTTCATCTACTTGCTATTTTGTGAATATTTCTTTATGTGTTCCACTTGTATTATAAGACAGGATAAAGGTGGGGCAGGGGCAGTTTGAAATGTGACGGTAAGAAGCATGTGCACAATACTCATAAAAAACTAGCTACCAACAGGGGGCATGGGCATAAACAAGCTCTCACATTACAGATGGCACTATAGCTGTGATTCCCCAACCCTGGAATGGAAAGAAGTTCTAGGACCACTACTCTAAACAATATATTGCACTAGAGTATTCTTCTTGTTTGGTCAACAGTGGACCCTCATATGTCGAGCACATTTTGATTTATCTGAGGCAGAGGAAAATCCAAAATTCTAAATTTTTAAGTCTCACATATTTTGGGACAAATAATAATTTTTCCCCCACTTTGTTTCCTTAGAGATACCTATGACAACTGTAAGCAAAATATTTCATGGCCACTGAGGCAGCATCACGATGGCACACTGACCTAACAAATAAGTGAAACAATATATCCTGTTAACATGATATTTTGGATCAAAATTGTGTTAAAGTATGTGCATTGCAAAAACATATTAATCTTTTTCTTTAAGGCAGGGTTCTTGTTTTAAACTTAAATACCTTTAAAAGTGTTTATTTTCTAAATATAACCCCTAAGCAGGGTTTCCATAAAACAATATACTGAAGAGTAGAATTAGAAACCCAAAGTTTGTTGCCCTAGCATCTCTTTAAAAATTGGGAAAGAGAAGAATTTCATAAACTTCTGTTTTCTCTGTCCATAATCAAGAATTTTAAGGTTAAGAACACCTAAGAAATAAAAAGGAGAATCCAGTGTCTAGATCTTCTCTGAAGTAAAAAATTTCAGGCTCTAAATTTGCTGATATAAATAGTCATAGAGAAGAATAATTTTCAAACACCTCTGTGCTTTTTTTTATATCCAGTCAGTACATTCCAGCTTCTGGACAGTTTTCATCTTCCAACCAGCATGCTCCTCAGAAAGTATAAGCATGTGTGCAAGAGGAGATCAGAGAACGAGCTCAAAAGAAATGATTTTATCTCCTATTTGGGTTTTTCAGAAGAGAAAGGTATATGGGTGGGAAGAAGAAAAAAGGGATGGAAAGTGGGGAGATATTTCTCCAATGATAGCATGGACAGAAGCAATTATTTCTGTTTAAAGATGATGATGACTAGATGATCTATGTTTATATTTTAATATACCTAGTTGGGCTAATCTAATTTTTATTAATTTAACCTTATTCTTCAAAATGGCCTCTATAGTTTATTAGATGATTGCTATTGTAGATTTAGTCTCCCTCTCCCCCCATTTTGATCTTACCATCTGTATGGTGAAGTGAAAACAATGGGAAGCCAGATATGTTTCTGTCTAAGCTCGTTTAACTCTTCCTAAGGCTCTCTTATTCTTTAGCTGTTAGGAAAGCCTTAACTACTACTTTCCCTCTTATTCCTCTGACTTTACTTGGACATGCCTCAAGCCACCATTTGTTTTTGCCTCTCCTGTTCGTAAATATCTACCTCTTCAGTTTCCTTTTCCATCTTTACTCTTCATGTCCGTTTGTCAAAATAACATAAGCTCCATAAGGGCAAGGACTTTCTTGCCATGTTTTCTTGCCATATTCATTGCCATATTTTCAGTGCCTAGAATGGTGTCTGGCATATGGTAGGAGCAAAAAAACTTTTTGTTGAATTAATGAGTATTTCCACCATAATTTTTTTAAAAAGCTAATGTCTTTGATCTTCATTGTAATAAGGCAAACAGATTATTACCATAGTCATTGCATCATTCAAGTAGTGAATACGTTGTTGATGAGCTGGGCTCCACTAGAATCTGACTTTGAAGTACAACTTTCCAAAAACACATCATATTGAATACATTTAGTAATCTAAATCCAATCAATGATGTAGAGGCGGCCTTGAAAGAGACTTTCCCCGAAACATGCTGAGGTTTCAAAACCACTTCTTTTGCTTATAGATCTTCCATTCATTTAAGAGAACTTCTTATTACTAGAAAGTTGGATGGATTGGAATGAAGTATAGCATAGTCTCCTCAATATATTTTAATAGGCTAGGAAAGCAAACTACATGTTTATACTTTAAATATATATGTGTAGAATCATCTGACAGAATCAGTGTCTCAGTGTTATGGGAGTCCCTCTTGAGACTCTCTGATATCACAATGCTGTGGCATTTCTTATTTCTCTTAGGAAGAATATGGTGTTAATAAGCTGTGACTAATAATCAAGCTGCAAAAAGACTGCTGTGCCCTTGACCTATTCATTTCCCACAAGATAAATTATACATATTGTAACAATGAAAGAAGACAAATTACATATATTGCAAATTCATGTAAGAAATCTCTCCCTGTCTAGCAATTATATTTGCTGCTTGACGCTTCTTTTGGAGAATAGGAAAAAAATCTTGTCTTTTGGTGTTCAAATGAGGTTAAGGATGTTGTGACTCGTGACTCAATGTCACCATTTAACCTACCTCAAATGAACTAAGAACTATAATTGGATGTCACTTGGGACCTTGGTTTCTGCTCCAAGGAAAGTAATAAAACAAGATAGAACATATTACCCCATTGAAATAATTGCTTGGTAATGCCCCATAAACTTGTCTGAGTTGCAGGTGAGGCCCTCTGTTTTTGCCCAAAGACCAAGTAAGCTAGATAAATATGCTGTTCAGGCTACTTGAACTTTTGAAGAATTATCACATTTGCCAGAGGACTATAAGTAGTACATGTAGTATCTGGCTTTCGCTTAGGATTTTCTTTATCAGGCAATAAAGAAGTAGTAAAACCTTTGTGAATAGTCTCTATCTCTTAATGTCTACAACTTTTATCCCACTGTAATGGAGCTAAACAAAGTAAGGTCTGGTCAGAGAAATGTCAGCCCTTAATTTATGGAGGTTTTGAGATACTAAAAGAACTTATTACCTCCCCTTGTAAATTATATGTAGACATTAAAGCATTATATGTTGTATTGTAATGTGCTGTTCTGAGCCCTGGGCTGCCTACCCAACATCTCCATATGGAGATATCTCAATCTTAACCAACGTAAAATGAAGATTTTTAATAGTATTATTAATAATTGACATTGTTTATTTATCTTCTAGGTATGTGAGATTCTGAAAGAGGTATATTAAAGTCTCAGCATGAAAGCATAAAGGTATTTTATCATATTTTTGTGATAAATATTTCTGATATTCACTTAACCTGAGTTGAGTGACCATGTTGTTTGATGCATGAACTTATAACTGCTATATTTTCTTCATAACAATGCTTTTAATCATACATATTGTCTTTTGGTCCTACTAAGTTCCTTATCCTTGTATTTCACCCTGAATGATGTTACTGCAACTCCTGATTTTTTAATTTGAATGTTTTAGCATCCCTTTGACCATCTCCATGTTTTCTAATTTTATTTATAGCATTATGATTATTGAAAATAATCGATAACTTTTTAAAATCCTTTAAAATTTTTAAAAAAATTTGTCATTCTGCTCTTCCATAAGAGGATTATATTAATTTGCTTTACTGTATGAAGTAGTACACTTGATTTTACTCCATTAATCTTTCATAGTAATAATATTTTAGTTTGTTTTTTCTTTATACTTTTTAGGAATGTGATTAAAATTATGAAACATTTTGTAAATGTATGTATCATTCATGCTAAGGGTTCGTGCCAATCTCCTCTGTACTCCAGTCTTGCCATATAAGTGCAAAAGTGTACATGGGTGATTTCTTCTAGTTCCCCTTTTCAGAATTAAATTCTTGATCTCCCTTCTCAGGACTGTTCTGATCTTCTTCTCTAGCCAGAAACTCTGGGGTCAGCTCTCCTTCTTGCCTCTTCCTCACAATCACTTCCAACCTTTCAGTAAGTCCTGTCAATTCTGTCTCCAGAGTATCTGTTCACCTCTTTCCCTATCCACAACTATCACTCTAGTCTGAACAATATTTACCTGGATAATGCAGTAATCTCAACTAATTTCCCTATTTCCAATAAAGAAAGAGACTATGGAATACTTGGCATATTCTTGTAAGAAATTCCTCTTTGTGTTTGTCTTGTTCCTCACCAACTCATTTTTCCACAAAACCTTTAAAAAATACAAAACTTGTCATATTTTTTACTCTGCCCAAAGTCCTTCAGTTTCCCATTCCACGTGGAATACAATTTCAAAGCCTTTATTAATGGCTCTTACCACACTGGTTCGATGGAATTGGTTTCATCATTTTTCTCCCTGAATTGAGAAAGCATATTTGTTGACTACAATCTTTATTATTAAGAAAAAGCCTTAAAAGTTCTGGTTCCCTAAAAACTTTGTATTCTCTTAGAAGAAAAGAGAATATTATCTAACAATTAAAAGACCCATTAGTTTCAGAAGTAGTTGACTTCACACTTAATAGAGTAGATGGGACAAAAATTAAGGATAACAGGAACTTGTTTGGCTAGCAAATACATGCCTGACTTTACTCTCTTTTCTATCAACAAAATAGAAGACAGAGAAGTCAAATACTTATATCCTATCCTAGTAACTTTTGTAACTAGAGGGTGGCTGCATGATATAGTTTTAGCTAATGAAACCTAAGTGAACATATGCTGGGAGAAGCATACATTTTTCTGATAAAAATATTAGTCACAAGCAGCCAGTGTTACTACCTTAACCCTACCCTTTGAAGGTGTAGCCTGGAGCTATGGAAGCCATCTTGGAATTGTGGAGGAGGGCTGAACCACCCTGGCATTAATGAACCATTAAACCAACATCAGCAGCTGCCTAACTCCAGACTTCTAGTTATGCAAAAACAAATTATTCTTTTTAAAAAGCACTGTTTTCTTTTACATGCAGCCAAAGGCATTCCTACAGTAATGTCAGAATAGAACTGAAACAAAACCTCTGATAGGCAGTAGATTTCAACATTCAGATGAAGATTCAACCATATAATGTTTGATCCTTTACTATTCTGCATTTTCCAAATATTTTAGTGTAGTTTTAAATTTTAATATTTTCATATCTTTTTTTTTCATACTATAAACTTACAAATAGGAACACCTGAAAAGGCTAATTACTTTCACTTCTTCTACACTTATTTGTGAATTTTGAATAAACATTTTTAATTTTAATAATTTTTAGTCTTTGCCAGCATTAATCAGATGGACTGAAGCATAAGTCACCATAGTGTCTGTGGGGGTAAAAAATAAAATTAAAAATCAAAAAATTAAAAGTCTATTAATGAAAAGTCATAAGTAGGTATACGTGAAATTGAAATACAATCAAGCTTTCAAATGATGTTCGTTGTCAATTAGTATCACTTATGCTTCTACAGTTATTAAAGCTTAAAACTGCATCGTGACTTCTGGGAGACCCTGATACCAGGCACTGTAGTAAGCACTAGGATAAAAAGGCAAATCACACAGACATAGTTTCTAAGTTTAAGAAGTTAAAAATCTGATATAAAGGCTCTTTATCCTGATAGCACACTAAATTACAGGAAAAAATTAAAAATAACACCACACACGCAGTTTCCAATCCCAACCCCAGGATTTCTGATCGCATTGGTCTGAGATGGGCCATAGGCATCAGCATTTTTAAACTCTCCTGTAATCCTAATGTTCTCCTAGAATTGAGAGCCACTGATTTAGTGTGTGAGCATTCATATTCATTTCCAACCAAACCTATGCCAACAAGCCTTTTCCAAGGTGGCTTCCTTTAAGAAGTAGAATAAAATAGAATGAATGCATTAGAGAAACCTGACCAGCATACTAGGTAGTAGGCATCCTTTTGCACTCACGACTTCAAAGTGGTAATTAATTACCATGTGTGGAATGTCCATAACATTCTTGTTCAAGATTTTTCTGGGTAAGCAATGGGTGGCCTTTGCCTGTTTAAGTTCGTGTTTAAAATCATTCTGAAATGCAGTGGTCCACACAATGTTGTTTGTAATAAACCCTCTCCTTGAAGGATGAAGATAGTCAGTCCTCAGAAATACAGTCTTGTTACTGGCTTAGTGCATACCATATGCGCCTCCATTTTTAAAACTGGAACACAAGAGAATGGTTAATTAAAGATTTCTATTATTATATTTCATTTATTTGAGGTTGTTTTCTATATTGCATTATGTGCTTGAGAAAGAAAAAGGCACAGGGTAAAAAACATTTTATATTTACTCTCCTCAAGTTATTTAGAAACAAATAAGAGATGGGCAATGGCAAAAATAATAAGTAGATTTTTAAAAATATCTCAGTCGTTTTATGTGAGGAGAGTTGTTTTTGCAGTAAGTATCCATTGAGCACCTGCTTGGTGCTAAGTATTTTTCTGGACACAGGAGGAACAACACAGAAGGGGGTCTTTTGTTTGGAAACCTGTAGTCTAATGAGGTAGTTCCATTTTGTCAGAATATTTTGCTTAAGATACATAATTGCTCTATGAAATATATTTTTTATAAAGAGTTCTTGATTTTTTATGAATTTTTTTAGAATAATTTTTTATTTCAAAACAACAGGGATTCGTTTTGTTTTTGAGGTAAAGTTGACCATGCTTTCTGACTAACAAAAAATTAAAAAGTACAGAGGCAAAAAAAAAGGAAAAGTTTAAAGTTTAAATGAAAAAAATCTCATAATCCTAGAATTAACCACGGGTAACTGCAGCCTTGAACTCTTGGGCTCAAGTGATCCTCTTGGCTCAGTCTCCTGGCTGAGGTGCCCATCACCATGCCTGGCTATATTATTAATTTTTTTTTAATGAGAGATTTGGTCTTACTATATTGCCTAAGCTGGTCTCCAACTCCTGGCCTCAAGTGATCTTCCCACCTCCTCCTCCCAAGGTGCTGGGTTTACGAGTGTGAGATGCCATAAAGAAAATGATCAAGGAATTAGAAAATAGACATAATCTGGTATTAGTGATGGATGGGTGAAAATCCTTTTATTTTAGGAAGTGTTCCGATTGCATCTTGTCACAGCAGCTGAAAGAAATTATAGCTGGAGGTAAGTCACAATGTCAGGCAGTGGCAATGTTTGATACCGGTAACACTCTGATAGATTATATGAGTAGTCTTCAAACTGGAGAACATTAGTGTCTGCGGAGTGCACGAAGACTTTCCAAAGGTACAGACAGTTTTAAGGGAACTCAGTGTTCTGAATCTTAACTTTCATGGATACACTTTCCTGAAGCTGATCTGCCTAAGTAATGTCAAGATGGGAGGTCAGTTCTTTTTCTTTCACATTTGTCCTTCACCTACTTTACTCCCACCCAAACTGAATCTTTTTTGGGAATGAAAAGCCTTCAGGGTCTCAGATAACAGGAAAACTTTGTGTAAAATGGTATCTTTAAATGTTCTTTAATCAAGACATCCTAAGAAAAGACTTATCTTTCCTTTTTTTTTTTTTTTTAAATTCAGTCTTTGTGGTAAGCATAGCCCTAAGATGGTTTTCAAGATTCCTAGTTGCTGATGGTGTCTCAGTCCCGCACCTTGTATAATCCTCTCCCTTTGGAAGGAGGCAGGAACTGTGAATATAATGGAATAGCCACTCCAAAGATTACATTACATCACGTAAGCCTCTGTCTTAGATGGGAGGGATTCTCCTCTTGGCTGTCAGCTGCCGTATTGTGAGAGGGATCTGTGAAAGGGCCAAGGAACAAGGAACCTTGGGGTCCCCCAGGACCTGACAGTGGGCCCTGGCTGATAGCCAACAACAAAGCTCTGAAGCTGCAAGAAACTGAATTCTGCGAAGATGACCCTGAGGTTGAGAAAGTATCACTGCCCGGCTGATATCTCATGAGATTCCTGCACTTATGACAACCTGACCCAGCCAGGAGTTCTGATTCACAGAAATTGTGAGATAATAAATACATGTTGTTCTGAGCTGCTGCGTTTGTGGTACTTTGTTACACAGCATAGACAATCAATGCAGTGTTCAACAAGTGTTTATCAAGCATGTACTATATTCAAGATACTGTGATACTGCATTTAATCACACTTTCCAAATTCCCTTCCCTCATGTGGCTTACCTCTTAGGGGGTAGAATAACTATAAACAAAATTTAAATGTAAAATATCTAGAATGTCATGAAGTAATTATTGCCAAGAGAAAAAAAAGTAGGAAAATAGGAAATGACCTGTGTGATGGGCAGGGCTGGAGACAGGGAGGTGTAGAAGGCTTAGCTTTACAACAAAGAAGTAGCAGGGTCTTGTAAGAAGGAAGGTAAGTGGTGATGTTGAGGGGAGAGCATTCTCAGCAGAGGAAAAACCGGTGCACAGGCTCTTGGAGATGGGGACATGCGGGTCTGATGGAGCAATGGCAAAGGGGCCAGTGAGGTGCAGTGGAGTGAATGAGGACAAGAATAGGAGACAAGGCCAGGGAGGGAAAAGGAGGCTAGCTTCTGCATAGCCTTGAGGATCACTGTAAGTTTCTTGGCTTTTACTCAGAGTGAGATGGGAAGCCAAGGGAGATTTTTAAACAGGGGAGTGATACGATTTTCTTTTTCCTTTAACGGACTAGCCATTGCTGCTATGGAATGTGGGTATAGATTGAAAGGAAGCAGGGGTAAAAGCAGGGATAACATTTTGGATCCTATTAATAATCCAGGCAAGAGGGAACTGTGGCTGGATCAGGGTAATCCTGATCCAGAGGATCAGAGGAAAAAGTTGCTAATTTCTAATCCTTTCTTTTCAGCATAATTGAAGGTGGGTATTCTTGACAGAGAATTAAAATCTCCTTCCATTTCCTCTACATACTTTTGTAAAGAAGTTTCTCAGGGTCAGGCGCGGTGGCTTAGGCCTGTAATCCCAGCACTTTGGGAGGCTGAGATGGGCAGATCACGAGGTCAGGAGATCGAGACCATCCTGGCTAACACAGTGAAACCCCATCTCTACTAAAAATACAAAAAATTAGCCGGGCATGGTGGCAGGGGCCTGTAGTCCTAGCTACTTGGGAGGCTGAGGCAGGAGAATGGCGTGAACCCAGGAGGCAGAGCTTGCAGTGAGCGGAGATCGCACCACTGCACTCCAGCCTGGGCGACAGAGCAAGACTCCGTCTCAAAAAAAAAAAAAAAATCTGTAAAAATTGAACATGTAGAATTGAACTGATGCTGAAACCTAACCCCATTCTAGCAAAAGTAATACGGATACATGGATACATGAACTAATTACAACATTCTCAGCATTAAGAGATACATTTTTGTGTTTAATATTCCTATTGAAACTTTTAATACACTTTCATCATCTGTATAAATAATAATTGTAACAAAGAATGATAGGGTGATTAATTATAGGCCTTCAAGTATGAATAAATTCACTAGGAATATTACATTAAGACATACACACCTGTGGGGAAGTGAAATAGAAATTTGAGTACAAAGATTGAAGGGGATAGCGAAAGTTTTCGATTCCATGAAAAAATGTGGTGATTACTTTTAAAAATGGATAAGGAAACTCAACTGAGCCATTTCACGATGTATACGTATTTCGAAATGATATATTACACACATAAATATATACAATTTTTATATGTCAATTAAACGATCAAATAAGTAAAATGTGTTTAAAAATGAGAAAGACTGAGCATCAAATCAGTATGATATTTAGATTCTGTGAGATACATTCAAGCTGGCTGCCTCCAGACGCTAGTGGGCCTGGGCCCTGAGTAGAAATGAGGCCCACCTGCTGTAGGCTTAGGTATTCAGGAGTTACAAGTGTAGCTGAAAAATTGTTAGGAAAAATATGCTCTATTTTACCTTGAAAAATGTTCTCTCAATGTCACAGAATAACAAATGTGTAAATTTTTGGTTTTTATATGCCCTAAAAATGGCATAATGTTTGTGAGTACTGAATTGCGTGCATTTGGGTATTCTTTTGGTGGACTACTTGTTTTTGGATACGTTAAGAGTAATGGGCCGGGCGCGGTGGGTCATGCCTGTAATTCCAGCACTTTGGAAGGCCAAGGCGGGCAGATCATGAGGTCAGCAGATCGAGACCATCCTGGCTAACATGGTGAAACCCCGTCTCTACTAAAAATACAAAAAATTAGCTAGGCGTGGTGGCGGGTGCCTGTAGTCCCAGCTACTCGGGAGGCTGAGGCAGGAGAATGGCGTGAACCTGGGAGGCGGAGCTTGCAATGAGCCCAGATCGCGCCACTGCACTCCAGCCTGGGCTACAGAGCGAGACTCCGTCTCAAAAAAAAAAAAAAAAAAAAAAAGTAATGACATATGTAATATATAAATGATTGTATGTTCTTTCATAAATTTTATTTTTATTCTATTTAGTGGATAGCTAAATTATTTTGTCATAATCAAAATTTTCACATAATTTGTGTTTTAATGACAGTAATAATCTACAAAATTAAAAGCAAATTATAATTATAATCAAAGTGCACAAAACTGAACAATATGTTTATAAAGAATTATAGTAAATGCAAAACAAGAATTTTTTAATGTTTTTGAAAAAAGTTACTTTTAAATCAAAATTACTTAATTTTTGAACACTGAATTTAACATTAAATATATTTATACAAAGAAAATTATTTGCAATTTTATTGTTAAATTTCCATCTAGTTGTGCATGCAAAAGAGGTCTAAATATTCACATACATAAATATAGGGTAATAGGAATTGTTTATTATTGATAAATACTCCTCAGCTACTGTGTACAACTCTTGGCAAATATCATTTTAATCGGAAATTAGAGAGGCAAGAAAATGGGTATTTGACCTGGTAGGAAAAATTACTTTGTTATTTTAAGAACTTTGCATTCATGCCTCTGGTATAGGGATTTGATAAGTTAATCTATTTGTCTGTATCTTAAGCATTTCAAATATACCCTTCCCTCCAAAGCAGCATCTGACTCAGACCTCAGTGGCAGTACATCCTCCAGGCTTTTCTAACATTTACATGCACTTTCTTTTTGTGTGGAGGACTAGGGCAGGAGATGTGCAAAAGTGATTCCCTGGTGTTGAATGGCGTTAGTATTGAGAGCAGATGTTTAGAGTTACAGGTCTTTCTGCATGAGTGTTAAATGCTATGCTCCTGGTAATAGAGGGTCCTGGGCATTTTTAAAATGAATTTATATGGTATGCCTTCACAGTGTGCAGGGTTCCTCTTGCTCAGGTCTAAGAATTCTACTTCACTTAAAAGATCATTTTAATTTTCAAATTTCAGTGTTTACTAATGTTAGAAAATATATTCCTTGCAACTGTTTAAATTTATGATAAAAATTACAGGCTACAACTGAAAATGTGTTATAGGATACAAAGTTTTGCAAAATTATTTTAGAGCTAGTAGAGTTTGAAAATACTGGTTAAAAAGCCTTATATGGTGCTAATTCAGTAGCCTTCCCGCTTCTTACACTAATTATGTTTGTGCCTCTAATTTAAATGCATGAAATTAAATCCATTTGGCACATTTAGTTTCCCTTTTCCCTCTTCAGGCAGAACTTTTTAGCCAGGATTGCTCATGACCTATGATTTTGGCTATAATTTGACCACCTCTAATTAAATCAGCTGTGTTCAGGATTTGATTCACATGGCAGAGACCTCTCCAGTACAAGAATGAACAAAGATTGAGTTACAAGTGTTTCTATTAATATAAGATATGAACTTCAAAGAGGTATTCTGCTGCCATAATCTTGAATTGGTCAGGGACAGCTCTGTGAAGGCACATAAAAGAAAAGGAACAAGTACTATACTAGAAAAAAACCGGGAAAAGTTTCCTGCTTAATAGATATTACTATTTAATGAGAGTGATCGCAGCTGCAGAGCAACAAAGTAGCTGCATAAACCTCATGGCCAAATTGTAAACACTCTCCAGAAACAGGAGTATTTCATCCAATTTTTCAACAGAAATCCTTAAAACAGGTGAGGAAAGGGAAGCATGGTACAAAATAGTGAGTAGTTAAGTGTATGGTCTCTAGAGTTGAACTATGTGGGTTCTCAGCCCAGCTCCACCACTAACTGGGAAAGTCACTTGCCCCGTCTGTGTCTCAGATTCCAAATCCATAAAATAGAAGCAATAATGCTAACTTTCCGCTGATGTTGTTAAGGTTACAGGAGATAATTATTGCTAGTCACTTTGATAGTGCCTGATACAATTAAAAACTTAAGTGACACTAGTTAGTATTATGAATAAAGTTTACTGGAGTCATTTTATGTTAACGTGTTTTTGAATATAACACGAGATAGTGTAATTCTCAATTAATCTACATCTATGGAGGGAAGGAGAGGTATTAATGACATACACTATCAGAAATTGGAAAAAAAGGCATTAATTTGTCTTTCCATTATTTCTGGAAATGTTTACCTATTTTTTAAAATAATTTTCTATGTTTTGTACTCATTCACAATTTAAAAAGCATTTATTTTATTATGAACACAGGAAAGTAATAAGCATAAAAAGTAATTCATTCCTAAAACTGAAACAACTCCACCCTCATTTGCCAATACTACCACTAACTCTTTAATATCCTATGAGTCTTCTGAAATTACATGCATTTGAGAACAAATGGTGGATACACCATGGTTACTTAATATTCATATGGATGCTCTAATTGAAGAGGAAAACAGTGAGATATCTGCAAAATACAATCAGGCAATTCTAGCACTTAAAGTGAAAAGACACGAATGTTTTAGCAAAATAATATTAAAAACAACATAGGTTCATTTAGTAGCAATAATTTCCAAGTGTGCCTTGGTAGAATTATTACTCAACAGTCTTGTTTTATGATCCGAAGAGGGGAATTAAGGATATTTCAGTCCTGCTAAGCTGTTATTTTAATTTGAGAATAAAATCTCTCATATATCTAAACTACAGAAGACATCACACATTTGTGTGCATACATGTGCACACTCACACACTTTTAAAAGCCAGACTACAAATTTTCAACTATAAATTTAAAGGACTACTTAAAATTTTCTAAAGAACTAAAGTTCTTTAGAAAGAACTTTAAAGGACTACTTAAACTTTCTAAAGAAAGTTTATAATATGACATTTTATATTGTATTACTTGGTTAAAACTCAAGAAATAATCACTAGATCTTTTCAAAAAACAATCCACATAAGTGAGGTAGAAGAAAAATTAGACTTGGAAATCCTAGTTTGAATTTTAGCTACGTTGGGAATACTAAACTCCTTTGCGAATAACTTGGTTTATAAGTGTAGGTATTTAATGTTGTTGTAAACTCTCTATGGAAAGTTTTTAAATCAAATGATTATATTTCACAAAGATGCGTTGTAATATAATAATTTTCAGTAGAAATCCTAAGGTAGATAAATAGTTATTCTCATTTAGCAAATGCCCAGAAAGACATGGGAGAATTTAAATATCTTGACATGATATAACACAGTCTACTAAAATGTTATGGTAGAATGTAGGACAACTAGCTACAGCCCTGATCTTTGAACAACAAAAGGGAATTTACTTCCTACCCTACAGCTGACAATTCTGAGCCTCTTAAAATGAACATAATGTTAAAACTCCAAGGTTATGGTTTCACAACAGACTGGAAACAGAGCTCTACAGTATATCAGAGTGGCAGAATCCTAGCATAAAGGCAGAATCCAGACTGTCTGGGTTCAAATCCTAGTTGTGCCTTATTCTAAATGAGCAAGTTATTTAAGCTCTGTCTATGCTCCCGGATCTTCATCTATAAAATGGGGGTAAAACCGTATCTATCATTTAATCCTATAGTGAGGGTTAAAGCAGTTAATAATATGCTTAGAACTGTACCTGGCAAATAGTAAGCATTTAGTAAATGTTATTTACTATTGTTATAGTTGTACTGTTGTTGTATTATTTGTACCATTAGGATTAGGCTTATGTACATATGACATGGGAGTTGCATCTATGATGTGAATTTTTGTTTACTCAGATTAACTTTTCCTCTGCTAAATTAAACTCCTTTATAGATGTCTCAAATTGCACACTGGCAACTTGTTCCTCCTATTGAGACTATAGAGGTGGCATAGACACACAGGTCTTTGCATGGCCAGGAATTATACCAATTATACAGTCTCCTTGAATCAGGCAATTTAGGCCATCCAAACTAATGGCCAATCATCCAGCATGTGGACAGATGATGGTGTGGGGGATTTGTCAGCTATAAGTGTTGAGCAGCAAGCAACTCACATCAGTGAGGTCTGGCAGCAGATATCAAGATATCTTTTGCTTAAGCCAATTTGAGAAAGGTTTACTGTAATTTGCAACAACAGCAAATCCAGGATGACACACACTTACCTTATCAAGTTATTATTATTAATTTACAAACCTATCTTTCTCTTGGAACTCTGAGCTAATACAGGGGAAATATTGTGTATTAGTCATCTTTGTATCAATACGTAGTAAGCATTAAGCAATTGACATACAGCATGGGCACAATATGCATTTAGTGAATGAATGAGTGAATGAATAGATGACTGAATGAGCAAAACCAATTGCCTGCTGTATAGCCAAGTGTCTGAGGAACAGGCTTGTAAACTACAGTTTGTAGGTCATATCAGGACCACAGTCTGTTTTTGTAAATAAAGTTTAATTGACTCACAATTATTCCCACTCATTTATGTATTGTATATGGTTGCTTTTGTGCTACAATGGCAAAGTTGAGTAGTTGCAACAGAGTCTGTATGGCTCATAAACCCTAAAATACTATCTGGCCATTGCAGAAACAGTTTGGCCCGGTAGGTGGACAGATGATAGTGTGAGGGGATTTGGTCAGTGGTAGGTCTTGGGCAGCAAGCAACTCATGTCAGTGAGGTCTGGCAGCAGATATCAATGGCCAGTCCTGGAGACTAAGGGTTAAGGACAGCATTCCCACCCCCAGACAGTCTGGGAGGGCAAAATCCCTGGTAATGGGTAATAGCATAAAGGACAGGGACGGATCTAGGGAGATTTTAGTTTTTGTGTCCAGGGATTAAATCACAGTTTAGTCCCAACATAGTACCAGATGGATTCTGGACTGAAAAAACAAGCAAGGCAATGGTTTTTCTAGCATCTCTGTTACAATATAAATATTTCAGGAAGGGATATGATACTATTACCTAACATTTCACTTGGAATGAGCTTAATATATTCCTCTCTGTTAGTGGTTAATACAACACAGAAGAGATGAGATGACTGGTGAGATCACAAGGACATTGTGTACGTGTGTGTGTGTGTGTGTGTGTGATATTTGTATGTGGAAAGGAGAAGTACATAGGTGGGAAAGTGGTAAAGGGGATGCTTAAAAGAAGAAAGAGTGAAGATAAGAGAAATTAGCTTGCTGGAGACAACCATTTCCTCCTCTTCAATATTGCTTCGGGATGACCCATCTCCTACCAGGTTTTAAAACATAGCCTAATTTTGGTGCCCATACTTCCTCCTCTTAATATGCTGACTGACATTTTCTATGAGGCATGTGGGACAAATAAGCAAAAAATTCAGAAAATAGCACCTCTAATTAGTTAGGCCAATGGACAGTTTGTACTGATAAAATGGGAGGAGTATTTTATGCCTATTTTATAAAAAAAAGAATAAGACAGAAATGTGCTCAGGAGAAAAAGAACACGCAGTTCTAAAAACAAGTGTTTCTATTTGAAAATTTAAAAGCAGTATCTAGAATTCTAGGAATGCAATTTTATAAAAATCCTTCTTTTAAAAAATTCTGAGTGTCTTCTTGTCTCATATAATAGAGATCTTATAAAATGAACAGGCTTCAGCATTTTTGAGATGCTAAAGGTGAGCAAAAAGCAACAACAACAACAAAAAACAAACAAAACCCAAATATTTAGAAATCAGCATCTACAAAAATGCAAAGCTACCTCTACACTGAAAGAAAGAGCTACCAAGCATTTTTGTTTTCTTTTGATTCACCAGAAAAATTGAGCTGAAAGTAGCTTGGGGTACTAGTTTCAGTCTAACAGTTTAAATTTGTTTAACCTTTAGTCTGCTAGCAACACATACACGTTATGCTAAATCTATAGAGTTATTTTTACTACCAGAATTAGCAACATGAAGGTCTGACTTTTCAGCAGTATTTTTTAAAATTACATTTTGTATGCTAATGTGCCCTTTAATTCCTTCCAATTTTCATTGACAGAGGAATACATTTGTTTTAGAAAGAGGCTTAGCGTAACTTCGTCTCTCTAAAATAATTTTCACAAATTCGTTAATTTAGAAAAAGATGTGAAAGGTACTAGTACATCAACTTCCAGGGCTACTGTTTCAGCAAAAATCAAATTAAAGCTGATCAACTGTAAGTGTATTGCTTTAGTTTTTTTATTTATTTTTGTTTTATTATGTATATGACAAAAGTATAGAAACTCTACCTTAGGCTCTAAATCATCTCAACTTTTGTGATATCTATTTTCTTATAAACAGGGAAAATAACTAATTGTAGGAACATTTACCTGCAGTAACTTTTCAGACCCTATCAATCATCAGGAATATATCTGAAAGCTAAAAATTGGTAGTAAAAAATTATAATAGCAAAGTGCATTGCCTGCAATGTGTATAGGGGGTAGTATTCCAAATTTATGAAGAAATTCTAATCGACAGGTAATCAACAGGAAAAAGCAACACAACCAATGAGAATTGGGCAAAGAGTCAGAAAGGCCAATTCACTGAACAAGAATCCAAGTAAGTATAGAGCATTTGAGAAGATGCTCATCCTCACCAATAATTAAATAAATGCTAACTAAAACACTAGATTACTATTTCATACATCTCAAATTGAAAGTCTATTTTATGCTGTATTTTATGGTGTAAGTATAAATATTTCACACTGTACTTTATTGGTGTGAGTAAGTTTATGGGGGAAAGCTAACTCTGACAAACTGCTGATTTTATATATATATATATATATATATATATACACACACATATGTATACACACAAAATGTATGTATATAAAAAATATACATATGCAAAAAATTCAGAAAACAGCACCTCTAATTAGTTAGGCCAATGGACAGTTTGTACTGATGAAATACAGTATTTTGTGTATGTAACACACACATACACACACACACACACACACACATATATATGTTGTCATTTTGGAAAGCATGTTGGCAATTTCTTCACAGTTGAAAATGCACAAACTAGACCACTCGTTATAAATTCTAAAGACCCTTGTGTGTATGCACAAGGAGGCAGGCGCTAGGAGGGAAAAGGCAGCATTGAATATATGAACAAAATATTAGAATCAAGCAGATATCCAACAGTAGGGGAATAGGAAATTAAATGGTGAAATTATTTACACATGTATATACTATATGGCAGTGAGAAATAAATGAACTAGATCTAGATAGATCAAATAGATGTCTAAAATAATGGTGAAAAATGCATAAAGATATGCATTTTTATGCATTTTTATGCATTTGTGAATAAAACAAGGAAACAAGATTGTGAATAAAACAAGGGAACAAGATTGATAAGAACTAAATACAAGCGTAAATAGATAAAAATAATATTTACTGGTAGTATTTATTTTACTTAAAAATTTCTGAAACGTGAGATAAATTTTAACCTTTTAAAATTTAACCTTTTAAAATGCTGGACGGCAAATATTCAGATGTCTATTATGTTATTCTTTGTCTTTTTCTGCATTAAATACAATTTCCAAAGGCAAATGCAACATTTTCTCAAAGGATAATTTTAAAAGTTAAAACATTTTCTCAAAGGATAATATAATGTCTTCACTTGGGTTCTGTTTACATTGACTGATTGAGATGCAGTCTCACTCTGTCACCCAGGATGGAGTGCAGTGGTGTGATCTTGGCTCACTGCAACCTCAACCTCTCTGGTTCAAGCGATTTTCCCACCTCAGCCTCCTGAGTAGCTGTGTGTACCTCTAAAAGGACATTGTGTGCACCACCATGCCTGGCCAATTTTTCTATTTTTAGTAGAGTCAGGATTTCGCCATGTTGATCAGGCTGGTCTTGAACTCCTGACCTCAAGTGATCCGCCCACCTCGACCTCCCAAAATGCTGGGATTACAGGTGTGAGCCACTGCTCCCAGCTATTTACTTTTAATATGAACAAATATTAATAGATTTAAGAAGCTTGCTTATATGGTGTCTTACTATTTAATAAAAATACAGACTACCAGGTTCTACCTCAAAGCTAATGAATCATAATAATCAGTGAGCATCTTTGAAATCTGTACCCTTACCAAGGGTCTTGGCTGATTCTGAAATTTAACCAAGCTGAGAAAACTTGATTTCATCAAAAACATTTGAGGAGGGCAAGATAAAACAGAAGCAGGCAAACAGGCAGTACTGAGGGAGGTGTGTTTGTCTGAACCCACGACAAGGAACTAAAAATTAAGAGCATACAAAATGAACACCCAACAAAGCAGTCATGGGAAGAAAACTCTTTACTTAAAATACAAATTTTAGGGATGGGAGACTATGTACATGTTCATCTGGATGGGAAAAAATGATCAGAAAACAAGACACTTAAGTATAGACATTATTCTTTTATTACTTGTTACTGAGATATCCAGTTGTGAAACTGTTCTTTCCTTCTGAGAAAATCCAATCAAGAATGAATCCCTACTACCTGTTCCATTCACAAAATGACCCAACCAAAGACCAAATCCCACAAGTTTTTTCAAACACTTTCTACTTGAGATGCCCCACACTTCCCCGTGGTGTGCATTCTCCTTTGCTGTAAGAAGGAATACACTCAGCTTGTTTAACTACAGGTCTGTTCCTGGTGGTCTTTGACTGGAGGGCATTGACACAACTCTAAGTCTTTCTTGCCCAGTGACCAAGAACCTGTACTTGCTATGCCTAATCTTTTTCTTTTGTGGCCTCCTGGTTTTGTCTACATCTGATTCTAGCACTGCCTCAGCCTGAGGTCATCTCTTAAATCTGCCATCTGCTTTGATTTGCCTCCAGGCTGACTTCACATACACCCAACTTCTGCCAGCTCTTCTACTAAGACCATAAACAATCAGCTTGATGTTTATTGATATATGCCAAAAAATGTCATTCCTTAATTAAATTGGGTGAATAAGTATTATTGCCATGAATAGACAAATTAAACTAGGCAACTTCTAAAATCTTTCTTAACTCTCAGATTGGACTCGTCTTTGTTCCTTATCTAATGATACCTCCAAAGACACATGCTCTTATGGTCTATCAATATAAATAAAGCCAAATTTCATTTCCTCTTTCAAGGAGTGAAAAGAGAGAAACCTCTACTAATTTCACATGGAGCCTGTGTAGCTAGCCATGCATAAAGAATATGATCTTATTATTTAACTGCAAACTCTTTACTCACAAGTGAGACTTAATCCATTCTACTTGATTGGCTCATATTCATTTACAAAATTCTATTAATTTGATACCCTTGCATAAAATGTTCCAGTAAGTATTGTTGCAAAAACAAAACCAAACAAACAAACAAAAAAACCCAAAAGGAATATGTATCACACATAGGTATAGGAGAAAAACATTGTTGTCAGTAATATAAAAGCTAATTGCTAAATTAAAGAAAAATGCTGCTAAAGTAAAATGTGGATGGGAAAAGTTAGAAGACACATATTTTCTTGTCCAAACTCCATCAGTGAGTTGATGAAATGCCTCCAATACTTAGTTTTCTTATCTTCTGAATGAGAGAATTTGGCAAAATTTCTAAAATACTATAGTTTTATATAACAAACATCTTATAAACATATTTCTGGCTGTTCTTAGCTATGTGCCAGTGTCAAAAATGCACAGCAACTAACTACTAGGAATAACTAGGTTAATTAACGGCGTATGTTTTCTTCAGTTTACTTCTATGTGACTCGATGTTTATTAGTTTTCTTTTGGTAATTCCTCTCCCCGAGGTTGAGGGCTGGGAATAAATATGTGTAGCCAGCAAACAGGAAACTGGGACTTACTAAAGATTTGCTTAAGATCCAAGTGATAGATGATTGTCTATAGTTAGTTTTCTTGTTTCCCAATCTGTTTTTTTTTTTTCCATCTAAACATAGATACTCTGTCATCCTTAAAATCTGTCATCTTTATTTTCAGTGAGGAGTTTTATACCCATAATGTATTCCTGTGGAACACAGTGTCAAGCTCCTGGGAAATCCAGTAGAGTTAAAACACAGAGTCAAATCCTGGGTAACAAAGCCAATATCAGTTTATAGGGAAGAGAGTAAAGGAAGCTTTCAAAGGACTGGAATAACTCAGTTACCTTGTAAAGCTCTTAAATTAGTTCCTGAGAAAGGTTAGGTAGACCTCTCAAATGATTTAGGATTAAGTTGAGGCAGTATGTATCCACACAGAATTTTTCTCACTTCAATTAGGTTATAAATGACAGGTCAGGACAAAAGTCCAGCAAAACTTCCATCATGTACTCTGTGTCCTTTTCTCTAGCATTCCCTAAATGTCCAACTGAGACTGAAGAAAATTGAATTAGGCAGTTAGAATAGAAAACTTGGGGCAATTTGATGAGTTATTCCTTGTGTTTAACAAGAGCAACTGCCCAGGTCCTATTGTTCAAATATTTCAAAACTAAAAATATTAAACAAGACTGCAGGAATATTAAGCAGATGTACTCAATGAGATATGGCAGATTCTGCTTTCTCCTGAAAGGGATTATTACATTTTCTGTAACAATGTCCTTTTAGAGGTACACACAGGAAGTGGAAGCAGTAAGAGAAGTGAAGGACAAAGAAGAGAAAAAAAAGACACAGTTTGCCAATTCAATAATGGAATAGGGAATATCAGGATAATGAAGGAATACATTGTTTTTCAGTATCTGTTGGGGATCAGTTCTAGGATCTCCCGTGGACACCAAAATCAGTGGATGTTCAAATCCCTGATAGAAAATGGCATAGTATTTGCAAATAACCTATGTACATCCTCTCATATACTTTAAATCATCTCTAGATTACTTATATTACCAAATATGATGTAAACTCTATGTACAGTTGTTATGCTCCATTATTTAGGGAATAATGACAAGAAAAAAAGACTGTACATGTTCAGTACAGATGCATTTTTTTATTTCAAATATTTCCAGTCTTCAGTAGGTTGAATCCAGAGATGCAGAACCCATGGGTAGAGAGGGTCGACTGTTCTATGAACAACTCTACATGCATAAATTGGACAACTTAGGTAAAAATGGGCCAACTCCCTAAAAAACACAAGTAACCACTACTTATCCAATATAAAATAGATAATTTGGACAGCTCTATAACTAATAGGGCAATTGGATTGATGATTTAAAAGATCCCCATAAAGGAATCTCCAAGCCCAGATGGTTACAGGGGAAATTTTTATGAAATGTTTAATAAATAGCACCAACTTTACACAATTTTTCCAAAAAAATGAAGAGGAGGTAACATTTTTCAAATCATTTTATGAAGCTAGTATTACCCTGATACCAAAAGCAGGTGAAGATAGGGCAGAAAAAGAAAACTACAGACCAGTTAGTTTCCTAAATATAAATACAAAAATCCTTTAAAAAAGCAAATAGAATTCAGCAATATATGAAAGGGATTATTTACCATGATCTAGTTAATTTAATTCCAGGAATGCAAGTATGTTTCAATATTTGAAAATTAATCAATGTGATCCACCACACTAATGGGCTAAAAAAGAAAAATCACATAATATCAGTTAATGCTAAAAAATTACTTGACAAAATTCAATGATCACTTATGACAAAAACTCAGAAAAAGAGGAATAGAGGGGGAACTTATTCAACTTGGTAAAGAGTATCTATTAAAAATCTGTGCATAATTATATATTTAATGGTAAAAAAGTGAATGTTTTCCCTGTAAGATAAGGAACAAAATAAGAATGTCCAGTCTCACCACTCTTCTTCAACAGTGCTAGAAATTTTAGCCAGAGCATTCAGCAATATAAAGAAATAAAAGGGATATTGACTAGAAAAGAAGAAATAAAAACTGCTCCTATTTGAAGACAATATGATTGTCTATTTTCTAAGACAATATAATGTAGAAAATTACAAAGAATCTACAAAAATACCTAGAAATAATAAGCAAAGTCAATAATGTGGTATAATATACAATAAATAAAAGTCAATTGCATTTCTATATACTGGCAATGAACATGTGAACAGTGAAATTAAAAATACAGTACCATTTACAAGTACTCAAATATTATAATACTTAAGTGTAAATCTAACAAAATTTGTTTAAGACTTATATGATGGAAACTACACAATACTGATGAAAGAAACTAAAGAAGATTAAATAATTGAGAAGGTATACCATGTTCATGGAATAAAAGACTCAATACAGTAAAAATGATTTTTTTCTCAATTTATATAAAGAATTAACATGGCTGGGCACAGTGGCTTCACGCCTGTAATCCCAGCACTTTGGGAGGCCAAGGTGGATGGATCACAAGGTCAGGAGACTGAGACCATCCTGACTAACATGGTGAAACCCTGTCTCTACTAAAAATACAAAAAATTAGCCGGGTGAGGTGGCACATGCCTGTAGTCCCAGCTAGTCGGGAGGCTGAGGCAAGAGAATTACTTGAACCCAGGAAGCAGAGGTTGCAGTGAGCTGAGATTGTGCCACTGCATTCCAGCCTGGGTGACAGAGTGAGACTCCATCTCAAAAAAAAAAAAAAGAAAAAAGAAAAAAAAAAAAAGAATGAATACAATGTCTATCAAAATCCAGAAAGATTTTTTATAGCTATAGACAAGATTATTGTAAAATTTGTATAGAAAGGCAAAGTACATAGAATAACTAAAACAATTTTGAAGAAAATAATTAAGAATAGTTTACTTGATTTCAAATTTACTATATACCTACAATAATCAAGACTGTATGGTACTGTGGAGAAATAAACATAGAGATTAATGGAACACAATAGAGAACCCAGAAACTGAGTCACACAAATATGCCCAAGTAATTTTTCACAAATGTGAAAAGGAAATAAGGGGGAAAGAGCCTTTTCAACAAATGACACTGAAACAATTGGGAATCCATTCCATAAGCAAATAAACAAACAAATGCAAAGAGCCTTGATCTAAGTCTCACACTTTCAACAAAAATTAACTGAAAATGAATCATGGAGTTAAAACTATAAAACTTTTAGAAGAAAACATTGGTGTATATTTTCAGGTTCAAGAGCTATGTAAAGAGTTCTTAGACTTGACAACAAAAGCATAATCCATAAAATAAAAAATTAATAAATTCTGTGTCACCAAAAGTTTTTTAAAATTTTCTCATTGAAAGATCCTGTTAAGGAGGTGAAAAAACAAGCTACTAACCGGGATAAAATATTTACAAACCACATATTTGATAAAAGGATTATTATTTGTAATATGTGAAGAGCTCTCAGAATTCAACAGTAAAAAAGCAAACAATTCAGTTAGAACACGGGCAAAAGACATGAACAGACACTTCACCAAAGAAGGTATACAAATGGAAAAAAGTCATCTCAAAAGATGTTCAACCTCATTAGCCATTAGGAAAATGAAAATTAAAAACAGAATGAGATACCACTATGTATCTGTTAAAATGGCTAAAATAAAAATCTGTGACACCAAATGCTGACAAGGATGTGGAGAAACTGGATCACTCATACATTGCTGATGAGAATGTACCATGATATAGCCACTCTGGAAAACTCCAGCAGTTTCTTTAGAAGCTAAACCTGCAAATACCATACAACTCATGAATTGCATTCTGGGCACTTATTCCAGAGAAATAAGCGTAATAACGAATAACATATGCTTACATAACAACCCATACCAAAATATTTACAACAGCTACCTTAGTAATAGTGGAAAACGATACAACCAAGATATCCTTCAATCAATTAATGGTTAAACAAACTGGTGGATCCATATCATGGAACACTACCTCAGCAATAAAAAAGGAAAAACTGCTGATACTTGAAACAACCTGGATAAATCTACAAAAGAAAAATATGCTGAGTGAAAAAAAGCCAACCTCCAAGTGCTATATGCTATATACCCATTGATATAAGATTCTTGAAATGACAAATTTTAGAAATAGAGAATGGTCCCAGCACCATTTGTTGAAAAGGGCATGATTTCTCCACTTTATGTTTTTGTTTGCTTTGTTGAAGATCAGTTGACTATAAGTATTTGGGTCTATTTCCAGGTTCTCTATTCTGTTCCATTGGTCTATGTACCCATTTTTATACCAGTACCATGCTGTTTTGGTGACTATGGTCTTATAGTATAGTTTGAAATTAGGTAGTGTGATGCCTCCAGATTTTTTCTTTTTGCTTAGTCTTGCTTTGGCTATGCAGGCTCTTTTTGGTTCCATAAGAATTTTAGAATTTTCTCTAATTCTGTGAAGAATGATGGTGGCATTTTGATGGGGATTGCATTGAATTTATACACTGCTTTTGGCAGTATGGTCACTTTTACAATATTGCTCCTACCCATCCATGACCATGGGATGTGTTTCCATTTGTGTCATCTATGATTTCTTTCAGCAGCGTTTTGTAGTTTTCCTTGTAGAGGTCTTTTGACTCCTTGGTTAGGTATATTCCTAAGTTGTTTTGTTGTTGTTTGCTTGTTTGTTTTTCAGCTATTGTAAAAGGGGTTGAATTCTTGATTTGATTCTCTGCTTGGTCACTGTTGGTGTATAGAAGAGCTACTAATTTGCGTACGTTAATCTTGTATCCGGAAACTTTGCTGAATTCTTTTATCAGTTCTAGGAGCTTTCTGGAGGACTCTTTAGGGTTTTCAAGGTAAACAATCATATTGTCAGCAAACAATGTCAGTTTGACTTCCTCTTTACTGATTTTGATGCCCTTTATTTCTTTCTCTTGTCTGATTGCTCTGGGATAATTGGCTAACCACATGTAAGAGAATGAAACTGGACCCTCATCTCTCACTTTATAAAAAAAAATCAACTCACGATGGATTAAGGACTTAAACCAAAGACCTGAAACTATAAAAATTCTAGAAGACAACATTGGAAAAACCCTTCTAGATATTGGCTTTTTAAGCAAGGATTTTATGACCAAGAACCCAAAAGCAAATGCAATAAAAACAAAGATAAATATATGAGACCTAATTAAAATAAAGAGTTTTTGCACAGCAAAAGGAACAGTCAGCAGAGTAAACAGAAAACCCACAGAGTGGGAGAAAATCTTCACAATCTATACATCTGACAAAGGACTAATATCCAGAATCTACAATGAACCCAAACAAATCCGTAAGAAAAAAACAAACAATCCCATTAAAAAGTGGGTTAAGGGCATGTGTGTGTGATCTGTGACTATAATTTTATAAGATATTATTATTGGAGAAAACTGGGTAAAGCATTTTTGTGTATTTTGTGTATTATTTCTTACACTGCATATGAATCTATAATTTCCTCAAAAAGTATAATAAAAACAAAATGATACAAATGAAATTTAAGAAACTTTGATATTCTTCTTATTTTCAACAAGAGCAGCTAGGTGGTTGCTATTCACGTATTTCAAAAGTTAGAATGTTAAACAACACTCCTAGAAAATCAAGAAGAAGATAACTGAACCAGATATGGTGCATTCTATAGTTCTCTTGCTTTTTTCTGAAACTGACTGTTAAACTGTCAGCAATAACATCCCTTTAGTGGTGTGCACAGAGTAGAAACAAGTCCTGATTCTTTCCAATTGCCTTTGATTCACATAATCTCAACAATTCAAAAATAACTTTTCTTCCAAATACCAGACTGTCCCATTAGAGAATAAATCCCTTTTTATTTCATTTTTGATTACAAAGTAATGTGTGCTTTTTGCAGTAAACTTAGGAAGTAATAAATAGCATAAAAAGAGCAGAAAAAAATGTTAAAAACTACTCAAAATCTATTGTCTAGTATTTCGGCTTATTTCCTTCCTTCTTTTTCTTTTATGATATTTAACACAGTTCAAATCATGCTGTGCATAAAATTTTGTAGCTTTACTTTTTATTCACAATTATATAATCATCATTTTAATATTTGTATAATATTATATGTTTGCCTTTCAATATACTTGGCCACTTTTCTAATTTAAGAGAATTGGATGTTTAAATTTTTTAAATATTATGAATAATGCAATTAGAAACACTTTTCTATGTAAATAGCATTTATGATTATTTCTTTATTTCAGAATTTTAGCAATGGAATTAATGGTATAAAGAATATAATTATTTTAAGGTTCGTGATATATACCACTATTTGCTTTAGTCAAATTCTTTTTATGTTGCTAAAGACCCATTGATACCCTTTATGGCATGATTTTTGAAGATATTTTCTCAGGAAGCAGAGTAGGCATGATTAAACCTACTGCTTTTAAGTTATATCTGAATTATTTACCTTTTACAGAATGTGGTAAACTTGGGCATACTGTCCACTTGAAACTTTCGTAGTGTGCTTTTCTGTACTAAAGACACTAGTAAGCTAACAACTGTACAGCATTTCCAGGATTCCCTTGCATCTAGGGTGCTGAATGCAAAACTTATTTTATCCATTCAATGCTCTTGAATGGAATTTTGGAAGATGAGAATGAGGCAAGCATCATCTTCCTATTGCCCTATTGCCTATTGGGCTGTCTGGTAATGGAGATGCTGAGTACTGGGCAGCATCCTGGTGCCCGGTCATTGATTTTTGTGTGTTGAAAGGACTTTGTGGCAGCAGTAGCTTCTTGATGGCTGTCTTGCAGCCACAACAGCATGTTTTGAAGCCCACAGTTTCAGTTGTAGCCTCCTGACTACCAAAGTTTCATGGGTAAATTTATTCAAACATTTAAGAAAGAAATATCACAAATCTCCCTAAATTCTTCCAGAAAACACAGAAAGAACATTTCCCAACTCATTTTATGAGGCTGGAAAAACTTTGATACCAAAATCTGCCAAGGATTTTATAAGAAACAAAAACTACAGAACAACCAGTGAAAGTTGATCATACAAATTGGGTCATTCTTGACAGTCAACTAAAACAAAGTTGAGAGGCCAGGTGGGAAAAAACAAAAACAAAAACACTCAGGGAACATAACATTGCTCCAAGAATGTAATTCTCGGCAAGCCTGCTGAAACTCCCCATTGTAACCTGAAACCAGTTTTATCCAATGGTCACTGAAATAACCTGCTGTGACACTAAGACAAGTTTGATCCACCTCAGTCACTCATCAGTCAGAGCTTGCCAGCTCTCCAAAACTTTACTAGTGCCAGTGAACTGTCTTTCAAACAAACAAACAAAATAACATTTCTCCTTTTTATAAAACTTCCAACCTCCTCTTTGTATTTTGGACATGTTGAAGACCACATGGTCTTGTATGTGTGCCCTGGAACTACAATTCTTGCTTCTCAAATAAAACATTTCACATTTAGAGATTCGTTTCTATATTTGATTTGACTGTGACAAACTTCTCTCGTAAGCCAAAGTCCTAATGAAATGTTAGTGTTGGGAAACAATTATCTGTGGATCTCTCATCTTTCTGCACAGCATATGAACAAGGTACTAACCGGGCAGTTTTGTTCAATATTTTTCTAAGGATGCTTGTGTAACAAGTAGCTTTAGAAGATAGATACAGGCCAGGCACGGTGGCTCACGCCTGTAATCCCAGCACTTTGGGAGGCTGAGGAGGGCGGACCACAAGGTCAGGAGATCGAGATCATCCTGGCTAACACAGTGAAACCCCGTCTCTACTAAAAATACAAAAAAAAAAAAAAAAATTAGCCAGGCTTGGTGGCGGGCATAGTCCCAGCTACTCGGGAGGCTGAGGCAGGAGAATGGCGTGAACCCAAGAGGTGGAGCTTACAGTGAGCTGAGATCGCGCCAGTGCACTCCAGCCTGGGCAACAGAGAGAGACTCCCTCTCAAAAATAAATAAATAAATAAATAAATAAATAAATAAATAAATAAATAAATAAAAATAAATACAGTATCTTACTCTTGCACAAAGGGCATGTTTGGAAGATACTGTGTCTCTATGTTTAACAAAAATACCATTGTCCCTCTTGCAGCAGACCCTTTTGATGCTACTGACAATAGCATAGAAAAAAATCAAAAGTGTGCATAGCGTATGCAGTTAAGGAGTGATTAGAAAAGAGATGAATTTGTAACTACTGGAATGTAGCACATTCATTTTGTGGCAATGACAGAAGAGCAAAAATTCCGGTATCTGGAGCAGAAATGCCTTAGTTACTCGGAGTTATGGAGGAAGGAGGGACATTAATGATCTTCTGTGTTTCAGAGACACTCCTGTAGCTTTTATTGGGAAGAAAAATGCCCTGCTGTGGCTCTTACATTTTGCAAGCAGTTTAAATTTAACAGGTAGCTGGGTATGCCACCCCTTGCCAGATAACTCTAACCACAACATGTCACCATTATTCTTAATTTTATTGGGAAGTCTATCAGAAACTACAGGGGATAATCCAGCTGTCATATCTTTTACGCATAACAT